>NC_000005.10:163034051-163337081 GCF_000001405.40 Homo sapiens | reverse complement strand
TTAAAAGGCCATGCTGTAGCAGGCAAGTGATAACAAGCTTCAGTCCCCTTAAAGCCTATTGTGGGATGGGATACTGGCGTTGAGCTGGGTAAGGGTGATTAGGTTTTAATGGGATAGTAATGGGTGTGTGATCAGTTGCCAGGGAGGGAGTAGAGGTGTCCCATACCTGTGGGTTAAGGTGGGGGGATACAAGAGGAAGATGCGAAGGAGGCTTTGGGTTGGGAAGAAAGGTGGCAATGAGATGTGGCTGTAGTCCAGGAATGGTCAGAGAAGCAGATAATTTGGTTAAAATGTATTGGCCTAATAAGGGAACTGGGCAGGTGGGGATAACTATAACAGACTGCATAAAAGAATGTTGTCCAAGTTGGCCCCAGAGTGGGGGAGTATTAAGAGGTTTAGAAGCCTGGCCATCAATACCCACAATAGTTATGGAGGCAAGGGAAACAGGCCCTTGAAAAGAAGGTAATGTGGAGTGGGCAGCCTCCATATTGATTAAGAAGAGGACGGACTTACCCTTCACTGTAAGAGTTACCCAAAGCATCTGCGATGGTCCAGGAGGCTTCCAAGGCGATTGGCCAGTGTCAGTTTTCAGCTGCTAAGTTAAGAAGATCTGGGAAGGAGTCAATCAGAGAGCTTTGGGCCAGAGTTCCAGGGGCTCTGGGAGTGGCTGCTGGGCGAGCTGGACAGTCTGATTTCCAGTGGGGTCCTGCACAGATGGGACATGGCTTAGGAGGAATCCCAGGCTGCGGGCATTCCTTGGCCCAGTGGCCAGATTTCCCGCACTTGAGGCAAGATCCTGGGGGAGGAGGTCCTGGAGGAATGCCTGGACACTGTGGTTTAGGCGTTTTGAAGTTCTTGTATGCTGGAGATGTGGCTGGGATTTGTCTCACAGCGGAGGCAGGCAAGTAATTGCAACTCTTCTCTATTATTGTACACCTTCAAGGTGAGGTTAATTAAGTCCTGTTGTGGGGTTTGAGGGCTGGAATCTAATTTTTGGAGCTTTTTGTAATGTCAGGAGCAGATTGGGTAATAAAATGTATATTGAGAATAAGATGGCCTTCTGGCCTCTCTGGGTCTAGGGCAGTAAAGCATCTAAGGGTTGTTGCCAAATGGGCCATGAACTGGACTGGGTTTTTATATTTGATGAAAAAGAGCCTAAACACTAACTGATTTGGGAGAGGTAGGATAAAGAAAAAGGAGCATTAACCTTGATTAAGCCTTCAGCTCCAGCCACCTCTTTAAGAGGAAATTGTTGGGCAGGTGGGGGAGGGCTAGTTGTGGAATGAAACTGTAAGCTGGACTGGGTGTGAGGAAGGGAGTGATAGAGGGATTATAGGGTGGGGGAGTGGAGGCTGAGGAAGAATTAGGACCTGGCTCGGCCTGGCAAGAAGGAGCCTGGGGAGGATGGGAGAGGTCAGATGGGTCTGTAGAAAAGGAGGATTCAAAGGACTCAGAGCTTGGGGTGGAGACTGAAGGAACAGACAGGAGAGAAAGAAGAAAGATCTGGGATGAGTTGCATTGGGAGCAGAGACTAGGGAGGGACCGATGTGTAAAAGAATGCCTGGACATCAGGCACCTCAGAGCATTTGCCCATTTTACGACCAGAATGATCTAGATCTTGAAGGATAGAGAAACTGAAAGTGCCATTTTCTGGCTATTTGAAACCATTTTCGAATTTGTATTGGGGTCAAGTGGTATTGCAGAAGAAAATATGGCATTTAGATTTTGGGTCAGGAGAGTTGAAGAGGTTTTAAGTTCTTGAGAACACAGGCTAAGGGAGAAGAAGGAGGAATGGAGGGTGGAAGGCTGCCTATAGTGAAGAGGCAAGCCCAGAGAAAAGAGAGGGTGGAGACACGGGAGGGGGTGGGTACTTGCCCCCAGGGGAGGTGGTGCTTGCCACCAAGGTGAAGGATCACAGCAGGCATCCCTGCAGTGATCAGACACCTCTGAAATGTGGGTGAATCATCAGGCAGGCATCCCTGCAGTGATTAAACACCAAGGGAAGACTGTCTTCCCGAGTCCATGACTGGTGCCGGAGTTTTGGGTCCATGGATCAAATGTGTCTCCTCTGTCTCTACCAGAAAAGGAAAGGAACTGAAATTAAGGGAAGGGAGATATTGAAGGGTGGTGCTGAAATTCAGGAGAAAGAGGTTGAGGGACAGTGAGAGAGGTTGGAGAAGAGAGTAAAAAGAGGCCGCTTACCCGATTTAAAATTGGTGAGATGTTCCTTGGGCTGGTTGGTCTGAGGATCTGAGGTCGTAGGTGGATCTTTCTCATGGAGCAAAGAGCAGGAGGACAGGGGATTGATCTCCCAAGGGAGGTCCCCCGATCCAAGTCATGGCACCAAATGTCACATGCGTCTGTGTGAAGGGACCACCAAACAGGCTTTGTGTGAGCAATAAAGCTTTTTAATCACCTGGGTGCAGGCGGGCTGAGTCCGAAAAGAGAGTCAGTGAAGGGAGATAGGGGTGGCACAGTTTTATAGGATCTGTGTAGGTAGTGGAAAATTACAGTCAAAGGGGTTGTTCTCTGGCAGGCAGGGGTGGGGGTCACAAGGTGCTCAGTGGGGAGCTTCTGATACTCGTTGTCCAGGAGAAGGAATTTCACGAGATAATGTTATCAGTTAAGGCAGAAACCGGCCATTTTCACTTCTTTTGTGATTCTTCAGTTGCCTCAGGCCATCTGGATGTATACCTGCCGGCTTGGGCTCAGAGGCCTGATAGTGTGGTAGCATGCACCGGTAGTCCCAGCTACTCGGGAGGCTGAGACAGGAGAATGGCGTGAACCCGGGAAGCGGAGCTTGCAGTGAGCCGAGATTGCGCCACTGCAGTCCGCAGTCCGGCCTGGGCGACAGAGCGAGACTCCGTCTCAAAAAAAAAAAAAAAAAAAAAAAAAAAAGAGATCATGTTGACTGATATAGGAAAAAGGAATTGAATGAGGGCAAGGGCAAAAGGAAGAGGCCAGTTTGAAGGTTATTGCCATAGCCCATGCAAGAGACAATGATGGCCTGGACTTGGGTAATGGCTGCAGAGCTGAAGAAAAGATGATCTAAGGAAGACATAAGTTAGAAGGATAATCGATAAAACTTGAAGTGGGTAAATTTGGAGGAACATGAAGGAAAGAGAAAAATCAAAGGTGACTCTTAGATTTCTGCTTTGAAAAACTTGGTAGATGAATGAGGGTGCCATAGTTAGATGTCAATGACAAGGAAAGAGAAAGGAGATAGGGCACAAAAATTAAAGAGTTCTGTGTCGGATATAGTAATTTTGAGGTGCTTGTGAGTCTTCTAATAGGAGATGCCAAGCAATCAGCTGTAGAATACCTGTCAGAAGTCCAGAAAAGTTAGGTTACAGGTGTAATCTGGAAGTAAGTTGCAAAGAAAAGTTAATTAAGGCCACGGGAATTGATGGAATCATCTGAGAAGGGGTACAGAGAAAGAACAGTAGTAGGGGGTCTGGTACTGAGCACAGAGTGACTGAAATATTTAGAGATCTGGCCCAAAGAAATACAATGCATTGAATGATAACATTTTATTTGTTGGCTGGGCGTGGTGGCTCACGCCTGTAATCCCAGCACTTTTGGGAGGCCAAGGCGGGTGGATCACGAGGTCAGCAGATCGAGACCATCCTGGCTAACACGGTGAAACCCCGTCTCTACTAAAAATACAAAAAAGTTAGCCAGGCGTGGTGGCGGGCGCCTGTAGTCCCAGCTACTTGGAAGGCTAAGGCAGGAGAATAGCATGAACCCAGGAGGCGGAACTTGCAGTAAGCCGAGATCCCGCCACTGCACTCCAGCCTGGGTGACAAAGCAAGACTCCGTCTCAAAAAAAAAAAAACAAAAAAATTTCATTTGTTAAAAATTTTATTCCGTTCTCTTCTCCCCTATCCCTCACATTTTAAGTTCCACGTTTTTAGTCATGCTTCTTTTGTTTATTGAGCTAACTGACAGAATTCCAGCATTAGTCTTCAACCCATAGGTGCCTGTAATTGCTGGTGCAAGAAATGTTAGTGACACAAGTAGAAAATTTCCCACCTTTTCTTGTAGCTACAGAAAAGCAGATTATATTTTACATCATAACTTCTTGTAAGACACACTAGGACTTCACATATTGTTAAGTCCTATGAAAATAATCTTTAACCTCTAGAATCTCTGCAAATCTCATTAGTTTTGCATAATAATGTGTTGTCTTGGAAGTAATATTTAAATGTACATTTTTGTTTTTTTAAAAAGTATAAAATACTTGTGAATTTTCTCTGTTAAACAAAAAAAGGAACCTTCTTCTGCATGAAGGAAGGTTACATAAAAAAACAACTTTATATCTCTACTAATTTCTTTTTTAAACAGAACATTTGGGAAACTTAAAAACATATAAATTAACAGACAGAGAAGCCAGCAAAGAGGGTTGAGAAGAAGCTGCCAGAAAGGCTGGTAAAAAAAACAGGGAGCATGAAGAGCAGACCGTAATGAAGAGACTTTAATGAAAGAGGTCAGTTATGTTGAGATGTCTAAAAAGATAATGACTGAAAATGTCCAGTAGATTGATACAGCATAGAAGTCACTGGTGACCTTGGCCTGGACAGTTTTAGCATAGCCTGAAGATGGAGGCTGGTCTGTGCTTAGTGGTTTGAGAGGTGAGAAAAGTGAGGAAAATCTGAATGGGGGAGAAAGGTATGAAGGAAGTAGGTGTAGAAGGAGTAGGTGTAGAAGGTGAAGGAGGCACCAAGTATCTCCTAAGCAGCATGGAACCAGCATGTGGCAGCATGTAACACATGATCATTTTGCAAGAGTTTTTATTTTTATTTCCAAGACCTGTATAAAGTTAGTGGGATAGATCTTTTATCCCCATTTTATTGATAAGGAAATAGAAAGCCAGTTCATTACTCAACATTTCAAAGCACAGAAATATGGAGTCGCAGAAGCCAGGGCTTGAAATGAGGTCTGCAGAACCCAAGCCAGTGCTCTTTCATCTTAAACACGTAAAAGGGGGAAGTAACAGAAGAACAAAACATCCAATACACATTTATCTAACCTCCCCTCTCTAACTGGGCCTATACTTGGTTTTAACTTTTTGCATGGGAATGAAATGGTGGAATATGCCTAATTCTTTCCAGAGGAAATGCTATATCTGAAAATGCTATATTTTTAAAGGAACCACAATTTAGAGAGCAATAAGCAATGAAAGATAATTTTAAAAACTTAGCGGCAACATCTGAAGTCCTCTCTGTTGCTTCAACTATGCTAATAAGAGGTGCTGGGTCCTGGAAGTATCAGTGTCAAATAAGCTTTGCATAGGCTCACCTGGTTCATCCTGGTATCTCAGAAATCCAACTGCAACATAATGAGAAACTGAGTGAGTTGGTCATAGGAAATGGATGTGTTGAACTCTTGAGCACCTTGAATTTAAAATAGAAATAGTATTTTTATGTCATATTCTTTAAAATTTTTGAAACCACTGTGGGATATGATGAGGTTTCTCTTCAAATAATCTGATCAATCTTTTATTCTTTAATTCATAGTATCCCCCATTTTTCTCCTTTTTTCCTTCTTGCCTTTGTTAAATGCCCAGGCACATGACAGTACCAAGCGTTATCAGTACCAGCTCACATTCCTTTCCTTATTTGGAAAGAGGAGTAACTTTCTGGCTCATTACAGATACCCCTTCCCCTTTCCCTCCACTTTCTTTTATGTGCCCACCCTATCTAAAAACATCAAATGTTTAGCCAACTGGCATTAGTTTAGATTGTATGACCCGCCCCCGGCCAATGGGGAAAGGGTACAAGGGCAGGACTTGCGTTGGGAATAAAGGCTCTTGTACCCCTTTGTTCAGGTGTGTTCTCATGGCAACCGGCCAAGGAGGCACCCCTCTGCGCAAAAGTAAAATTGCTTTGCTAAGAATCCTTTGTTCGAGTGTTCAATTTCCTTAGGATTTTGAGCGTTATTCCTAACACCACCTGTGCAAAAATTATGTCAGTGAGAGAATTATGGCAGTGGGAGAGATCTGATCTAACTAACCCTCCCTCTTGTCCTTATCCTTCAAGCTGCCTTAATTATTACTGGGCTTAAGCCAAGCTGACTTTGGAAGACATTTAGTTTATAGTTTAAATGATAATAGCCCTTCCCCAAAACTCAACTGCCTTTGAAAAGCTAATGAGAGGCCAGGAGCCTAGAAGAATAGAGGAGCCTGAATTCTGCCAGCAATTATTCCAGAGGTCGCAGGATATGCAACTTCCTCAATTACTCCTGCAGATAACATCACTATTGTGGAACCTAAGATTGACCTTGTGAGATACATTTTTTTTTTTTTTTTTGAGACAGAGTTTCACTCTTGTTGCCCAGGCTGGAGTGCAATGGTGCAATCTTGGCTCACTGCGACCTCCGCCTCCTGGGTTCAAGCGATTCTCTTGCTTCAGCCTCCCGAGTAGCTGAGATTACAGGCGCCCATGACAACTCCTGGAACATTTTTTGTATTTGTAGTAGAGATGGGGTTTTACCATGTTGGCCAGACTGGTCTCGAACTCCTGACCTCAGGTGATCCACCCACCTGGGCCTCCCACAGTGCTGGGATTACAGGCGTGAGCTTTTGTGATACCTTTTTAGATTTTTTTGTATGTCTGACACCGGTGATGACTCTATCTGGACCTACCAACTTCTCCTGTGGCCCCACCCAGAAGCCATTCAGTGCAGGAGAATCATTTCACACACCCCGATGATTGTACTGCCAACCAATCAGTAGCAAGCGCCCATTGCCTAGCCACCCCACCCATTCCCTGAGACTATCTTTGAAAATCCCCTAGCCTATGGGCCTTTCATGAGACTAATTTGAGTAATAACTCTTTCCCCTGCATGGCGTGGCCAACCTCACATCAGTTAAACTCTTTCTTTACTGCAATGTCATGGTCTTTGTGTGGCAGGCAGGAAGAATCTGTCGGGCAGTTACAATATTAGAATATCTAGATTAGTTCAAGATATGAAATTGTTGAGATAAATTGAAAATCATTCTACAGCTTTTTCTTAGTCTTTGAAAATATGCAGGAGGCGAACATCAACATGGAATTTCTGAGAAAGATCCAATTAAAAATAAAAGGCTTATTTACTGTTGCTGAAGCTTGATAACTTTACTGGAATGGTGGTCTTTGTTGAGAAAGATGTGAGACGGTTACTTCTGACAGTGCTACCTGCCTTCTGTCTCAGTGAGGCCTCCACCTCCAGCCTAGTCTAAATCCTGTGGCTGCCTGTAAGCCATTGCTTCTTGTACCAAATAATAATGAAGTGCTTTTTTCCCCTTTACTCTGCCCTCACAAGCTTCATATCCTGGGATCAATTTGATCTACTTTAGAGCCCTATAAATAACCTGACTACTTAATTATAGACTCTTAATGAAACTTAAAAAAAACCCTTTTTCTTATGGAAAATTTTAGTTATTTTCAAAAGTAGACAGAACCCTTATATACTTTATGAAAGTACAAGGAACCCTATGTTCCCATCACCAGCTTCAACAATTACCAATGGCTTTTTAAATTACCATTTCTCCTCCTCCTGTATGATTTTGAAGAAATTCTCAGTTATCATAGTAATGAAGTATTTTTGCTTTAATCTCATCAGAATTGCAGTTGCTTGCTTTATGTATGTTAAATGTACAAAACATATTCATTGTGTTCTTACATATTATAATATTATATTTATTGTTTCTATTATGGGAATTACTATGAATTAAACATTTGCTTTAATATTTATATACCTTGTGAATGGCTACATGGTTCAAAATTAAAAAGATTCAAAAGGATATCCATAAAAGGTAAGTCTTTCTCTCCCCACCCCATCTTCCTTTCCCTCCTAGGAGACAGCACTCTTGCTGTGTTCTTATGCATTTTTTTTTTTTGTATTTTTAGTAGAGACAGGGTTCTACCATGTTGGGCAGGCTGGTTTAGAACTACTGACCTCAAGTGATCCGCCCACCTTGGCCTCACAAAGTGCTAGGATTACAGGCGTGAGCCACTGTGCCGGGCCGCATTTGTTTATGAATATTGCATGCATTTAAAAATATATGTGTGTGTGTGGATGTGTGTGTGTGTGTGTGTGTGTGTGTGTGTGTGTGTGTGTGTGTGTATGTAAGCAACAGAGAGAGAGAGAGAGAAAGGAAGATGTAATAACTTCTGACAGTGTCTGGGTGTGGTGCTGACATATCTCTCCAAGAAGAGAAGATTAGGGTTCCAGGGAGGGGACTTATGGACAATAAAGTTCTTTTTAGTTCTTTTGAGAAGATCTGCTTTTAGGCAGATGAAGGATTTCAGGAACTCAAATGCCTTCAGTTCAAAGTAATTTTGATGCCATAGAAACTTATTCTGGACCCCTTCACGTCTTAAAGGGGATATGAAGTCTTTAGGATGTAGCTTTTGTATATAAGGAGTTAAAGAGGAAGAAAATTCTGCTGCTAACATCACTGGGAGAAAAGAAGATCATTTTTATGTGTATAAATCTGCCCTTATTCACATAGCACATGCAAGACAGGGAGACAGAACTCTTTTTTCATTGATTTCCCCTTAGAGTTCATATTCATGGTATCTGTTTCCCAACTCTAAGTCTGTCCTTGGATGCTCCTGGAAGCATATTTCACATAAATAATAGCAACAGCAGCAGCAGCAACTAACACCTATTGAGCATTTACTGTGGGCCAGACACTGTTTCAGTGCTCTACACGTGTGTATTTGATCCTTACAACCATCCTATGAAGGAGATACTATTGTGAATGGAGAAACTGGGAGCAGAGAAGAAAAATAACTTGCTCAATGTCACAGCTACTAAGCAGTCAAGCTGAGATGTAGATTCTGACTTTAGAATCTGTATTCTTAAGCCCTGTGATATCTTTCTTTTGAATAGCAATATTTGGGAGAAAGGATGCTTCCCAAGTGATATGGATTAGTTCACTGATGTTAAAATTCTTACCCTAGAAATGGGGGCCAGGAGTTGGATAGGCCTGTGGTTCCATGAGTCAAAGCCAGGTATAGTATGGGACAGTACTGCTTAGGGACCACCAATGAAGTCCACACAGCAAACATCTAGGAGAGAAGCTGAAGTCAAGTCAGACACACAGTTCAGCCAAAGGATTACCCTAAGGGAGTTGGGCAGAATTTGAAAACAAGTGGGAGGCAGCAGGGTAGAAACTGGAGACATCAGACGTTGGGAGAGGGTAAACAGGTTCAGCATCAGGGGAAACAGGCTAATCTCTGAAATACAGGTGCCCAGTGTTAGGGGCTTTTTAAAAAAGGAGTTTATAACCTTTTTTGTGGAGGAAGAGATTTGATAATCTCTTCTTGTGTTTGCCAAAAACAAGTCTGTATAATAATCACATAGAAAGCTGGTTAAGGCTGGGCGCATTGGCTCATGCCTGTAATCTTAATGCTTTGGGAGGCTGAAGTAAGAGGATTGCTTGAGTTCAGGAGTTCGAGACCAGCCTGGGCAACATAATGACACCTCATCTCTAAAAAAAAATTAAAAAAACTTCACTGAGCATGGTGGTGCCTGCATGCCTTTAGTCCCAGCTACTTGGGAGGCTGCAGTGGGAGGATTGCTTGAACTTGGGAGATTGAGGCTGCCGTGAGCTGTGATCATGCCACTGCACTCCAGCTTGGGTGACATTGTGAGACTTTGTCTGAAAAAAAGAAAAAAGAGAAAGAAAGCTGGTTAAACATTCATATTCCTGGGCCCCAACCTCTGAGATTCTGATGCAGAAGGTCTGAAATAGGATCCTGAAATCCCATCTCCAGCAGGCATCTCAGTTGGTTCTGAAGCAGAATTTCCATGGATCTCACACTGAGAGACAATGGATAAATGTGAAGAGGCAAAATTGTTATCTTTTCATTGCCCTAAAATTCAGTTTAGTTAAATGCTACAAAAAAATGGTGTCAGGAAATTACACAGTAGAGGCTAGTCAGGGTTATATATAAAACAGAAAAAAATGTCCATGAGGGTGGGGTGAGGAGGGTATTTCTATTGTATATGTCCATTCTCTGGGTCCACATTAGAAAAACAGCTAGGGCAGGGATTTTTCACTAGATAGTGCCTTTCATGCACCTAAGAATGGCCTGTTTTCTATACCCAATATATTTGAAGATCAAGGGGGGAAAGCTAGATTGGGAATTCCATTTATTCATGTTTTCATCATATACTTATATAATTAAATAATGAAACATTCATTGGGCACCTAATATTTGCCAGACAGTGTTCCAGGATTTTGGAGACACACAAATGAAGAAAATGGATACAGTCTTTGATCTCATGGGGCCTAGAGTCTAGAAAGTAATAGAAAGAGATGAGCTTGAGTGAAAGTTCATTTTATGTTTCAACTTGGCTGGGCTAAGTGATGCCCAGATAGTTTGCAAAACATTATTTCTGGGTGTGTCTGTGAGGGTGTTTCTGGAAGAGATTAGCATTTCAATCGTTAGACTGAGTAAAGATTACTCTCACCAGTGTGGTTGGGTATCATTCGACCTGTTGAGGAGCCGAAAAGAACAAAAAGGCAGAGGAAAGGTGAATGCTTAGCTGGGCCCTCCCTATTTTCCTGCCCTTGGACATTAGCACACCTGGTTCTCAAGCCTTTGGACTTGGACCAGGACTTAACGCCATTGCCTCTACTGGCTTGCAGGATTTTGGGCTTGAACTGAAACTGTACCACTGGCTTTCCTGGGCCTCCAGCCTGCAGATCATGGGATTTCTCAGTCTCCATAGTCATGTAATCCATAATCACATAATCATAATCATCCATAATCACCAATCCCTCATAGTAAATGTATTTCATATACCAGTATATAACCGATTGGTTGTGTTTCTGGAGAACCGTGAGTAACACAGCTTGCATAGTGGCTAAGAATGCAGTCTCTGGAGTCAAGACTGCCTGGTGCAAACCCTGGCTCTACTACTTACTAACTGTGCCTCACTTTCCTCAATTATGAAAGATGGATGATAATGATGCTACCCTCATGTAGTTGTGAAGATTAAACTAATGTTTGCAAAACAAATATGCCTGGTACATGTGTTTAATAAATAGCACTGTTTTTCCAAGGCTAGAGGTTTATTCTTCTTTTAGTGTCTTCGATCTATGGCTTTTGGTCTTTCACTTCTTGGATCACCTTTATTTGTTCACCACTTGAGTGGAGCTCAGGTCAGGAAAGCTTCTTGCTTCTCCAGCACCTTTACTTAGAAAGGAGGTCCTGTAAGCTTCAAACTTGGCCACTTATTGCAATAGAAACATACAAATGTCTGTAATCTTGTTGATGCCCAGCTCAAAGTTTTGAATTATTCTAGTCAGAGTGGGAAAATGTTGGGGAAAGGAAAAAGAAGTGCTATTCACTCCATGTGATTTTTAGAAAAGTATTCTGCATGAATATTCATGGTCCTGGCCAGCATTAGTGACAGCAAAGGTTGGCCTAACATTTGCTCCCTCGAGTATAGTCTTTATTATCTTCAGACAATTTTATATAAAAATATTTATATTGTAGGGCCGGGCACGGTGGCTCATACCTGTAATCCCAGCACTTTGGGAGGCTGAGGTGGGTGGATCACCTGAGGTCAGGAGTTCAAGATCAGCCTGGCCAACATGGCGAAACCCTATCTCTACTAAAAATACAAAAATTAGTAATCCCAGCTACTGGGGAGGCCGAGGCAGGAGAATCACTTGAACCTGGGAGGCAGGGGTTGCAGTGAGCTGAGATAGCGCCACTGCACTCCAGCCTGGGTGACAGAGTGAGACTCTTCTCAAAAAAAATAAAAATAAAAATAAATAAATAAATAAATAAGTAAAATGTAAAAAAATTTACATTATAAAATGGAAAGTTAGAGTTGATGCTTTTTGAGATGTTAGGAGGGGATATATGGAGCCATTGTGTGCTTTGATAATATCTGTGTCTGAGTAATTAAGTATGCTTTAAACACGTCCAGATTCTACTGCATTCTTTCTCAGGAAACTGCAGAATAATTAATTTCTCCATACACACCATTTAAAAAACATACCTCCTGTCACGGACACACTTTTGCAATAAAAAACTGTTTAATGAATAGACTAATTGAGAAGGTTTACATATCACATTCAAAGCTTGGGGAGCACCTGGGAACTAAAAAGTACATTCTGTTAGTAGGGATCTAGGCTACAGTCAGGCTGGCTTTCAAATGGAAACATGCTGGTTTTTTAGACTCGCATGGAGCCTTGTTTCCTGGTTGCATAATAGAATGGTGCAGGCAAGTTAGTAAATTCTGTATTTGCCACACAATAAAGAAATCTCCCTAAAACCTGACACCCTTGCTATGAGAATTGCTCAAAAACTTTTCCTTCAACACTCTTCCCAGATTCTGTTTATCTCAAAAGAGAAGACACAGGCTGATCTGCATTCTGCAATTGACTGCCCCATAGCCTCTGCAGTGTGCAGATTTGAAATTGACTTTCTCCCTGGAGGATGTTTCTTGGACCAGGAGGGTAAGAAAAGTCAGCTAAGCCAAGGCATCTTTAAAGATCTCTCTGAAGCAAGATACAAACTATGCTCTTTAGACAACACATTTTCAATGTTCTAAATCATGACCTTCCCTACTTCAAATGAATACCAATGAAAATCAATTCCTCCTGGAGTGAGAAATAGAGTTTACTGGGGTTTGGAGGTAGGTGGGAAGGGAATTTTGTATGTGATGGGAATTGTAGGCTTTCCAGGGGTTACTGAAAGTTTTGCAAGTTTTGCCTATAGGGAAAAGAGCTAAATTCCTACACATTAAAGAGAGTGGGCAATGGGACATTTACCTCAATTTTGGAATGAAAGAAATTTCAGAATCTTGTCACAAAATGGACATTCAGAGGCTTCTGAACGTAAAAGCACTTTTTACTCAACAGAATCACTGCATTCCAGTCTGATCATGTTTATCTTTACTTTGACAAACATGGTATTGAAAAGAATTAAAGTATCGGATGAGGCAGACCTCCTTTCAAATCCTGACTATGTCACTAAAAGCTCTGCATTCTAACTTCTCTGATCTTCAGTTTCCTTCTCTGTAAAATGGAATAATACCTTGCAGAGTTATTCTGATGATTAAATGTGATTACTATGTGAAGCAATTAATGCAGTACTGGCATTCATTGGGAACCCAAGATATGGTCCTTTTTCTCTCTCTGTATCTCTCACATCCATACACACCCTACACCCCTGATTCCCTCTGTGTATTGCTCTATCCTCTCTTGCGTTTTTCTCTCATCTGCTCATTCTTTAAGGCTCAGCTCCTATTTTTTACTTCTTGTCCCTACCTTCTATAGAGATCTCACCTTTTCACTTTTTCTAGTGCTTGTAGTTTAGTTTATCATCCTCAGAAATGTTTTATTTGGCTGGGTATAGTGGCTCATGCCATTAATCCTAGCACTTTAGGAGGCTGAGGGAGGCAGATCGCTTGAGCCCAGGAGTTTTGAGACCAGCCTGGACAACATGGTGAAACCCAGTCTCTACTAAAAATACAAAAATTAGCCAGGCATGGTGGTGCAGGCCTGTAATCCCAGCTACTTGGGAGACTGAGGCATGAGAATCACTTGAACCTGGGAGGTGGAGGCTGCAGCGAGCTGAGATCAAACCACTGCATTCCAGCCTGGGTGATGGAGTGAGAGTCTGTCTCAAAAAAAAAAAAAAAAAAAAAAAGAAGTATTATTTGATTAATGTGGCAAATATAACATTCACATACTCTATGGCATCCAGAATCTTGAAGGACACATAGCAGGTCTATAATAAATGTTTACTGGTTTATATTGTTATGTACTTCAGATAATAAGCCCCTTAATTTCTTCTTCTTTCTAAGTGAATCTGAGGACATCATTAATAATATTCATAGAATAACCACATGGTTTACCTGTATTTACTCAAAACTTCACAAGCACTCTATAAGGCAGGTATTATTATCCTCATTTTGCTAATGAGCAAACAGGGTAATAAGCAAAACATAATTTGCCCAAATTATATACCAGACATAGATATTGAGGATTTAAATTCAGGTCTTTCTGATTCTAAAGCTTACATTTTGCCATATTATGTGAATTTTTCCATTAAGTTTTTGATACAAATGTAGTTAGGGTTTAAAGTCTTGGCTTTGGAGCAAAACAGATTTTCTCTGTAAGCACTCTTCGTTGTTATAAATGTCTATTCATTGGGACAGCTACAGCCTCTTTTGTTGGTCCTTCTTATATGATTCTTGGTCCCTCCTATACGATTCTTGGTCCCTGTGAGCAGTGCAAGGAGGTGCTTGGATTCCTCCCCCTTGTTGAGAGGGTTTCAAGATAATTCAATCTTCTTACTCTTCTCATCATGGGCATTATTGTACCAGGCAGTACCTTTCTTAAAAGGGCAAGAGAGGCCGGGCGCGGTGGCTCACGTCTGTAATCCCAGCACTTTGGGAGGCTGAGGCGGGCTGATCACGAGGTCAGGAGATCGAGACCATCCTGGCTAACACTGTGAAACCCCGTCTCTACTAAAAAACAGAAAAAATCAGCCGGGCGTGGTGGTGGGCGCCTATAGTCCCAGCTACTCGGGAGGGTGAGGCAGGAGAATGGCGTGAACCCGGGAGGCAGAGCTTGCAGTGAGCCGAGATCGCGCCACAGCACTCCAGCTTGGGCGACAGAGCGAGACTCCGTCTCAAAAAAAAAAAAAAAAAAAAAAAAAAAAAAGGGCAAGAGAGAACCATAGATGGAGAGTAATGTTTTTTAGAGGAAAAAAAAAAAAGGCTCTTCTCAAGAGTTACATATATGGCTTTGGCATCTGCAAAAACAAAACAAAAGAAAAGAAAACACTCATTTACAAATAATTTGCTTCTTAAATACAAATTTTTCCTGCCATAAAACTTTGATAAATAGCTTGAGGAGTGATGTGACCCCATCTGTCTGGCTAATCCAAATTGTGTTTTCCCTCCTTAAAATTAGTGAAAGGAACAGTACAATTGCAAATAAATTATATTTTCCCCACAGATGAGAAGTATTTTCTATACTACAATGCTTTCCAATTATATAGGGTAGCTTCATGTTGAATAACAACAGAAGTTCCCAAATTGAGTGCTTGTGGCCAGCATCCGAAGTTCAATAATTTTGGTAATAGATCTTTTTCCTGCTTAAATGGATATGTAAAATGGATATGTAAATGAATATTAGAGGTTTCAAGAGATATAACACATTTCTTCCAGGCCCTATAATTTCTGCTTTGGATAATAATTAGTGATTTTCCATTACATTTCTAACTTTTACATTATTTATATTTTTAAAAAAATCCTTGGTGCTAGAATTGTGGTTTCTATTTCCTTTTGGAGGATAATAAGTTCATTAGGTTAGCAAATTATTTAAGTGTTTAATGTTATTCTCTTTGCTGTGAATTGCTGTACAATTTTGGGGAGGATGATTTATAATTTCCGGCCTATTTCCCTGCATTTTTGAGAAGGCTGAATAAACATATTTTCTGGAATGAAGAGAGAAAAACAGAAGAGAAACATTTGAGGGAGGCACTATAGGGTGACGTTTCATTCTTTAATGTAGTCCATAATCAAACTGGATTCCCAAAGTTGGATACAAATTGAGTATGGAAATCAATTTTATTTCATGTCTTTCTCAATTTAGTTCCTCACTTTGATTTTTCTTTCAATTGGCTTGAGTGTATCCTCAGGTAAGACTCTGGTTTTATGCATCTGAGCATACTTTATGTTGCCTTTATGCATGAAAGACAAGTGATTAGGATGCCAAATTATTAGCTCACTGAATTTTTCTTTCAGAATACAATTGGTTGTTAAATATTGGGCCAGTCCAGTTTTTATTATTTGTAGGTAACCTGTTTTCTTGCTTCTCCTGGTGCTTTTAAAATGTTTTCTTTATCCCAGTAAACCAAATATTCTTCATGATGTGCTTTGATATGGGCCTCTATTGATTTCTCATGGAATGTGGTGAATGCATTCAAACTGCATTCTCAGGCTTTATTACAATTTTTTTTTAACAAGGAAAATTTTTTTTGGATTATGTCTTTAATTTGTCGTGTTTTAGCATCAGAAATTTTCCCTTGTGTTCTTTTATAGGTACTAAGTTTACCTAAAAAAGACGGTAAACTAATTCTTTGTGACCCAAGGATATTCTATTGTCCATATCATGAGACAATGTGATGCGTGAAAATAGTACTTTTTTTTTTTTTTTTTGAGATGGAGTCTCGCTCTTTCGCCCAGGCCGGACTGCAGTGGTGCTATCTCGGCTCACTGCAAGCTCCACCTCCTGGGTTCATGCCATTCTCCTGCCTCAGCCTCCTGAGTAGCTGGGATAACAAGCGCCCGCCACCACGCCTGGCTAATTTTTTGTATTTTTAGTAGAGACGGGGTTTCACCATGTTAGCCAAGATGGTCTCGATCTCCTGACCTCATGATCTGCCCGCCTCGGCCTCCCAAAGTGCTGGGATTACAGGAGTGAGCCACCTCGCTCGGCCGAAAATAGTACTTTTAAACCAAGTCTATATGGATTATAAAAACAACTTTACTTCAGCGGTAAGAAGAGGCTGTTTTTGTTTTTGGCTCCTAGTTTTTGTTGTCTACATGGCGAACAGTACCTGAGTGCTTTGCTCACAATTTTGTAATCCCAGATAGGTCTCTTACTTCAAAACATCCAAGTGGTATAACCTTAATGCAAGAAGGAAATCTAGGTTGCTAGGGCCAAAAACATTATGGGTGTGTGGGTGAAAGAATTGGTTAGCAATATTTAAAATCAACAGAAAGAGTAAAAGGAAATCTAGATTTTAAACTATTCTGATTTCATAGTGTCCATATCTTTCACTGTAAATAAGCTGGAAAGAATTATAAACATTACTTAACTGCATAGTATCACAAGCTTATATAACTGTAGAAATATACATTGATACTTGTGTTTGTCCCAATTGCTCTGTTTTGTTGCTTGGGAATATTTCTAATTCCTAGCTTGGCTCACTGTTTTCTTTTCTCTATATCTAGCATTTTCTCTCTCATCAAACTCATCTTCTTGTTTTTTTTACTTAATCAGCAACAGTTAATCACAATGTGAGGCACTATCTCATTAAAGCTGAGAGAAGTGGAAAAGGAAAGATGAAAGTAAACTCAAAATATGAGGTGAGACTTTTAGAAAGGGTAACATGTGATCAAGCCCTTTATGGATGCAGAAGACTAACCAGGCCTAGAGAAGACACCTGACAGAAAAGGTGCTGGTTAAGGAGTGGTACTGAGGGAAGAGAGAGACCCTCTCATATTGTTTTATACTCAGTACCTGTTTTTTTTTTTTTTTTTTTTTGAGACGGTGTCTCGCTCTGTCGCCCAGGCCGGACTGCGGACTGCAGTGGCGCAATCTCGGCTCACTGCAAGCTCCGCTTCCCGGGTTCACGCCATTCTCCTGCCTCAGCCTCCCGAGTAGCTGGGACTACAGGCGCCTGCCACCGTGCCCGGCTAATTTTTTGTATTTTTTTTTTTTTTTTTTTTTTTTTTCAGTAGAGACGGGGTTTCACCTTGTTAGCCAGGATGGTCTCGATCTCCTGACCTCATGATCCACCCGCCTCAGCCTCCCAAAGTGCTGGGATTACAGGCGTGAGCCACCGCGCCCGGCCTCAGTACCTGTTTTAAGAAAAAACAACAAGGAAGTAAAACCAAAGACAGGCAGCCCGGCGCCAGGCCCGAAACCAGGCCTGGGCCTGCCTGACCTAAACCCAGTAGTTAAAAATCAACTCATAACTTAGAAACTGATGTTATTCATAGATTCCAGACATCGTATAGAACAACACTGTGAAACTCCCTGCCCTGTTCTGTTTCTCTCTGACCACCAGCACATGCAGCCCCTACAATGTACCGCCTGGTTGCTCAAATCAATCGCATCCCTTTCTTGTGAAATCTTTAGTGTTGTGAGCCCTTAAAAGGGACAGAAATTGTGCATTTGGGGAGCTCGGATTTTGAGACAGTAGCTTGCCCACACTCCCAGCTGAATAAAGCCCTTCCTTCTACAACTCGGTGTCTGAGAGATTTTGTCTGCGGCTCATCCTGCTGCATTTCTTGGTTCCCTGACCGGGAAGTGAGGTGACTGACAGACGGCCGAGGCAGCCCCTTAGGCGGCTTAAGCCTGCCCTGTGGAGTGTCCCTGCAGGGGACTCCAGCCAGCCTGAGAGGCACGATCCAAAGAGCGCTCCTGGGTAGGCAATTGCCCTGGTGGAACGCCTTGCCAGAGCAGCACATAACAGGCCCCTGTGGAGGATTAACACAGCGGCTGAATACCCGGAAGGAACTGGGACTTGGAGTCCGGACATCTGAAAGTTGGTAAGACTAGTCTTTGGAACTTGCCCCACTCCATCGGAGTGGAAGTGTGGCCTGATCACCCACGGTGTGCCTGTATTGGCACTTTTGTTCTGGTTTTGACTTGGCTTGACTTGGTAAGACTAGACTTTGGAACTTGCCCCACTCCATCTGAGTGGAAGCGTGGCCTGATCACCCATGGTGTGCCTGTATTGGCACTTTTGTTCTGGTTTTGACTTGACTTGAATTGCTGGATACTTTGGTTCTGGTTTTGACTTGGCTTGAATTTTTTGGTACTTGGATTTTGAATTTTGTGATTTTGGTTTGGTATAAATGGTAGAAGTGTGCATGTGCCCTCTTTACCCATTCTTTGTCTTGTGGTGAGTTTGTGTGGTGTGAGCGTGGTGTTTTGTCTTGAAGAAGCATGGGTCAGGCACAAATAAGCCCACTCCACTAGGAACTATGTTAAAAAAAAATTTCAAGAAAATTTAAGGGAGAGTACGGTGTTACTGTGACACCAGGAAAACTTAGAACTTTGTGTGAAATAGACTGGCCAGCATTAGAGGTGGGTTGGCCATCAAAAGGAAGCCTGGACAGGTCCCTTGTTTCAAAGGTATGACACAAGGTAACCTTTAAGCCAAGGCACCCAGACCAGTTTCTATAAATAGACAGTTACAGCTGGTTTTAGACCCCCTTTCCCCCCACAGTAGTTAAAAGAACAGCAGCATAAGCGGCTGGCAAAGGCAAGGAAAGACCAGCAGAGAGAAAAAAAGGCCATCTATACCAATTCTAAGTTAATTTAGACTAAACAAGGTCTTATTAATAGCAAAGGATAATTGAAATCCCAAACTTACAAGGTTTTCAACAAAAGTGAAGTTTGCTAAAGGTTAGCAGTGTAGCATGTATTATGGTAACTTCTAATCTTGTGGCCTTAGACAGTCTAGTCCAAAGACATAAAAAAAGTTCCCTTTAAAAAAAGGAATGGTTATGTTCCAAAAAAAAAAAAAAAAAATGGGAGGCAGAATTTATGTAAAAGGAGTGTTATATGGTAAATTCTTGTCCTGAAATAAATTAACTGGTTGTTTAAAAAGAAAATGTTTGTAGTAAGTCAGAAAGTTGAGACATGTTGAAGAACTGTTGGCCAAAGTCATGAAAAAAAATTATAAAAAAATTTATGCGAAAAATGTTGTATAATTTAAAAGTAATAAGGCCTCCCGAGTACTATTAAAAAATAGTTTATGTGCAAGGTGTATAAGAAAAATAAAATATACCTTTGGTAAAAAGATTATAAAGGGGCATAAGAATGTAGATTTTTACCTACATTAAAAGGTTAAAAAAATTGTTTTAAAAGTTTAAGCAAGTTTTAAAATGTTAATTGTAAAAAAAAATTCTGTGTGTAAACATATTAACTAAAGTTAAAAAGGTATCATCCAGTTTTTCTGTGAACTGGACATTAAAGTAAAAATGCAACAGGTTTTTCTGAAAGCATCAACCTGCTCTTTAACAAAAGTTACAAAAGGTTAAAAAGAGTCTATAAAATCTTACCTTATGGTCAAACATAAAAAAAATTGGATAAATATGTCTACAAGGTTTTACTAAAATTGTTTAACTTTAATAGCTCACTAATATAAAGGTAAAATTTAGCTTATCTGGTATAAAAATCATACAAGAAGCATTATTAAATATAAAATGGTGTTTAGCTCTCTTTGGTCTAAAAACTAATAAAAATTGGTGCTAAAGGAAACATTCATTTTACTAGAAGATCATAAAAGTTAAAGACTTTAAAAAAACTTTGGCAATTAAGACAGCATACCAAGATGCAAATGCCTGGTTGAAATGGATCAAATATTCCATCTGCACGTTAAACAAAAGCAATTGTTATGCTTGTGCACATGGCAGTCCAGAGGCCCTGATTGTCCCCCTTCCACTAAGGTGGTCCTTCAGTCAACCAGGCATGGGCTGCATGGTAGCTCTTTTCCAGGATTCTACAGCCTGGAGTAATAAGTCATGCCAAGCTGTCTCTGTTGTATCCCGAAGTCCCTGCGGGTAAGCCCCCAAGGGCCATCCAGCTTCCGTCTCCCAACACTAAGTTCACTTAGTGTCTCTCATGGCAGGGAGGAGACTTAGCATTCCTTGGAGACCTGAAGGGATGCAGTGAGCTTAAGAATTTTCAAGAGCTTATCAGTCAGTCAGCCCTTGTTCATCCCCGAGCGGGTGTGTTGTGGTATTGTGGTGGACCTTTACTGGGCACTCTGCCAAATAACTAGAGTGGCACTTGTGCTTTAGTCCATTTGGCTATCCCTTCACCCTGGCATTTCATCAACCAGAGGAAGGAAAAAAAAATAAGACATTGTAAAGCGAGAGAAGCCCCTTATAGGTCTTTCAACCCTCATATCTATTTAGATGCAATTGGAGCCCCACAAGGAATACCAGATCAATTTAAAGCTTGAAATCAAACAGTTACAAGATTTAAGTCAATATTTTGGTAGATGACAGTCAATAAAAATGTAGATTAGATAAACTACATCTATTACAACCAACAGCAATGAGCTTTTCATGAATTAAAAAGAAAAACTCATGTCAGCCCCAGCCCTGAGGCTACCTGACCTGACAAAACTCTTTACACTCTATGTGTCAAAAAGAGAAAAAATGGCAGTTGGAGTTTTAAACCAGACTGTAGGGCCCTGGCCAAGGCCAGTGGCCTATCTCTCAAAACAACTAGATGGGGTTTCCAAAGGCTGGCCCCCATGTCCAAGGGCCCTGGTAGCAATGGCCCTGTTAACACAAGAAGCAGATAAGCTAACTCTTAGACAAAACCTAAACATAAAGTCCCCCCATGCTGTGGTGATTTTAATAAATACCAAAGGACACCATTAGCTAATGAATGCTAGACTAACTAGATACCAAAGCTTGCTCTGTAAAAATCCCCGCATAACTGTTGAAGTTTGCAACACCCTAAACCCTGCCACCTTGCTCCGAGTATCAGACAGCCCAGTTAAACATAACTGTGTAGAAGTATTAGACTCAGTTTATTCTAGTAGGCCCAACCTCCAAGACCATCCTTAAACATCAGTAGACTGGGAGCTGTAAGTGGATGGGAGCAGCTTCGCCAACCCCTGCAAAGTGACTCTGAAGAAAACTGCAAGCCCTGCTCCAGTCACACCGGGAAGCCTACTGGTCCACACACGGCCGAAACATGAGAAAACTCATCATGGGACTCATTTTCCCTAAAATTTGGACTTGTACAGTAAGGACTTCAACTCACCTTCCTCAGACTGAGAACTGTTTCCAGTATATACATCAAGTCACTGAGGTAGGACAAAAGATTGCTACAGTCCTATTATTTTATGGTTATTGTAAGTGTACCAGGACTCTAAAAGAAACTTGTTTGTATAATGCTATTCTATCCAAGATATGTAGCCCAGGAAATAACCAACCTGTTGCGTGTTAGGACCCATTTTAAGCCTCCCATGATCACAGTTTTTAAAATAAAATTAAGGACTGGTCCTTTTCTAGGTGACACAAGTAAGGTAATAGCTGGAACAGAAGAAAGAGGGGTCCCCAAAAAGGTAACCTTAAAATTTGATGCTTGTGCTGCTATTGATAGTAAGCAGCATGGAATAGGATGTGGTTCTCTAAATTGATTAAAAAAGTGACACAGTAAAAAAAAATAAGTATATCTGTCAAGAATCATATTTATGTAAGATGTGTCAATACTGGTCTTGTGTCATCTGGGCTACTTGAAAAGAAGATAAAAAAGATCCTATTTGGCTCCAAAAAGGAAAAGTCAGCCCCTCCTGCACGAGTGGGAGCTTCAACCTTTTAGAATTGGTAATCACAAACCCCTCAGACCCAAAGTGAAATAAAGGAAAATATATAACATTAGGCATTGATGGAAAAGGACTAGATCCTAGTTTAAGCATCCTAATAAAAGGAGAGGTTCAGAAACGCTCTCCAGAACCAGTATTTCAGACTTTCTATGATAAACTAAATGTGCCAGTACCAGAGACTCCAGGAAAAACCAGAAATTTGTTTTTGCAATTAGCCGAACATGTAGCCCAATCTCTACAAGTCACCTCACGTTATGTTTGTGGAGGAACTGTAACAGGAGATCAGTGGCCATGGGAAGCCCAAGAATTGGTTCCTACAGACCCAGTTCCTGATGAATTCCCAGCCCAAAAGAACCACCCTGACAATTTTTGGGTTCTAAAAGTCTCAATTATTGGACAGTATTGCATAGCTAGAGAAGGAAAAGGATTCACTCATCCTGTAGGGTGGCTTAGTTGTCTTGGGCAAAAGCTATATAATGGTACCACAAAAACAGTTACATGGTGGAGTTCCAATTACACAGAAAGAAATCCATTCAGTAAATTTCCAAAGTTGCAGACTGTTTGGGCCCACCCAGAATTCCACTGGGACTGGAACGGCCCCCACCAGGTTATACTGGATATGTGGACACAGAGCTTATGCTAAGCTGCCTGATCAGTGGACAGGTAGCTGCGTAATTGGCACCATTAAACCATCTTTCTTCTTACTGCCTATAAAAACAGGTAAACTTCTGGCTTCCCAGTCTATGCTTCCTGCGAAAAACGAAGCATAGCCTTAGGTGATTGGAAAGATGATGAGTGGCCCCCTGAAAAAATCATATAATACTATGGACCTGCCACTTGGGCACAAGATGGCTCATGGGGATATCGAACCTCCATCTACATGCTCAGCTGAATCATATGGTTCCAAGCTGTTTTAAAAACTATTACTAATAAAACCGGTCAAGCCTTGACTGTTCTCTTGCCAGGCAAGAGACTCTGATGAGAAATGCTATCTGTCAAAATAGACTAGCTCTTGACTACTTGCTGGCAGCTGAAAGAGGAGTTTGTGAAAAATTTAACCTTACTAATTGTTGTCTACACATAGATGATCAGGGGCAAGTAGTTGAGGATATAGTTAAAGATATAACAAGGCTGGCACATGTATCCGTACAAGTGTGGCATGGACTCAATCCGGGAGCCATGTTTGGAAACTGGTTCCCAGCAATAGGAGAATTTAAAACTCTTATAATAAAAGTAATAATAGTAATAGGAACCTGGTTACTGCTCTCTTGTCAGATACCTGTATTTCTCCAAATGATAAAAAACTTCGTTGCTACCTTAGTTCACCAAAATGCTTCAGCACAAGCATACTATATAAGTCACTATCAATCTATTGCACAAAAAGGCCTAAGTAGCAAAAATAAGAGTGAGAACTCCCACTAATAAAAAGTGAGAGTCTCAAAGGGGGGAAATGAGGGAAGAGAGAGACCCTCTCATATTGTTTTATATTGTTTTATACTCAGTACCTGTTTTAAGAAAAAACATCAAGGAAGTAAAACCAAAGACAGGCAGCCCGGTGCCAGGCCTGAAACCAGGCCTGGGCCTGCCTGGCCTAAACCCAGTAGTTAAAAATCAACTCATAACTTAGAAACCGATGTTATTCATAGATTCCAGACATCGTATAGAAGAGCATTGTGAAACTCCCTGCCCTGTTCTGTTTCTCTATGACCACCAGTGCATACAGCCCCTGTCACGTACCACCTGCTTGCTCAAATCAATCATGACCTTTTCATGTGAAATCTTTAGTGTTGTGAGCCCTTAAAAGGGACAGAAATTGTGCATTCAGGGAGCTCGGATTTTGAGACAGTAGCTTGCCGATGCTCCCAGCTGAATGAAGCCCTTCCTTCTACAACTCAGTGTCTGAGAGGTTTTGTCTGTGGCTCGTCCTGCTACAGTACCATCATTTGGGTACTTTTTAGGTAAAGATGGTTTGTGAGTGGCTTTATGTTGCATGCTGACTACAATGAGATTTTTAAATTTTTTTAGGGCAGTGGGAACATAAAAATGAATTTTAACTATGATTACTAAGGGATTTAAGTAGGAGCATGAGTGACACTGTCATACATATGGCTGGCAGCAGGCAAACACTTCTTAGGTATGAATCAGAAAAAAGAGAGGGAAGAAAGCCAGTGAGGGCAGGGTGAGCCATCAGATATATCAGTGCACAGAAACGTCCTGAGGTCTTTACATCAGGAAGTCAAGCTAGAAATAGGGAGACCTGGGTATTAGTCAGGGTTTTCTAGAGGGACAGAACTAATAGGATAGATGTATATATGAAGGGGAGTTTATTAGGAGAATTGACTTACACGATCACAAGGTGAAACCCCACAATAGGTCATCTGTAAGCTGAGGAGCCAGGAAGCCAGTCTGAATCCCCAAACCTCAAAAGTAGGGAAGCTGAGAGTGCAGCCTTCAGTCTGTGGCCAAAGGCCCGAGAGCCCCTGGCAAATTACTGGTGTAAGTCCAAGGATCCAAATGCTGAAGAACTTGGAGTCTGATGTTCCAGGGCAGGAAGCATCCAGCACAGGAGAAAGAGAAAAAGCATCCAGGCAGGAGGAAGAAAACAGATGGAGAAAAATGAAACAGAAGACTTAGCCAGTCTAGTCTTTCCATGTTCTTCTGCCTGCTTTTATTCTAGCCATGCTGGGAGCTGATTAGATTGTGCCTACCAGATTGAGGGTGGGTCTGCATCTCCCAGTTCACTGGCTCAAATGTTGATCTCTTTTGGTGACACCTTCACAGACACACCCAGAAAGAATACTTAGCATCCTTCAATCCAATCAAGTTGGCACTCAATATTAACCATTACCACCTGCGATATCAGGACTAAGTACCGGCAACCAGGATGCTAGACAAAGTGGTCAGTGTCATTAGTAGAATATCATAGTAATTAACTTCAAGAAATGTGATAGGATTAGGATCAATGCACCAAAACTGACATTCAGCAAGCCCCTCCAATCTGTCCCTTATGTGGGGTCAAGGCTGTTGTTTCAGTGGGGAAGGTCTTACTTGGATCCTTTGTTCCTGAGTGAAATACAAATTGAAGGACATTTGCATTTGTAAGAGACAGAGACTTGTCAGATGGCTTCATTTTCCATCTACTTCCTGTCTGCAACAGTGCCAAGTCACCTCCCAGATATTACCCACATGCCATCTGCAAGTTGGGAGTCTTCAACTTTTTGAAAAGTCTCTGCCCCTTAGCTGATGTGGCACCAAGTCATGGACATCAACAAACAAAGGATGATGGATTTCCAGCACTACACCAAATCTGCTACAGTTTTGGAAAGAGGGCTATCTTGGAGGCATGTGTGTATGTTATGGGGAGGGAATTTTCCGTTTCCTTCATTATTTTCCTGAAAACAGAAATTTTGGGCCTTTGGTGACACTCACTCATCACATTCCTTTTCCTCATTTGTATCACTGTTGTTTTATAAAATCCCAAGAAGCAGACACACGATTTCTAAATAAACAGTCCTTTAAGAAGAGATTTAAGGATAGTATAAATTTTCTTTTTTCAGTACAGACATACAACTTGTCTCTTAGAAAGGCACATAGCCATTGGCTTAAGGAAACTGAATAAGAACTTTCAGTTAAATGTGGAGGATTGAACACATGCATTTATCTTTGCAATCTCCCAAACCTCCCAAAATGAATAAAAAGTATGTACTCATTTAAAAAAATGAAACAGAAGAGAAGATGACAACACAGGAAAGACGTTAACAACATTTTGGAAACTGAAAGCAGATGGAAGCTGAGTTAACCAATTTGAAAAATCTGAAACTAAAGTCTGCAGTGAATGAAGCCAGTAAGAGAAAAAAAATGATGTTCTAGAATCAAGAAAGGCTCAGCAATTGGAGACACCAGGCACCTTTAAAAATGGGGCATGAAAAGAAGTAAAAATCAAGGGATTTATTAAACCTTGGTGTAATGAGCATTTAGACTCCCAGATCATCTCTCTCAATCCTCCTAGCCTGGAACCTGTCCCTTGTCCATCCTGGTAGATAATGGGAGCTTCACATTGGAGAGGTTTGTACAGCTAGGGTACTGATGAGATGCTGAATATCTGTAACTTGGATGGTGAGATACCTCATTCCTATTCTTCTGAAATGCTTTCAGAATACTGACAGCCAGGCCTTTTATGCCCAGGAGGAGGTACCCACACACGCTGACAGTTGGGTGCTCCCCAACCAAATGGCCCAGTCCCTACCCCACCATCTGATTGTGACTTTAAAGTTACATGGATGTATTACCTCACTAAAATTAAGAAAACATTAAGTAAAAAAGAATAACTCACAGCCTGCTAAACCATCTACTTCTAGCAAGAAGGAAATAAAATGCTTATAATGAGGCAAGAGTGGGGGATCTAAGACCATGTAGGAGATATTTCCAAGGGTATAACATAATAGATGGGAATCCCAGGTCCACAGGTATGCATGTAAAGAAAGCCTTCACAGAGATTGACTGATTAGAGCTAGACTTGGGGAAATGGAGTTAACTCTACAGACACCTTCCTTGAAATTTTTTCCAAATAAGTGTAAAGAGAAAATCTGTGCTTATCAGAGCCTTCCTGTTTTGTTCTGTTTTTCAAATTACTTTTTCCATTATTTTTCCAGGTTACCATGGCACTTCTAAAAGCCGTATGTTTCTTGCTTATATTTGTTTTTTCATTCATTCATTCCAAAATATTTTTTTATGCTCTTCTATTGCCTTCAGTACTATTCTAGGCAGAGTCCCTGAGTCATGCAGCTTACACACAAGAGGAAGAGACTGACAGAAATAACACTAGTTTCTTTCTTTCCTTCCTTTTATAGGAGTTGACTTCCCCCTCTTCTGGGGCCAAAAGCAGGGAAGTAAGATATTTACATTTTAACATTTGTTAGATTGGGAAATTGGACTTAAAACCAAAATGAGGAACCCAAACTGGAACTTCTCTATGGAAGGAATCAGACCTTGAGGTGACAGTGGAAAGCCAAGTGTTAGAGGAAACTGCGAAACTGGAATATCAAGATGAACAAATGGGATATACTGCACTAAGCTGCAAGCAGACCACTCTGGGAAAAAGCACATGTACGTGATAGATATAGACACAACTATTCTCTGAGGTCTTTTTGTTCAGTTTCTGGGAGATTTTCTCACCTTAATGATTCAACTATTCCAATGAGTTATACACACACACACACACACACACATCCGTATACATACATCTATAAACATAAACATGTGTGTGTATATATATATATGTAATTGTTCTCAGTAGTTCTTTTTTGTTGTGTTCTTTTTTTCTTCTCTTCTTACCTCTCCCTCTTTCTTCTTTTATTAATAGTACATTGTTGTATTCACATATATTATAGCTTGTCTAACCTTTAAAATATATAGCAAGGATAGTTTATTTAAGGTTTTATTCTCTCTGTAAAGACTGTTCCCTCCAAGTCACTTTTACTCCTTTCAAACCCTGTCTTTCATGTTCAAGGGTTTTTTTTTTTTTTTGGATGTTGGTGATCCCTCAAAAGTGGGGCAATAAACAGCAGAGAGGAATCTCCTGAGGGTGTGTGTAGGGTTTCTGGACTGATCTCAATGAGTCTTTTCATTGAGGGAATTCCTGATGGAGAATCCCTCTTTTCCATACATTATCTCTACCCTTACCTATGCCTTTTATTTTCCTTAACAAAAAAGTAAGCTTTTCTTATTTGCTCTAGAGAGTTAGCCTCCTCTATCCTGTTGGGCAGGTAAGATGCACAGACTGGCTGAATGAAGTAGGAAAGGAATCAGGGATGTAACTGTTGCTCAGAATTCTCTTACTACTTCTTTAACGGTCTTTCAAACAATTCTCTTGTTTTTAATTTTACTTTCATATCTATTCCCAGAGAACCTGATGTTGCCAATTCCAGAGACTTTGTAGATTCTGCAAAGCATATTTGTTTTTTTCTTGGCTTCTTCCACTGCTGGTTTAGGATTGAGCTTTCTTTGAACCCCTTAGTCAGTTACCACTCATCCAGCTTTAAAAATTTTGCTGCTGTTGTCTCTTTTTTGTTTGTCCTTATGATTTTGTGCCCTTTAAAAAGTTCTTTTCTGATGTTTTAGTGTAGTTTTGGGAAAGAGTAAACTAAATAGAAATTTACCTGAAGGTCTCTCTTGTTTTCCTAATTATTTTAAAAATTACACCAGTCATTCAAAAATACATGACAATATATGACATGACATGAATTTAAGATTCAAGCAATTTATCATTATATGAAAGAAAATGTGACTCTTTCCCCTCCCCTTCAATTCCATATTTTACCTCTTCTGAGATGAACAATTTTAACTATTTGATAATTATTTTTCCACTACTTTTCCTGTGCATTTGCGTGCACTTGCTTATATATGTATACATTTCAAAACATAATTGGGATCATGCCAAATGTATGGCTTTATGAGTTGTTTGTTTCTGTTTGCTCGTTTTTTAAATTGGTATTCTTTCCATATAAACACATGCAGATACTTCCCAGCCTTTGAACAGCTGCCTAGTATTCTAGAATATTGGTACTATGCTTTATTTGTCCTTTTCTCTATTTAGGAACATTCAATTTGTTTTCATGTTTCCTCTATTACAGGGGTCCCCAACTCCGGGACCATGGTCTGTGGCCTTTTAGGAACAGGGCTGCATAGCAGGAGGTGAGCAGAGGGCAATTGAATGAAGCTTCATCTGTATATACAGCCACTCCCCATTGCTTGCATTATCACCTGAGCTCCACCTCCTGTCATATCAGTGCAGCATTAGACTTTGATAGGAGGTTCAGCCCTATTGTGAACTGCACATGTGAGGGATCCAGGTTGCATGCTCCTTATGAGAATCTAATGCCTGGTGACCTGTCACCATCTCCCATCACCCCCAGATGGGACTGTCAAGTTGCAGGAAAACAAGCTCAGGGCTCCCACTGATTCTATGTTATGGTGAGCTGTATAATTATTTCATTATATGTTACAATGTACTAATAATGGAAATAAAGTGCACGATAAATGTATTACACTTGAATCATCCTGAAACCATCTCCCACCCCTAGTCCATGAAAAAACATGTCTTCTATTAAACGAGTCCCTGGTGCCAAAAAGGTTGGCGACCCTGCTCTATTATAACAATGCTGTGGTGAACATATTTGAACATTCTTTTGCACATGTACAAGTATTTCTTAAAGAAAATATTGGCTGGGTGTAGTGGTTTGTGTGTGTAATCCCTGTGCTTTGGGAAGCCAAGGCATGAAGATTGCTTGAGGCCAGAAATTTGAGATCAGCCTGGACAACATAGCAAGGCCCTATCTACACACACACACACACACACACACACACACACACACACACACACACACACAGAGCTGGGTGTGGTGGCGAGAGCCTGTAATCATACCTGGCTAGTCAGAAGGTTAAGGAAGAAGGATCCCTTGAGCCCAGGAGTTCTAGGCTGCTGTGAGCAATGATCTCACCACTGCACTGCAAACTGGGCAACAGAGCAGGGCCTTGTCTCTGAAAGAAAAAAGAAAATGCTTAGTAGTTCCTAGCCTAGGTATGTGTTTTCTAAATTTAACTCAGTTGCACATACTGAATGATTTTTCCATTAAATTGGCTAATTTTAATTTTATTTTATAGAAACTTTTATTTGTTCAATATGTGTATAAAGAGGAAATAAGTATCACCATAAATAGATGGTAACTGTAAAAGTAAGTGCAAATTTAATAAAAACAATATTATTGAATTCAAAGTGGATGTGATTGCCTGCTCTCTTTGTTGAATAGTAACAAGTATTGGAGAGATGTTAATATCGTATTAGTACCAAATCAAAGACTTTTTCCTTTAAGTATTTTTTTAAAAGAAAGTTAAAATATAATATATTTTTCACTGTGCAATTCAACATTATACAACTTCATGTTCACACACCACCTGCATTCATGTGCCATCAGTGCAATAGGTGTACCATTGACAGTGTTATCTTCCTTTGTTGCTCCACCATGTTACCCCTCTTCTCAAAGTTTCTTTAGATCTTCATTGCCTAGAGAATAAAGTAAATATCCTAAGAGTTAAGGTTCATCAGCTGATCTCAGCCAGCCTCAATATGGGCTGTTTTAGAGTCTGTAATGCTTTCTGAGTTTTATAAAATGACTATGTATACAGAATTGCTTTGTTGTGACATTTCAGCTTTTACATCTTTTCTTGCATTCTATTTATTGTATCTTCTCTAATACACCATTACTTCTTGTGAGTAAGACCTGGGTGTTCCATGTTCCATCTTCCCCTTGTTCCATCTTCCCTTTTTTGATGTCCTTCATTACCTAGCACAGTGCCCTCTACTGGGTAGATACTTCATCATCAGAAGGTAAATTATTGACTTCTAAGCTTTGTTACTACAAATTCAGCTTTCGTTACACAAAAGATTAGTGGATAAGATTCAACTGTGAAGCCATCTAAATTCTCATGATAGCACAATTAGAAGGTTCTTTGTAATATTACAACACGAGAAAATACAATAGAAGGAGGACATTCTAGTGGCAGTGGACACTTTTATACTGAGTTTGGGATTATGTTTATCATGTTTGTTTTCTTAATTTGAAAGCCTAAGCTCCCATATAACTTTTTATGAACTAGCTGATTTTCATGTTTCTGAGTCACTTTGGAACACATTTTATCTTAATAAGAATAACTCATGGAGCAAAAAAGACAGCAGGCTCCTTATTATCATGCTCTGCATATAGGAATTTTTGTCTTTTGGCTGCCAAACCTGTATTCCACACTGTCCAGCTTTAGAAAATGGATTGTTTTTAATGGGTGAGTTTGAGTGACAAAGGCAGAGAGCAGGCCAGTGGCCTGTCCCCTCAGTTGATAGGATTAGATCTGAGTGAATAAAGACAAGTGATGGGCTGCAGACTTTAGGGGGAAATTTGCAGTGCACATTGGCACTTCTGAGTGGCACTAACGTTCTCTGTTTGCCTTACAAACCCTTTAAAATGCCATTTGCATTAATGATGGTATAATTGACATTGCTTCTCCAGAAGCTCAGAGGATTGTGGGGAGGCGGAATAAAAAAAAATTCATCTCCTCTGAAGATTCTTCTGTAGCTACAAAATGTGAAGAGACAAGGACTCCTGTCAGTGTGTGATGTCATATTAATAAAAAATCAAGCACAAAACCTATCCATCATCACAGTTTTCCCGGTAGCCTTTTATCTCATTGTACATTATCTTTCTAATTGACACATATCAGTATTATTCTGAATGGTTGATATAATTTTTTTACACTAAATACCCAGAATTCTTCATGATCCATTTGTTCACATTGATTTCTCCTTAAGAAGTGAAACTATTGTAGTTCCAGCAATAGTTTAATGCCCCAAATACCCATGAATGTGTGTGACAGAGGAGACGTGGGCAGGGGACTCAGGATTCAGTCTCTGTTATAACTGAATGGGGTTGAAATCTTTATGAAAGAAATGACCTTTTAGAGGTCAAAGATCAACTGCAGCATGTTGGAATCATAGTTTAGAAAGACATATACACAGATGTCAGTAAGGTTTTAAATGAAAATATCAGATTTTTAACAAGGTCAGTTATAATGTATTTATTCCCTAGATTTGTGCTGGATCAGTGTATATTAGCAACATTTTAGTAAGTGTTTTGTGAACGATAGGTTAGTAGAGGACATAGGTAATTTCTAACTAGAGTTTTATAACACCTATATTAGTAATGTGTGTTTTCTTATAGTATTTTACCAAAGTTAAATCAGGCAAAAGACCAGAGAAAACCAGAGTATAATCACAGTTTAGATTCCTAAGGGAAGAGTGTCATGTTTTGTTGTTGTTGTTGTTGTTTTGTTTTGTTTTTGACTAATGCCAGTAAAATTCTCCCCACTCATATTATGCCAAATGGAAAATATCTATCTTCTAATGATACTTTGTGTTGGAGAACATATTTCTGAGGCATTGCATTATTCTGAAGGGCCTTCTAAGTCATTCAGGAAAGATCAAATTATGTGTGGTGATGTGAAATGTTGAGGTTGTTCACACAAAAAATTATAATTTTTTGATTTTTTAATATTTTGATTTATTTTATTTTACAGACAAGATCTCACTCTGTAGGCCAGGCTGGAGTGCAGTGGTGCCATCATAGCTCACTGCAGCCTCCAACTCCTGAGCTCAAGCAATCTTACCATCTCAGCCTCTCAGAGTGCTGGGATTACAGGTGTGAGCTATTTTAAACTACATGTAGTGTGTATGTGTCTTAGGGCATGCTTAATTGCAAGGAAAACAGATCTATTCAAATGTACTTCAGGAATTTGTGGTGAAAAATTGAGGAGAATCACAGAGAAGTCAGTTTTAGAGAGTATGGCCAGACCTTGAAGTGAGTAGATGGATAGAGACTCAACTCAAACTAGCTAAAGCAAAAGAGAGATTGTTTCCCAAACCTGAAGACTCATGCAAGCAGAGTCTTCTGCTCCTCAGGCTGATGAACTTACCAAGTCAGGTGAAGGTGAATGATTTAAGAAGATCCTGCTTGGTTTTTTTTTTTTTAATTTAAATTATTATTATTTTGTAAATTTCATGAGATGGAAAGTAGAAGTAGGCAACATAAGAAGAAAGAACATGAAACTGGGTCAGGCAGAAGCAGAGGTCTCCATCTGGTGTAGCAACCTCCACACTATGGACATTTTGAACTAGAGGATTCTTCCTTTTCTTTTTTTTTTTTTTGAGACAGAGTCTTGCTCTGGTGCCCAGGCTGGAGCTGGAGTACAGTGGCATGATCTCAGCTCACTGCAACCCCTGCCTCCTGGGTTCAAGTGATTCTCCTGCCTCAGCTTCCCAAGTAGCCGGGATTACAGGCAACTGCCACCACGGCCGGCTAATTTTTGTATTTTTAGTGGAGTTGGGATTTCACCATGTTGGCCAGGCTGGTCTCGAACTTTTGACCTGGAGTGTTGCACTTGCGGCGGGCTCCCAAAGTGCTGGGATTACAGACAGGAGCCACCATGTCTGGACAACTAGATAATCCCTTGTTGTGGCAGACTGTCCTCTGCGTTATAGGGTGCTTAGCAGCATCCTTGGTCTCTTATCTACCCTGAAACACAAGAGTAAAACATTTCTTGAGACGTTTCCAAATGCCCCTGGCAGTCAAAATTGCCTCTAGTTGAAAACTTCAATACGTGAAAGTAGGTATATGGATTTCAGACTATCACAAAACTCCTCAATCATTTATAACCTCTCTTGTTGTGGAAAGAATCCAATAAGGGGTGAAGAGAAGTGTGGAAGTTTTTTTTTTGTCAAGTTCTTCCTAGTGAGAGTAGAAGTTTTGATTAAAGTTTCTATTTTATGGGACAAGGTGAGAATGCATTAGGGGTAGAGGGGTGGTGTAAGAAGAAGAGGTTTCCAGGATACCTTTAGTGTGTTGTATCTTTTCACAGTATGTTGAAGTGTAGTTTATCTATTTCCATGGAAATATGCATTAAGCTAGGCTCATCTCTCCAAATTGATCTGTTGAGCCATTTAGATCTAAAGCCCTATGCTATTTAAAGTATCAGACAAACATGGCAAACAAACTGGCAGTTTATACAACAGTTTTTAGTTTTTCAGGAAACAAAGAAATTTTATTTCTGACTTGATTCTTACCTTACTTGTATAAGTCTATGAAGAGGTGCATGGTAAATACAGGATTTGAGAGTCACCAGCTCTACTCACTATTCCATCCTTGTTTTGTTTTATTTGTGTTTCAGCCAGGTAGGTGTTTCCCTTTAGTTGGATGGAAAAACAAGCCAAACAAAACAAAATCTAAAATAACTCTCTGCCCAACTTTCACAATATCGTCAATCCTATTCTTTAATGTCTCCATTGATTCTTTTAATCTTTAAATTTCATTTTTAAATTTTACTTTTTATTTTGTTTTATTTTATTTTATGTTTTGAGATGGAGTTTTGCTCTTGTTGCTCAGGCTGGAGTGCAGTGGCACAATTTCAGCTCACTGCAACCTCCGCCTCCCAGGTTCAAGTGGTTCTGCTGCTTCAGCCTCCCAAGCATCTGGGATTACAGGCATGCACCACCATGCCTGGCTAATTTTTGTATTTTCGGTAGAGACAGGATTTTGCCATGTTGGCCAGGTTGGTCTCGAACTCCCGACCTCAGGTGATCCACCTACCTCAGCCTCCCAAAGTGCTGGGATTACAGGCGTGAGCCCTTGTGCACGGCCCATTTTTTAAATTTTAATAAATTGTATCTCCACATCATTATGCTGTTTTTCCTTTCTTAGTTTACATTTGATTTTCTGCTCTTATTTCATAGAAGTTAGGTATTCTGGCATCCTTTTGAGGGGTGTTATAAAATTAGTAATGATTTTTCCTCTATTTCTACTAGTAAATGACTGTCAGAGTAATGCTCTTTTAATTCTTCAGTATGATATTCTCTTCTTAATGTTTTGCATATATCATTCTTTGAGGAAATCTCTGCCTTTCTTTATCTCTATCCATCCTCAAATTAGGAGATCTTTATTCAGATAATGTTTACCAGCAGGGTTGTGTATTTTTCTTATGGCGCTTCTCACTGTTTGCTAAATTCTTGTATCAAATCAACCACAAAAAAGTAGCTCATTTCCCAATGCCTTACAGATTTCAGTACTGAGGTTCTTAAATCCTCCTGCCTGGAAACTTCACATTCGAGCGGATTTCAAATGTAAAAATTATAACCCTTGCATGTATTTCTTTCAGGCTCTTTCTTTTTTAGCTTTTCTAAGAATACATTCTTTTCTAGGAGAGATGCACCTCTGCAGCCCCTCATCCTGTGTCACCCAATTATATATTTTTGAAAGTTGTCATTCCCAAATACCAAGTACTGTCTCTGGTTATCTTAAGCCAGAAAGGATTTAATACTTTGGAAGAAGTTAGGACATTGTACGAGTATTGGGATGGTAGAGGGGGCATTACCCCTGCAGTTGGGAATGAAATGTAAAGGTCTTTTACCTTTGTGTCACTTAATCTAACTTTATTAATATATGGAGTGGACGCATCCAGTGAGCTGGAATTAGGTCATGTGCCTGGGTTGGAAAGTGGGACAATAGGACTCCTTTCTCTGAAAAACAGGGCAGAAGGGTGTTATCTCACACCAGAATACTCAAGCTGTGGGTCCAGTTGTGTCCTCCAAAAAGAAATGTTGAAGTCCTAACCTCAAATACCTGGAAAGATGACCTTATTTAAAAATGGGGTCAGATATAATCATGTTAAGATGAGATCATTAGGGTAGGTCCTAATTCAATGCCTGATGTCTTTATGAGAAGGATGAGATTTGGACACTGACACACAGGGGGAGAAGACCAAAACATGACAGAGGTAGAGACTGGAGTGCTACAGCTGCAAGCCAAGGAACAGAACATGAAGAATTGCTGGCAACCATCAAAAGCTGAGAAGAGCCAAGGAAGGATCTTCCCCTAAAGCCCTCTGAAGGACCATGGCCCTGCTGACACCTTGACTTCAGACTTCTAGCCTCCAATACTTTGAGAAAATAAATTTCTGTTGTTCTAAGCCATTTGGTTTGTTTTCATGTATTATTGCAGCCCTAAGAAATGAATATGATACACAATTGGGGATTCCTTTGAAATTGCAAAGGAGGTGGGTAATGATGGACAACCGTAGAAATCCCAAGGTCCAGTTGGGAGAGTGTATAAGGAGACATTATTCACCGTACATCCCAAAGTGGTACTCTCGAACTAGATGACTGCTCACTGAGTTTTCTTATTGGTACGCATCCTGGATGTCTCAGGCATGAGACTAGGGTGAAAGAGGAATAAAATGTCTTCCTACCTTCTCTCTGGGTTGTTCCGTTTGATGAACCCATGCATGGGTAAGGAATTTTTTTTTTCTTTATCCAGTTTCATAAGCCATAGAGTTGTGAGAAATTCCTCCCAGATTTTGGCAATAGTGTATCTGTTCAACTTTATTTTAAGCTCTTTTTCAGTTGTTATTATGTGTGAATATTCATGAGACTTTTTGTTAGAAGTTAGGAGGAACTGCACCAAAGATACCTCTTTAAATTCCCCTATTTTTTTTTCTATCTTTTAAATTGTAGGTATAAGTGAAGAAGGTTTAGGGGATAAGGGCAAAAGGGGCACCAAGTTAGACATCAGGTCATATTGGGATTTACTCTAAAAATTTGTCAGCTTTCTTCTCCCTTTCCCCTATAATATGGGACAATTTTCCTATTTCTAGAGACTTCTAGATTATCTAGGGCTGTCTTTACATAGGTACTGCAGTCTTAATTAACAAGTTATAGAACTGAACATTTTCCCTTTTGTAATATCTTGGTTTGTTAGTCCTTGAATTATGTAATATGTAAATAGCATGAAGCCACTTTAAAGAACTTTAAAAGTAAAATTATGCACTGAAGTACTAAGCCAACAGAATTAAGAGTAAATGAATGTGGCTGCTGTTGAATAATAATTCAAAGGATTTAATGGAGGTAAGCTTCTAAACAAGTGTAAGAGAATGAAGACATAATCTTGGACTTTGAAATACTTTTGAGAGCATCTTGAGCAATAATTTGTTAGCTTGAAATTTATTTCAAATGTCTATCCCAGGAGTGTAATTGAAGGAAAAATGTTTAGTCTAATTTAGACCTTTATGCTCTACTTTAAACTTTGAACAAGTTAAAAAAGAATCCTGTTAGGGCCATAACAAAAGGGTTTTCTTTAAAAAAAAAAAATCAGAAGTCTTTCTTTATTTTACTTATGTTGGAGATACGTTTTTTGATTAAAATGCAGTAAAAGCTATACTAGAGGAAATTTAAAGGCATCTGTTCTCAAAGATAAGGTATTTACAAATGAAGGCTATCCAAGATAATTTAAAAAGCAGTGAGACTTGATGAGGGGAAATCAGTGTTTTATTTTTGTAATGTTACTGCCGTCAATCAACTCTGCAGAGAAAAATGAAGAAGAAAGAAACAACAAAAGGACAAAGTCATTTATCTTTAAATGTTCACAAGGTGCAGGTGCTGTCTCTGCATTGGTTTGCAAATGAAAAGATTTTTCTTCTTTTTACTTATTTTCATAGACCTCCCTAAACAAGGGGAAAGTATAATTTAGAAGATTCAGAGTCAATGAAAATTGGTGTGTGTAGGAGCTTGTAAAATTAATTTTAGTTGCTAGGCCTTTAATACCAGGGTGTGTCCAATGCACTGTGCCCTTTTAAATAATCCCTTTATGTTGCTCAGGGCAGATATATTTTGAAAGTGGCACCTCTATTAACCTTAGCTGTATGCCTTTTGGAAAAGAAGAAAAAAAATCACTGGAATTATATTTTGGATGCTACTCATGCTGAACAATTGTCACAGAACATTAGTTTGAAATCTAAATGAAGTCTTGACTATTCTTTTCAGGTAGGAGAGAAACAAGGCAGGGAAGAAAAACAAAGACGCTTCTCACTCTGAATTTCTATTATGATATTGTGATGTTATATAGGAGCATCTAGAGGAAACTCAATAATCAAAACAAGACACTTTAGAAGGGGGAAGAGAATTATCTATGCAAGTCGCAGCGCCAGACAGCTAGATGACAGTAACTAATGTTTCTTGAGTGCTTATCAGATGCCAGAAGAGCACTAAATAAATGCATTTTATGCTTCACCTCTGTTTCCTCCCAGTCTCTCACCCTTGTAGGACCCCCACCTAATATTATCATACCAGTTTTACAGATGAAAAAACTCTCAGCACTTTAGGAGGCCAAGGTGGGAGGATCGCTTGAAGTTAAGGGTTTGAGACCAGTCTCGGCAACATAGCAAGATCCTATCTCTAATAAGTAAATAAGCCAGGCATGGCAGCATATGCCTATAATCCCAACTAATTGGGGGGCTGAGGTGGGAGGATCACTCGAGCCTAGGAGTTGGAGTCTGCAGTGAGCAATGATGGTGCCACTGTACCCCAGCCTAGGCATCAGAGTGAGACCTTATCTCTTAAAAAAAAAGAAAAAATTGAGGCACAGGGAAGTTAAGAAACTTGGCTGGGGTTCTCACCACTAGTGAATGGTGGACCTAAGATTCAACTCTTCGGACTGCCTCGCTAGACCTTATTCTTAACACCTCTCTATGCTTCTTGTAACACCTCCTCCATCTCAGATCTGATTGAGAAGTGTAGAAGATGTAAAGTTCAGTGAATGAGTTGGCTGATTATTTATAAGTTTCCAGATGTGTGATGCTGTGTGGACTGTGGTGGGCGTGTATTGATTTTGTGTGTTCAGCATCTCCTCTCTCTTATTTTGGTATCCACATCCCAATTTTGCTTAGGGGAACTATCCTTCCCTCATCATGTTTGTCTTGGTGCTCTGCATTTCCTTGGCTGATGGGTAGATATGAGACAGAAGCCAGCCTGATCACATGCTCTGTTCCTGGAGTTTGAATCTTGAGGGGGATGATAAAGATCTAAAATAGTTGCAGGGTTTTTTTATCCTGATAGAAGTGTCTTGTGGAGACTGACGGTTTTTGCAATGAACCGTGATTACTGAAACTGCTCTTCTTGGGCCTTCTCCTAAGTCTGGGGTGTTGGCTTTTCTGTAGGCTGTCCCTTGCTCCTCCCATGCATTCCTTTCTGCCTTAAGAGAACCAGATTCTATTTATTTTCCTTGCAACCAAAGAACTTTAACAGAATCACTGACAACTGTTCCTTTTTCATGAGACTGACTTAGTGGTGTTGTGGGGAGCCTCCACCAGTTCAGCTTGTAACACCATGACTAGGGTTCACAGCTTGCGGGAAAGGTGTAACAGAGTTTTGGGCCTGTTGCTTTCTTTTTCTTCCATGCATGCATCTGCCACTTTGTGTCAAAAAAGTAAATTTTTTTTGGTAGAGATGAATTTTTGGTAGAAACGAATTCTGGTTTCACTCAGAAACTCATGGTGTCCAGTAGTGAGAAACAGGCAAAACACAAAAGAGTAGTGAGAAACAGGCAAAACACAATGAGCCTAACTCTGTTAGGCTCTTCTTAACACATTTATCTTTCAAATAAAAAAAATAGTCTTACTTGAGGCCAGACATGGTGGTTCACGCCTGTAATCCCAGCTCTTTGAGAGGCTGAGGTGGGTGGATCACCTTAGGTCAGGAGTTCGAGACCAGCCTGACCAACATAGTGAAACTCTGTCTCTACTAAAAATACAAAATTAGCCAGGTATGGTGGTGGACGCCTGTAATCCCAGCTACTTGGGAGACTGAACAGGAGAATTGCTTGAACCCAGGAGGTGGAGGTTGCAGTGAGCTGAGATAGCGCCATTGCACTCCAGCCTGGGCAACAAGAGCAGAACTCTACCTCAAAAAAAAAAAAAAGTCTTACTTGACAGACATATATACAGATATATATATATATATATGTAAGATATACATGATACTATATATAAGATATATATATATTTATATGAGATGACATATATACCAGTTTATATACAGATATATAAACTGGCTAAAATTATTATTTACATTTTTTTAATTTCAATAACTTTAGGACTAGCATGGCTTTTGGTTACATGGATGAATTGTATGGTGATGAAGTCTAGGATTTTAGTGTACTGGTCACCCACGTAGTGTACATTGTTTCCAAAATGTAGTTTTCCATCCCTCACTTTCCTCCCACCTTCCTCACAATTTTGAATTGTGCTGTGATAAACATAAGTGTGCAGGTGTCTTTTTTATATAATAACTTCTTTTCCTTTGGGTAAGTACCCAGTAGTGCAATTGCTGGATCGAATGGTAGATCTGCTTTTAGTTTTATAAGGAATCTCTATACTGTTTTCTGTAGAGGTTGTACTGACTTACATTCCCACCAGCAGTGTATAAGCATTCCCTTTCTACTATATCAGCATCAACATGTATTGTTATTCCACTTTTTTATAACGGTCATTCTGGTATCTTATTGTGGTTTTAATTTGCATTTCCCTGATGATTAGTGATGTTCAATTTTTTTTTTTTTTTTTTTTTTTGAGATGGAGTCTCACTCTGTTGTCCAGGCTGGAGTGCAGTGGCAGGATCTCGGCTCACTGCAACCTCTGCCTCCCGGGTTCAAGCGATTCTTGTGCCTCAGTCTCCCCAGTAGCTAGGATTATAGGTGTGTGCCATGTCCAGCTGATTTTTGTATTTTTAGTAGAGATGGGGTTTCACTTTGTTGGCCAGGCTGGTTTCAAACCCTGACCTCAAGCGATCCGCCCACCTCGGCCTCCCAAAGTGCTGGGATTACAGGTGTGAGCCACCGTGCCTGGTGAACTTTTTTACATATGTTTGTTGGCCATTTGTATGTCTTCTTTTGAGAAATGTCTACTCATGTCTTTTGGCCACTTTTTAATGGGATTATTTTATTTTTTTCTTGCTGATTTGTTTGAGTTCCTTGTAGAGTCTGGATATTAGTCCTTTGTCAGATGCAAGGTTTGCAAATATTTTCTAGAATGGTTAAAACTATTATCACATCTTTGGAGAGCACAAGTAGATCTATATCATCCCCTGCTTCCTTCTTTCTCCATACTTGCCTTTTAATAATAAGCAACATTTGGCCAGGAGTGGTGGCTTATGCTTGTAATCCCAGCACTTTGGGAGGCCAAGGCGGGGAAATCACTTAAAATCCGGAGTTTGAGTCCAGCCTGGACAACATGGTGAAACCCTTTCTCTACTAAAAATATAAAAATTAGCCAGGCCTGGTGGCAGGGGCCTGTAGTCCCAGCTACTCTGGAGGCTGAGGCAGAAGGATCACCTGAGCCTGGGAGGTGGAGGTTGCAGTGAGGTGAGATCATGCCACTGCACTCCAACCTGAGCAACAGAGCAATACCCTGTCTCAAAAAAGAAAAAAAATAAAATAAGCAACATTCATTGCCTCTGTTTCTTGAATTGGCTGGGTTTTTTCATGTATCTCATGTGATTTCCCTTGCTTAAAATGCCCTTCTCCAGCCGGGTGCGGTGGCTCATGCCTGTCATCCCAGCACTTTGGGAGGCCAAGGCAGGTGGATCATGAGGTCAGGAGATTGAGACCATCCTGGTTAACACGGTGAAACCCTGTCTTTACTAAAAATACAAAAAATTAGCCGGGCGTGGTGGCAGGTGCCTGTAGTCCCAGCTACTTGGGAGGCTGAGGCAGGAGAATGGCGTGAACCGGGGAGGTGGACCTTGCAGTGAGCCGAGATCGCACCACTGCACTCCATCTAGCCTGGGTGACAGAGCGAGACTCCATCTCAAAAAAAAAAAAAAAAAAAAAGCCCTTTTCCAATATGTGCACCCAGCAGACTCCTATTAAGCCTTCAGAACCTAACTCCAGCATCTTCTCTGTGACCGTAGCCTTACCCTATTGTGCCAAGCTTTGTAAATCGCTTTGTCCCCTTATGCTAATCTTTGTGAGCTTATCTTATTAGGACATGCATTACATGGTGTTTCAATTATTTAACTCTAAGTTTATTTCCACCATTTGGCTGTGAACTTCCGTAGTACAGTTCCTTGCATTTTTGCATCTGTAGCATATTTTGTGACATCAAAAATGCTTAATAAATATTCAGTATACCTTGAAAAAATTCCTGAAACTTGCCATTAAAAGAACTCTGTTACTGATGCACTATAAATTCAAAACTTTTTTGAAAATGCTAAAAGTCATCTCAGAAAGGATGTTTTACAACTCCTTTTTTCTTCCCTATTCATACATTTTTGGATTACTTTACTAAGTTTTTAAAGTTGCAGTGCAATCATGGGAAACCATGTCTGTTACCTACACAGTTCATGTCCTCCGGACTTGATGACTGTCAGTTTTCCTGTAGACCTTTCTGTATGTCCTACCTCTAAATCCCCAGAAATATCATTAGCTGTGTGTTTGACAAGGCAATGCCACAGCAAGTTAGAGCAGTGAGGGAGAAAAATAAATTCTCAGCACATCCTGTACAAAGCATTCAAAAAACAGACTATGAGGTTGCTGAAGGCTATGCATCTATTAAAAGTTGTTATTAACAATGGAAACATATTTTAAAGTTGTTGGAACTTCCATTTTTTTTTTTTTTTTACAAACAAGCTTTATTTCAGTTTTGGGGGACTATCGTCTCCTAAAGTCCTTCTTTTGGTTGAATTTGTCTTGATTTTAAGAGGCACAGAACTATCTCAAGTAGAAGAACTGAAGATAGTAATGAGAGAATGCTCCATCACAAAAGCTGTTGTATTTACATGCAGTTAGAGACCTACTGGTATGTATTACTCTTCGGAGCGATTTTCCCTTCTGTCCATTTCCGGTCTTCTACTACATATGCAAGTGTTTTCCAAAGGGTGTTTTGAGAAATATTGCTTTCTCTAAGTATTAATTAGTGTTGAAGGGTGGAGAAAAAAGCTTTTTCAAGTTAATTTCATTTGGAAAGCATGAGATTAAACAATGTGTAACCAGTTTTTCACCATTACATGTGTTAATTGCTGATGAAGCCTAAACCTACTTGACCATAGCACTGTCACAGATAATGTTCCATGGAGGGCACTTAGGCAAATGCTGCTCAGATAGTATTATATCAATCTTTCTGTTAAAAGAACAAGTCCACACTCATGGCTATTGCATATGTTGTAGCATTGCTAACCTTCATTCACTTGTGTTCAGCCTCCAGAGAGCCTTAGAATTAATTTGCTGTTTTCTGTTCTCCGTGAATAGGTCTTGCTCTGTCTCTTGCTTGATGACCTTTTTCTAAGTGCTTAGGATACTATGCCTTTATGTTTTTCCTTTCCTTTCCTTTTTTTGAAATAGCTGATACTAATACCAAAACATTTCCTTCCACACAACAAAACAACACAAAACAAACAAACAAAATCTAAATACCAATCCTTAATGTCTGTCATAGGAAGTTAGCCAAATTCAACAGGATGAGTTTCATAGTAATAACTCAGGATTGGTGAGTTCTGAATCTAGTGCTGCCCTGAATTTGCTGACTGGGCAGATCTTGTTGTCTATAAAATGGATATATTATAAGCCTTGTGAGCAAGTTCATTTTTCATGAATTCAACACATTAATTCAACCCGAATTTATTAAGCATCTTATACTGGTCCTAGGGCCATAGTGACTACAATAGAATAGATGTGAGCTTTTATGAAGGTTTCTATCTGGTAGGGTAGAGAGAAAAAAAAAAAAGAGAATGACAGTACAGGTGGGTAGGTGCAGTGATGAGTGAAGTTTTATGAAAATACAGAAAGGCCATCTGTATATGCAAAAGATAAGTTATTCATCATAAAACGAAGTGAGAGGGAAAGGATATTCCTAGCATGGGAGAAAATATAGGAATATATTTTTTATTGAGCATATAATTTGTGTCCCTGTGTTTTAGGCACTGGAGATAACAGTTTCAGTTTATATGAGAATACACATAAATAAGTGGTTATTTACAGTCAAGTTTGTGAAATGTTAGAAAGAGGTTTCTATGGGGGCACACAGTGGGAAGGATTTGTAGCTAGAACATTATGATATTGCCTGACACATGGTAGCTAAGAGTTATTTAGTTGTCAATTGCTACCTTAAAACATCCCTAAAATAGGTTGAGATATATTTACAAGGCAGGGACTCCCTGGGACACAATTGTTTCCCCAGTGTTGCTGTGACATTTACTACCTACAGCTCAATTCTATGCAAGGAACCTGTACCAACAACTGAGGCGTCTCAGAGATTCTGTGCTTCTTTTGTTCGTTGGCTCATTGGGTAATTCAAAGGCTTGAGAATCGTTTCTTTTTATACTCCTTCTATGGCTCAGATTTGACCCATTTGCTATTTCTATATTTAATAGTGACCATCTTTGTCACCCGAACACTGTACTTTGGCCACACTTGTTCCTGTTCTTTGAATGTGCCAAATCCCTCCCACTGCTGGGCTTCACATACATTGTCCTCTACACTTGAGGATGCTTTCTGCTCTCTTTGTTTTGAGTAACTCAGTTTACTGATAGTTTAGGTCCTAAGAAGAGTTTTTCTTAGGATTGTCTCAGACCTCCCCTTTCCTAGAGTAGGTTAGGATCCTCTGTAGGTTTTCTTCATGTACTTATTACCATAGCAATTAGCAATTGTGCTTTTGTTGTTTTTCTTTTTGACTTGACTAAAAGGTTGATGAGGGTAGACACTGTATCTCTCTGTTTCTCCTTGCTGAATCTCCAGCACCTGCTACAGAGCCTCATTATTCTAGTAGGCATCCAGCAAAATAATGTTGGAATGAATGAATCAGTGAAAAGTAAGACAGGTGTTTTAGTTTAGTTTTGCAGAGGATCAGAAAGGAGAAGATAATAGGATGGAATGAAATGTCAAACTAGTAATTCAGATAATAGTAACTACAATTTGGAACATATGTGATGTACCAGTGAGTCAGATTTTAAAAATTATTGTAAATCCAGACAATAACTCTGCAAGGATAAACTTGAAACTCACAGAGGCAAAGGACCTTGCGAAGGCTCACACTACAGTCTGTGGGGAAGCAGGCATGGACCCAGATCTGTGTGACTCTAAAACTTCCTTCCACCTTGTCACACATTTCATAGCATTTCATTGATAGATATTGTGGCCAGAGCAGACAGTTAGTGAGTTATAGAGCGGTAACCAATGGCTGGGGGGGATCAAGCAGGCATAATAACCCTGAATGAGTAAGAAGAATGTTGAGACTAAAAAAGCCTTCTAAGACAAGGAGAAACACACTTTGCCCTGAATCTACAGAGATGAAATACAGGGTCTAGTGCATTGGGTGAATGAGACACAAAGCCTAGGTCAGGAGACCAGGATCTAGTGGAATAGGGATCTATTAGAGGTTCTGTTCAGAGAGATCCAGAGGTTGTTAGAATCTCAGGGCTATGATCTAGAAAAGGGGCCTGAAGCATAGGCATTGACAAGAATGTGTGCCTCTGGTCTGTCTGACACATATTGTGCCTTGTAGACCACCCTCACCCACTCTGCCTCCAACCTAGAGTCAGACCTAACCTCAGGACAGAGGCTATTATTCTACACTTATTACACATTTGTTACCACTCGTGTGCTTAGACTCTTTTGCTTCTGGCCTCTCTTTTCTCCCTTTCTTTTTTAAGTGAGCTCCGTTTGAAATTCCTGGACTCAGTTACTTCATTTCTCTTTTACTTTCTGCTTGATATATATGTGTAGTGCCATTTAATTTTCAGTCTTAAATTGGCTAAATTTCTTTTCCTGCCAGAAAAATGGCAAGCCCAATTTTAAATGTCCCATGTTGTTTTAATAAGACATATGAGTATACTGTGCCTGCTCGTGCTTCCATTTTACAGAGGGTCTTCTTAAAATATATATGTGTATATATTTACATATATATGAATTTATATATATATCCTAGAATATATATATCCTAGAATGTATCTATATATACCAGAATATATATATTCTTAATGTGACTGTGTGTGTCTCTGTGTGTGTATGTGTATAAAGTGTTTTAATATGAGATGTTAAGTGTCTTGAATCAATCCCTGTGGAATTCTTCCATGATGCACAAGTTTGATTTACTGTCAGTTTATTTTTCTCCATTTTAATGTTTTTTGAAATAGTTTTCCAGTTTATCTGAATTTAAAAATAAGTGTACCTATTTTTTTTTCCTTTCATAGGCAAAATAGTTGTGTTTTTTATGTGGTCTTCAGGTTCGTTTTCTGCCATGGAGTGTTCAGAACATTGCTGCCTGCTTTTCCCGACTTTCTGAACCCTGTCTTATGTCTGGGCTTATGGTGATCTGGGTGCAGGAAAGGCTTTCTAAATCACTGGTTACACTTCCTTGTTTTTTCTATGACTTTCAAACTGATCATTTGAAATGAGGTTTTATTTCAATTTGTTTCCCAGAGCAGAAACATTCTGAGATGATGCTCGATAATAATAATAATAAACAGCCACAAAATAAGACAAAAATAGCAAACACCTTCCCAAATTAGAAATCATAATTTAAAACAATGAAAAAATGTTTGCATCTGCAGTGCTCTTTCTGTGCAAGGACAGTTATTTATCTTGGTTAAGGATTTTTCAATTAAAGAAAATTGGATGATGTTTTAATTTCCCTATGGCCCTTCAACACTTCTACAGAGGTAAAAACAAGTTGCAAAGTATTATTTTTTCATAAGTTTGAAAATATTTTATATATTGGACAGCCTGTGTGCGAATCTTTCAGGTCAGTTCTCCCTCATCCACTTTCTTCTCTGTAGAGAGTTTATATTTAGGTATTATGATGTTAGTATTGTTGCTGTCTTTATTATCATCATCATCATTGTCATCAGTATTATCCTTTTAACCAAAGCCAGCCATTGTGAAGGGTTATCATCCCTAAATTCTAAATACATAATTTCTCTTTACAAGAAAAGTAAAGTTCCATTCTTTAACTTAATTTGCACATACAGAAAGAGTTAAAAACAGAGTTACCAATTGATCCAGCAATCCCATTTATGGATATATACCCAAAAGAATATAAATCATCGTACCATGAAGACACATGCACATGAATTTTCATTGCAGCACTATTCATAATAGCAAAGACATGGAATCAACCTAAATGCCCATCAATGACAGATTGCATAAAAAAAATGTGGTACATATACACCATAGAATACTATGCAGCCATAAACAAGAATGAGATCATGTCTTTTGTGGGAACATGGATGGAGCTGGAGACCATTATCCTAAGTGAACTAACGCAGGAACAGAAAACCAAATACTGTATGTTCTCATTTATTAGTGGAAGCTAAATGATGAAAACTATTGGGTGTTAGGCTTAGTACCTGAGTGACAAAATAATCTGTACAACAAACTCCCGTGACATGAGTTTACCTATATAACAAACCTGCACATGTACCCCTGAACTTAAAATAAAAACTAAAAACAAACAAACAAAAAACAAAAAAAAGAAAGCACCCTAAATACATTTAGCTCCCAAACAGATCCATTCTCAACAGTTGTTTCCCCTCGTTTTACTAGAAGCAGCAGAATAATATATTTGGTGCCATAATTTCAGGTGAGCAATGTTGACATAATAAAGCTCAGGCCTGGCATGCTAAATAATCTTTCTTTTCTGCTGATATTTCTAGAGGCCATAGAGGACATCACCAAGCAATCATAAAACATCTCCTCCACCTAGATATCATTAATCTAACCAGAAGCCTTCCCTCCACCCAGGAGAACCCAGATATACTTTTTTTTTTTTCTTTTGAGATGGAGTCTCGCTCTGTCGCCCAGGCTGGAGTGCAGTGGCGTGATCTCGGCTCACTGCAACCTCCCTCTTCCAGGTTCAAGAGATTCTCCTGCCTCAGCCTCCTGAGTAGCTGGGACTACAGGCACCTGCCAGCACGCCTGGCTAATTTTTGTATTTTTAGTAGAGACGGGGTTTCACCATGCTGGTCATGCTGATCTCTAACTCCTGACTTTGTGATCCACCCGCCTTGGCCTCCTAAAGTATTAGGATTACAGGCGTGAGCCACCGCGCCCAGCCCAGATATGCTTTTGAAATTCTCAACATGGAGCTTCAGGATTCCCCTACCAATTGATCCTAGTTGGCATGTGACCTGATTATAAGATTCTCCTTCCTTCCACAGGCCTTGAGACAGCAGCAGTATTCTCTCTTCCTTTTTTGCTATCTTTGTCTTCTCTGGCCGTTGTTCTCTTTGAGATGATAAAAGCAAAAGAGGTTTGTTTTTTAAGCACAATACAAAAAGAAGGCAATGGAGGACAATGATAACCATGCAATGTAGCAAAAAAAAAGCAAAAATGTAACAATTCTGAGTCACAGAATATGGACTAGGCTTTCTAACTATACTTTGGATTAATGACTTAGTTTTGCTGGACTTAAATTTCCCTACTTAAAAATGGAGATTAGAATACCTTCTTTATACAAATATGAGAATTTTGTAAATATTAAAATAAAATGAAAGAATAAATGCAAAACCTTTTGTGTAAGAAAAACACTAAGTGCCACATTATGAAATTATCCTTTGGTTAGAGCAGTGTACTCATTAATCCAAGCTTGTTACATTCCATTTCCAAAGTGGTTTCTTTTACACAAATCTCTATCACTCAACCTCCCTGACCATAAGAAATTGGATTTGAAATGAACACCTGATTCTTAGTCAGCAGTTCATAAGATAACCTGTTTTCTATGTGGTAGTTCCAAGGGGTCTGTAGACCAAGTAGTATTATCCTAATGGAAAAGTCTTGCCCACTGACAAGTCATGAGATTAATCGGATCTTTTCTTTTAGAGTTTAGATTCAAGCCTTGTATGAATATTCAGGTAACTGTGGGAGCAGAGGCCAAAAGATAGATGGAGAAGTAAGCATGATTTTTCTAAAAGGAGAGATTTGAAGAATGAAAGAAATTCTTCTGCTTTCTTTGAAGAAGCCAACTGTCATGTTGCAGAGAGGCCCACACAGCAGGGATCTGAGGATGACATCTGGGTGGCCCTAGGGCGGTCATTGGCCAAGGGTTAGCAAGACATCAGAGGAGATTCACTTGGACCCATTCAGTCTTCCCTGTGTCACAAGGTTGCCTTGCCCACTACTGCCCTGTTTTATAAGCAAATTCTAACTATAGAAAAAGGTGGCTCTTGGAAAAACACACATAATGACTTCTTTGGGTAATTAGCCTAGTTCTACTTCAGATTACAATGAAACTGTCCACCTGTGGTCTTTGTTTCCCTCTTTCCTTTTATCCCTGCATGGATAATATTAATCATTGTTTTAAAATGTCGAGTCTGTGGTTTTTCTATCTACACTATTCTCAAGCTTTAGAAGACTCTGAGGGCTCTGTACCATCCCTGATCCTTCAGCCAGCCCCTTGGATTCTGTGAGCACCCCAGTATTCCTCTTTAAGCTTCAGCTAGTTCTGGATGTATTCATCCCACTTGAAACTAAAAGAGTTCTATTTCTTTAAAATTCATAGCATTATATACATTTTCTAAGAAAGGTATTAATGTCCATAATTTAGGGAAAGAGACACAGCTCAATTATTTGCCAAAATTCTCACATTATTAGATCTCAGATGATCTTACTCCAAAACCCATATTCTTTCAGTCTCACTAAACTGAAAGCTCTTTCTAAATTCTTTCTCTCAAACTGAAAGCTCCTTCCAAATTCTTTCTCCCTTCCTCTCCCCACTTCCCACCTCCCTTCATCCCTTCCTCCCTTCCCTTTTTTCCTCCTTCCTTTTAAATATTTATTGAGTGAGAGTAAATGGAAGATTTTTTTTTTTTTTTTTTTTTTTGAGACAGAGTCTCGCTGTGTCACCCAGGCAGGAGTGCAGTGGTGTGATCTCGGCTCACTACAACCTCTGCCTCCCAGATTCAAGCAATTCTCCTGCCTCAGCCTCCCAAGTAGCTGGGACTACAGGCATTCGCCACCATGCCCAGTTAATTTTTGTATTTTTAGTAGAGACGGGGTTTCACCATGTTGGCCAGGCTGGTCTCGAACTCCTGACCTCATGTGATCCAATCGCCTCGGCCTCCCAAAGTGCTGGGATTAAAGGGATGAGCTGGCCTGAATGGGAGATTTCTGTGGAATTCTCCCAATTTGAGTGACAAAATGGTATACACTCCAAGAAAAAGACTGCTCAGGAAGCTCTCCACCATTTCAGATTCTATAGCTAACATGTGAGTATTATTGAGCCTCTTCACTCTGCCCAATACTGTATTCGTAAAAGGATATGTATGTAACAGGCAATGAAAAGAGAAATAATACCACAATGATTTAAAATCTACTTGGGGAGATGGTACATAAACCTAAATTTTATATATATATATATGTGTGTGTGTGTGTGTGTGTGTGTGTGTGTGTGTATACACATATATATCAGTGCATGGTTAACAGGCTTGATCACAAAATTAGACAATTTCAAAACAACTGCAAAGATAATCTTGGATGCTGATTGGGTTGATCTAGTAGTATGTACAAAAGGAGTTAGAGATAGCTGTGTTTGGGAGTCATTGGGGAAATAGTCTTATGACATTTCTATACGTTTCCTACCATCTTACTCTCATACATTTACCTCTCAAAGGACCAGAGATTTCATACATTTATCCAACATTTACTGGGCACTTAGTGGATACCAGGAGCCGTGCTAAGTGCTATGAATAAAAGGATGATGGAGGCTTGAGTTTCTAGGACAGATGAATTGCTTTATCAAAACATCAGTACATTCTTCTCATTCCTTTCCAGAAAACTTGACATTCTTACTTTTCTAAATACCATTCATATGTTTTCCATTTGCCCTCACCTTATATCCTAGGCAAAAGTCCCCAAAGAAGGCAATAATCAAAGAACAGGAGTCTTCTCAGCAATGGGTCTCTCCTACATCATCAGTGGGCAGGGGATGCACCAGAGCTTCATTTAAAAGCATTTCAGGGGAAGCAAGCTGGTAGCTGGGGAGGAGACTAGAAAATTTGTCCTAAAACTATATCGCACAGCAGGCACACTAATTTTATTTAGATTCTGTATTTGAGTTAGTTTGGGGAAAGAGGGAGAAAAAGAAGATGGAGAATATTGAGAAAAATGGACAATTCCCCTGAGCTACCCCTTGGGGCTGGTATGGTTGGTAGGACTGAGAAATGTTCTACTGTTTCTATAGCTGAGTGTCTTACGAACTGAGAGCCATCTCGAAAATTTAAGGAAAAGCAGTTTCTATGGAAACACTCAAACCTTTTGAAGCGTGAATAGATAATCCTTTCTTATAACCAAAAATACAGAGAGATGGAAATGTATTAAAGGTATATTTCATATAACCTGAGTAATATATATTCAGGTTAAGTATGTACCTTCCATGACATGTTACATATTCAGGTTAAGTATGTACCTTCCATAACATGTCGTATACCTGGCATAAATCCCAGAGCATTAAGTACTGATGTACCTCAATGGCTTAATTAGTTTTCATATTCAGACACTAGGAGCATTACCATCATGTTTAGGGACATGTATTGTGGAGACTAACTCTCTGGATTCATATCCTGGCTCAGACACCAATTATACTCTCACTTTTTTAGTTAATTGACCTCTCAGCTTCTGAGTTTCTCACCTTTGCAATGAAAGCAAACATAATATCTACTCATAGGGTTTTTGCACATGATAAGGAAATGAATATGTATAAGTAGCTTAGAATAGCACCCAGTAAATAATAATGGTTTAATAAATATTAACTGTTATAATTAGCAAGTTTTTCAGAGACTAAGCAGCTTTCTCTTTTTACAGATACAATTGGAATTCATAGTACATTTAAGTCAATATAAGTTTAACCACCATTTCTTGGCCACCTGTGTTACACAAGGCATCATAATAGACACTGTTGGTAATTAAAAATGAACATTACATCATTTCTGCTCTTAAATTGGGTATTATTCGGTGGAAAAAGAGGAAAGAGATGCAGACAACCACTAACATCCTAGATTCCAGTGGCAGAAGGGCTTTATAGAGGGTCACATTTTCAGCTCCTCTTCTCTTCTAGCTTTAACTCCAGATACTCTAGCCTACATTTGGTTTCAGAAACACCAAGCTTATTCTTGCCTCAGGACCTTTACATATGCTATTTCTTTGCTGGATTGTGCTGTCTCAGTTCTTATATGCTGATTCCTTCTGGTCAGTCAGGTCTCAGCTGAGGTGTCATCTCCTTGGGGAGGCCTTCCCAAAACACCCTTTCAAAACTTGGTTCCTCCTTGTCATTATCTATAAGAGCACCCTATTGTATTATTCTCAGCATTTTCACAATTTATAATTATTGATTTTAATTAACTTGTTTAATTACCTGTCTCATTGACTAGACTGAAGTTTCATGAAGAAAGTGACTATTTCTGTTTTATTCACAGGTTTTTCCCCAGTGCATTTCACAGTGTCTGGTATCTAGTAGGTATTTGTTGAATGAATGAATGAATGAATGAACATAGTGAATGGAAACAGAGCAGGAATTAGTAGTTTTGACTAGGAACTCCAAGTTTCTTAAATTATAATTTTATTTATTATTATTATTTATTTTATTTTATTTTTGAGACAGGGTCTCACTCTGTCACCCAGGCTGGAGTGCAGTGGCATGATCTCGGCTCATTCAACCTCAACCTCCCAGTCTCAAGTGATCCTCCCACCTCAGCCTCCCAAGTAGCTGGAACTACAGGCGTGCGCCACCACAACCAGCTAATTTTTGTATTTTTTGTAGGGACAAGGTTTAGCCATGTTACCCAGGCTGGTCTCTAACTCCTGAGCTCAACTAATCCACCTGCCTCGGCCTCCCCAAAGTGCTGGGATTACAGGCATGAGGCACCGCACCCAGCCTTCCATCAAGTTTTTAAGAGAAAGGTGGACAATGTGGAATTGACTTTGTAGCGCTCAAAAGCAGCATGAGGAAACACATGGAGGATTTTGATGCCCTTATCTGCCTTCTGTGGAGAATCTACCATCTGATCTTTTATTTTTTATTTTTTCAGACGGAGTCTCGCTCTGTCGCCCAGGCTGGAGTGCAGTGGCGCGATCTCGGCTCACTGCGAGCTCCGCCTCCCGGGTTCACGCCATTCTCCTGCCTCAGCCTCCCGAGTAGCTGGTACTACAGGTGCCCGCCACTACGCCTGGCTAATTTTTTTGTATTTTGTTTAGTAGAGACGGGGTTTCACCATAGCCAGGATGGTCTCCATTTCCTGACCTCGTGATCCGCCCGCCTCGGCCTCCCAAAGTGCTGGGATTACAGGCGTGAGCCACCACGCTCAGCCCCATCTGATCTTTAACGCACAATTGCAGAGTCATGTTTCAAGTTTCCTGCATATTCTCAGAGCCAGCTTCACCTTACCTAGCCCCTGTTATTGTGTAACTTTTCTTTTCATAGGCTTGTCATTCCAATCTTATCCTTCCACTTAGAGAAAGGTACCAGAATGGAGTGCCATCTTGTTGTCCTGAGGATCTAAGCAGGAGATTTTGTTAAAACATTCACACCCTCGCTCAAATTATGTGTTCATCAGGGAGTGCATAGATAGCACAATCATGTTTATGCAGCTGAGAGCAAGAAAAGATCAGGTGACTGATGGAGATCACTTAGCTAGGAGCTAAGGGCTTCCATTAACTATGATAACCACAGTCTAATTTCAATGCTGCTGAATGGGGACTGTAAGATAATTAAGAAGAGTGCAGGCCAGAATGCCAGTGCACATTTCTCCTAAATTAATACAGCCTCATCAAATAGGTTATATTAAAAACAGACACTGTGATACAAGATCATGGATTGGCTTAATTAATATGAATCAACAGGCAGAGTCAGAGCCTGCATTAACCTTGGCAGCAGTTGAGAGTTTGGGAAAAGTAATTGAGTAAGAATGATCTTGTGGTGAATAAAATAGCATCTGAAATGGAGTCTGGCTGTTGTGCATTGATGTAAATATTGTGACCTCCACACCTGGTCTTTCTCACAAAGGTGCTTTTCTGGGAATACCCACTAGGGTGGTGTTTCAGAGCAATGGATGGAAACTGACTCCTGAAAGACAGATGCATGGTTCCAAGTTCACTGGTGGAGACAAATCAATTAAAAAGTTCAAGATTTTCTAGCTCTGATAGCAAAAAGGACTCCCGAAATTAAAGCAAAAGTAAAATGCACAAAAAGGTCAAGACTTAGAAGTGATATTGTCCAATATATTAAGCAATGCAGGCACTTATTGTACAGCATTTCTGATAAAGTGGCTATCTAGCCCCACTTTACATCTTTCTAGTGAGTTCTTAGCTCAGAAGTCCCACATTCCATTTTACGAAGATTTTGGGGTATCTTACTTCCTAGGCCAGGGAAAAACTTTGTTCTGGTTTTAGGGATATTCTAGGAAATCTCCAGTTATTTCTAGTACATTCATTTTTGGGTTGCCAGATTTAGCAAATAAGAATACGAATGCCCTGTTAAATTTGAATTTCAGATAAACGTGATATTTGGGACATACCTATACTAAAAAAATTTGTTTTCTGAAATTCAAATTTAACTGGGTGTCCTGTATTTTATCTGGCAACAACCAGAGGTTGTTTTAATTTGCTTTTTTTTTTTTTTTTTTTTTTTTTTTTTTTTTTTTTTGAGATGGAGTCTTGCTCTGTGGCCCAGGCTGGAGTGCAGTGGCACTATCTCGGCTCACTGCAAGCTCTGCCTCCCGAGTTCACGCCATTCTCCTGCCTCAGCCTCCTGAGTAGCTGGGACTACAGCTACCCGCCACCACGCCCAGCTAATTTTTTGTATTTTTAGTAGAGACGGGGTTTCATCATGTTAGCCAGGATGGTCTGGATCTCCTGACCTCGTGATCTGCCCACCTCGGCCTCCCAAAGTCCTGGGATTACAGGTGTGAGCCACCACACCTGGCCGAATTTGCTTTGTTTTTAAGTGGGATATCTTCTGCATTCACAGTGAAGAAGAATACCAAAATATGTTAAAACAAACCAAAACAAAAAACAGCATACCTGTATCTAGCATTTTTCTGAGTTAACTAACAGAATAAAATGAGTATGACTCAATTTCATGCCCTCAAAGGCATTTCAATGTATACCAGGGAAGACAGACTTCCAAGAGTATAATTCTACAATTGTTTAACATACTATACTAGTAGTATATTCATGAAAAAGTAAGGTCACACAGGAGGGAGTGATCACAGAATAATTGAGGATTACTTTTCCAATTAGGGAATAAGAATATCTTACATTGATAATGTATTCCATGCTTTTCTGCCATGCCCAGTTTATCTTCACAAAGATTAATTCTTAAAGGGATATGGAATAATGGATTAAGTTTTTGGGAATCAGCATTCAGGCAATCATAATCTATAGTCAATAACCTTTAATAAAATATTCAGAAAGCAATCTTAAAATTTGTAAAAGTGGTTATTTGGTAGAAATGATTCAATAATTATAGCCAATTTATACAGAGATGATTGTAGCACTGATCCGTCCATTGGGGCTGTCAGTGTATATGGATCACCTTTGTGCTGATTGAGAAAAAATGGGTAACTCTGATATGAGCCAATTCTGCTGCTAAAAGACACTTCCATTATTTAACTAAAGAAAAAAATATACAAGAAAAAAATCAATGTTTTCTGTGTTCTTAATACTTAATGACTCCATTATTTCTTAAATAGCTTTTTGGAGACTTGATCTTGCACCATCACTGTACCACTGAGACCAACTTTAACTGTTCCATAGAAACTCAATATGTGCATATTTTTTAGTTTTGTCATTCAAGATTGACCAACTGTTGCTGATTAACCTTAGATTTGGCAAAGGTTCAGAGAAAGTAGTACTTCCACATATTGGCAGTACCTAATTTATATTAAATGCTAAATAAATATTTGTTGGGTAAATACTGGTTAAATGAATACTCTCTTACACAGAGTAAGTCTTTGACCTGAGACTGGGTAAGTTATAAAGACAAGAGATTTAATTCACTCATGGTTCTGCAAGCAGTATAGGAAGCATGGCGCTGGCATCTGCCTTGCTTCTGGTGAGGTCTCAGGAAGTTTTCAATTATGGTGGAAGGTGAAGGGGGAGCTGGCGTATCACATGGGGAGAGTGGGAGCAAGAGAAAGCAGGTGGAGGTGCCACACTCTTTTAAACAACCAGATCTCATGAATTCAGAGTAAGAACTTGCTCATTACTGCAAGAATGGTGCAATACCATCTGTGAGAGATCTGCCCCTATGATCCAACACCTCCCACCTCCCACCTCCAACATTGGGCATTACATTTTAACAGCATATTTGGAGGGAACAAATATCCAAATCGGATCACACAGCAATTTTATTTTTAGGAATATGAATGAAGAAAATAATAATGGCGTGAAATGTGAAATGATTTAGGAATAAGACTGAGTGCAGTATTTTTATTTTATTTATTTATTTATTTATTATTTATTTATTTATTTTCTATATTTTGTATTTTAAGTTTATTTCTTTATTTTATTTTATTTTATTATTTTTATACTTTAAGTTTTAGGGTACATGTGCACAATGTGCAGGTTAGTTACATATGTATACATGTGCCATGCTGGTGTGCTGCACCCATTAACTCGTCATTTAGCATTAGGTATATCTCCTAATGCTCTCCCTCCCCCCTCCCCCCACCCCACAACAGTCCCCAGAGTGTGATGTTCCCCTTCCTGTGTCCATGTGTTATTATTGTTCAATTCCCACCTATGAGTGAGAACATGCGGTGTTTGGTTTTTTGTCCTTGCGATAGTTTACTGAGAATGATGATTTCCAATTTCATCCATGTCCCTACAAAGGACACGAACTCATCATTTTTTATGGCTGCATAGTATTCCATGGTGTATATGTGCCACATTTTCTTAATCCAGTCTATCGTTGTTGGACATTTGGGTTGGTTCCAAGTCTTTGCTATTGTGAATAGTGCCGCAATAAACATACGTGTGCATGTGTCTTTATAGCAGCATGATTTATAGTCCTTTGGGTATATACCCAGTAATGGGATTGCTGGGTCAAATGGTATTTCTAGTTCAGAATTTTTATAATGGCTAGAAAAAGGGAAGGAAGCTAAGCAAAGGTAGGTTATTGAATTTAAAATATGATGGCTATCAGGATGCTGAGGCAGAAGAATCGTTTGAACCCAGGAGCAGAGGTTGCAGTGAGCTGAGATCATGCCACTGCACTCCAGCCTGGGCGACACAGCAAGACTCCTTCTCAAATAAATAAATAAATAAATAAAATAAAATACTATGGCTACATTATACAATGAGCTATTGACCAGCCATTAAAATTATTGTACAAGATGCACATTTATTGTCATAGAAAAGCATTCACAATATATTATTAAAGAAAAAAACAATTTACCAGTGGCAGATATTGCAGTATCCCAGGATATATGAGTGAGAGTGTCTGTGTGTGTGTGTGCACGTGCACTTATGTATATGAAAAAAAAGCCTTGAAATGTTTATATCAAATATTAAAATTGATTATATCTGGATGACAGGATTCTTGATAACATTTTTTTTCTTTTTGTTGTTTTTAATTTAATTTTAAGTTCTGGGATATGTGTGCAGGACATGCAGGTTTGTTACATAGGTAAATGTGTGCCATGGTGGTTTGCTGCACCTATCAACCCATCACTTAGGTAGTAAGCTCTGCATGCATTAGCTATTTATCCTGATGCTCTTCCTCAACATTTTTCTACACCAATTTATTTCTCCTTTCTTCAACTCCAGTAACATGTTAGATCCTTAGATATGGTTGCACAGGTTGGAGGCTTTTTTAGTTTTTGCAGTCTTTTCCTCTCTGTTCTTTAAATTGCATAATTTCAATTGCTCCGTCTTCAATTTCACTGGCTCTTTTCTCTTTCATCTCCATTATGCTATTTTGCCCATCCAGTAAATTTTTCTGATTTTTCAGTTCTCAAATTTCCACTTGATTCTTTTTTATAGTTTTAATTTTGCTCTGAAAACTTTTATATACCCATTCATTTCAATGTGTTTATCTTTATCTAATGGATTATTCTTATAATAGCTACTTTAAGGTCTTTGATAATCCCAACATCTGGGTTATCTCAGGCTTGGTATCTGCTGAGTATCTATTTTCTTAGATATTGGTTAGATAATTTTGTTTCTTTGTATGTTGAATGCTTTTGGTTTGTATCCAGAATATTTTTAATATCATGTTGATAGATTCTAGGTCCTATTAAATCCTCTGCAGAATGTTATTTATTTCTTTATTGTTTAAGCAGGCAATTGGCTAGGTAGGTTCAGACCACAAGTTCTGATTCTCCTTCTTAGGCTGGTGGTTCCAATATCATTTCAGTTTTCCAGGCCTGTCTTATGCTTTTTGAGTCTACTTGGCACATGTGCATCTTAGGGGTTTGTCTTCAGCTGGACCAGTGGTTTATACGGCAATTCACTTCTTAAAGCCTTTGTTGATTTCTTTGAGTCTGTTGTGTACATGCACAGCTTGGAGGTAAGCCCAGGACTTATGTCACTTCATACACAGGATCCCCTTCTCCGGTTCTTTCCTCTTTGGGATTTCTTTCATACTCTTAACTTCCAGTGGTTTGTTTTCCTTATACCTTTGGCCAGAAAGATGCATTTCTCTCAGACTTTTAGCTTTCACTGTCATTATGAATTTCCTAGTGACTGGAGTCTTACTTTGCTGGCCAACATTTAAATTTTCACTTTAGTCCTCAATTCATTTGCTATTATTGACTTTTCAGAATTCTCAAATAGTGCATTTGGCAATCTGTTCAGAGTTTTTAGTTGTAACAGTAGAGAAATAACCTGTATCAAGTTCTCCATTTGGCTGGCACCACATGTACCCTGATATTCCATTTTTCCTTAAGTGTTTATTTTCTTAATCTTCTACCATTAACATAAGCTATATGTAGGGGTAAATATGAAGTTTAAAAATTTTTTTAATTAATGTTTTTCTATTGCTGCTGAGCAAATTAATGTATTTTTTAATTTTAAAAGGAGTAAGTATTGTGAGAAATACCATAATTTTTCAGTAAATATTATAATGATGTAATATTTTTCAGTGATCAGACATTCAAACATGAAAATGATAACCAATTTAGGTGCATATATGGGAAAATAGGCAGTCCCCACTTAGATAGTGGTATGCAAATTAGTACAGTCTTTTTCATAGTCAATATGGAGATCTTGATAAATTTCAAATGTGTACATTTCCTTTGAGCCAAAAGTTCAAATTTCAGGAATATATTCTATGGAAACACACCAATGCATCAAGTAAGTGTGTATATGTTAATTGTTGCATCATTATGTGAAAATTGGAAAGAAACTCATTAACATGGTGATAGTTTAACATACTACCATAGTTCCATACAATAAACTTATATATAGCCATTAAGAAGAACATGACACCTGTATCTACTCAGAGAAAAAGATAGTATCTACAATTTATGTCTGAGTAACAAGTGGGTTACAGAACATTATACCTATAGAAAGTTCCCTTTATGTTTATTTATTTGTTAATAAATAATACACAGAATTACTATATAGCAAGACACACAAATTTCTATTGCTGCATTTTCAGTTTCCCTTTCTTTCGTCTCCATTCTGCTATTAAGCCTATCCACTAATTTTTTCTGATTTAAAATAGTGCATTTTTCAGTTCTCAAATTTTCATTTGATTTTTTTGTAGTTTTAATTTTGCTTCTGAAAATAATCCTCTAAGGAGATTTGAGATTGGGCTGTTATGGGAACAAGGATGCTTTTCATTGTCTTTATTGCTTGAAGGTTTGGAAGACTAATAAATATTTGTATAAATTTTTTTTAATGAAAAAAATTTAAAAATATTCCTAGAAAGGACTTCAAGCTCTCTGAGAAATTCAGATTTTTATTTTCTCTACAATTCATAATTAAATAATCCCTGTTAAACCTTGGGCAGATGGCATGATGGGAGAGATAGGACTTAGCTTCAGGTGGCCCTCCTGGGAATTTCATGGTACTACTCTAAATGGTAATGAAGAAAACCTTCTGGACAACCATCTAGAAAGAGTTAGTATTTACTGGTGAGGAAAAGCATAGTGTGACATGAGGGAGGCCAGGGGGACACTGACTGTGAGACAGGGATCACAAATTCATGCCTCCAAGCTTGCCTTAGGGTATATTTGAAGGTTTGGTTATAGAGCAACAAAGGCAAGAGTGAGTGGTCCCACATGCTCTGTTGAAATCAAGGGAAGGGTTTACATGCAACTGGTTCCCACTTGCTGGATTGACCACCTTGGCAGAGAGTAGCGGTTTTGTATCAAGGTCCACGTCTTTGAATTAAGTAACAAATGACACCGTTGTTAGATCTAAGGTCAAGGCAAAAGAGAGCCTTGAGAGGACCTCTCTGAATTCTACTATACTAAATGTCCAAACAACTTACCTGGACACTTAGTCACCTACGGTCTCAAAGGATTTGAAAAATTATTTCATGTATGTGAGACTCATTTTTATATTGTGTGTTTCATGAGGGAATGACTCCTTACTATGCTTTAATTTTCTTGAACTTGCGTACTACTTGACATTTTCTATGACATTTTAATTTAATTTTGTTGTTTTTCATCTGTTTTCTCCACTACAATGTCAGCTCCGTGAAGCACTTTACTTCTTTTGTTCTCTGCTATAGACCCAGTATTGAAACGGTGCCTAACACTGACTGGGGACTCAATAAATATCGTTGATTAAAGAATGATGCATGAGGACTAGAAATGGGGTTTATACATTTTCCATCTCTTTCCTCGCATTCCTTTAGTGTTAGGACTTTGACATCAATCAAGAAGAGGATTTGAGAGTGTCCTTTCCATTCATCTTTTAAGTACTCTGAACTTGGCTCAGATTCTCCACTATTGGCAACACATATGCAATGGATTTTAAAACAGGAAGAATCACAGTATTCATTTTCCTATTTGAAAAACTTATGCATTTCCTCCCCAACTGGTACTACGATTAATACATTTCAACCTGCCCTGTCCCAAATTCACTTCATCCATTATATTACCATTTTCCCCGATTCTGAAGTGAGCCTTTGATTTCGTATTTTAATATATTTGAAATATGAATATCTCTTACTATCATTTGCATCTTAGCAACATATCATAGTTTAACTTGCAATGTTTTCTATGTCGTACAATTAATGGATCTTAGGTTTTTGTGAAGTATGATATTTCGGTTTCTCATACTTCCATTTCAGTATTTTAGAACATTCAATGGAAATTAGTGTAGTAGGAAGAGAACTTCGGTTGTAAATAAAGGAACTGAATTTAGTTCTGCTAATTATGTAGGTGAAAATGAGCAGAGCAGGAACTTCACCCTTCTGGGTCTCATTCTCTGTTTTATAAAATAGAAGAAGGCATTGATCTAATATTTTAGTGAGGGAACATTTGGTTGTGTTAACCTTAAATAATGAGATTCAGAAAATATGATTAAGTATAGAGTTTATTGGAATGCTAAACTTGAGGCTAGACACCTGGAAATGGACTCCAAGAGAATGGGGTAGTGTTCCTAAGTGGAGAGTTAAAGTTTCATTTATATAGAGATGTTAGCAGGATTTTAACATTTTCCATACAAGACTAGTACATACACCACTGCAACTTAATTGGTCACAGAGTGGTACATTCTAAGGAAGGTTATTTTATTACTCCACCATGAGGAGGGATAATAATCTGAGAGGTCTTATCTCTGATGCTGTTTGGTCTTAATTATTTAGAGAAAAAAAGGCAGAAGTTGCAGCTGCATTCTGTGTGACTCAGGTTGCATAGCCACATTCCTTTCAAGGCTCAGAATAATTTAAAATTCCAACAGTTTTAAGTTTGAATTAATTTTAAGTTTGAATTATTGAATTCCACAGTTGCCATAAACAAAAACTTTAACTTAAGAGTGACTGAAGTGGATTACAAAATAATTAAGAGCATCACATGTAAACCAAGAGCAGAAAGTGATTGAGTCTCATGAATTACTGATACTTGGGAGTAGAAAATTGTCAGAATGCAAGGAAGACATTTTATTTTTTTTCTCTCTTCTGACCTCTTTCTCATTCCATGTACTTTCTCTTCTTATTTTTTCTGTTTGTCTTGATAAAAGAAAAACTTCAGCTGAATTAAATTTAAAGCAGTTTAATTGAGTAATGAATGATTTATGCACAGAAAATGGAAGTGAAATTCAGAAACAGCTGGATTGGTTACAGGTTGGCTTTTGCCTTATTTGAACACTATTCAAACAGTTGGCTATATTTGATTGGCCAAAACTTGGTGATTAGCATGAGTGTAGGCTACGGTCTGTTTACACCTTTACTTGTTATAGTTTACAATGTACAGAAAAACCTTTAGGCCAAACTTAAAATATGTAAAGAGACAGTTTTTGGCTAAACTTGATTTAAGTCTATTTTCTTTTTCTCCCATACTTCCTTCCCCTGCTTTGTGACGAATTTGATTAAATATGGCTTCTCTAGCCTCTAGTTTAACCCCTGAGGCCAACTAGCATGTTTGAAGTTCAAGACTAACCTGATTTATCATGTTGATCCAGGAATTCATACCTGTGACGAAATAGAGAGGGGTCATGAATTACAAACATGGCTGAGAAGTCTACTCCAGTATTTAAGGGAAGTTAATTCTCAGAAAAGAGGAGGAAAAACTAGGCAGATATTCCAGAAGTTTCTGCAGTGGCTAAATAATCTCAGTGGACTCTTCAAGCTGTAAACCAAAAATAAAATACTAAGCCCCCCAACAGACTGAATGGATCACTTCTCTGGGCCACGGGGATTCCAAAGATACAGAAAAACTAGTTCAGGCCATGATGGGAAGGGGGGTTGGACATGCTTCAGTATGCTCTCCTCCCATTAGAATTCAGGCATAGCTGACCAGCATTAACATTAAAACAGAGACATTAAGACTAATAGTAACAATAAGATACCAAATTCCAACCTGACTCTAGGATAGCATCACATGACAGATAGCAGGCCCTGAAAGAAATCAAAGTATTTTACCCCAGAATATATTTCTTTGACATATTTTGAAACGGACCTGAAAAGCTATTTCTTGTAGGGGAAATTTACATTCCTTAGATAATCCCCTTACCTTTCCAGGTCTTTTGCTGATCCTGAAGAGATTAGCTAAGAGTCTAGCACCTTTTTAAGATCTGACTAGGAAACATTAGCCTGTAGGGGTGGCCACCTATGAGACTTTATCTACATAATAAGAACCTTGGGCTCCACAATCTCTTATCTTAACCCAAACACTCCTCTCTATTGATTCTAGGTCTTTAGATAATAACTTATCTCTTTCAAACAATTGCCAATCTGAAAATCTTTGAGTCTACCTATGTTCTGTGAGACCCCACTGCAAGCTGTCCCTCCTTATGGGACAGAACCAATGTATACCTCACATGTATTAATGTCTTATGTCTTAAGTCTCTCTAAAATGTATAAATTCAAGCTGTGACCTAACCACCTTGGGCACATGTTCTCAGAACCTCCTGAGGCTGTGTCAGATGTGTTTGAAACAGAGCAAGTCCATCTTGAATAGGGGCTGGGTAAAATAAGGCTGAGACCTACTGGGTTGCATTCCCAGGAGGTTAAGGCATTCTTAGTTACAGGATGAGATGGGAGGTCAGCACACGATACAGGTCATAGAGGGCTTGCTGATAAAACAGGCTGTAGTAAAGAAGCTGGCTAAAACCCACCAAAACTAAGATGGCAACAAGAGTGACCTCAAGGTCATCCTTACTGCTACACTTCCAGCAGCGCCATGCCACTTTACAAATGCCACGGCAATGTCAAGAAGTTACCCTATACGGTCAAAAAAGGGGAATAACCCTCAGTTCTGGGAATTGCCCACTTCTTTCCTGGAAAACTCATGAATAATCCACCCCTTGTTTAGCATGTAATCAAGAAATAACCGTAAAAATGGGCAACCAGCTGCCCTCGGGCTGCTCTGCCTATGGAGTAGTCATTCTTTTATTTCTTTACTTTCTTAGTAAACTTGCTTTCACTTTACTCTATGGACTCACCCTGAATTCTTTCTTGTGCGAGATCCAAGAACCCTCTCTTGGAGTCTGGGTTGGGACCCCTTTCTTGGTAGTAGCTGTGTCATGGGTTATGGTCTTCACATTTGGCTCAGAATAAATCTCTTCATATATTTTACAGCTCTAAAATTGTGAGAGCAGCAGGAGGCAGCCAAATGCATAGGCAAATAGGGGTAGGATTCCAGTGAAACCCCACCTCCAAGCCAAAGAGTTTAAAGCCTGAAAGCCAAGCCACAAGTTAATTCCTCAGACCAGACTGAGAACTTGTCTTCCTGTTTGGTGTGCTTTCCTCCAATTGGTCCTCACCTTTCACCTATTTTACATATACCTACCCTTTCCTAAATGGTTTTCTACACTGTTGTGCTCACCTTTGCATGGTGTCTTTGCTTTAACCATTTTTGCATACTCACAGACCAATCAGCATGCACTCCAGATTCTGAGTCTATAAGACTCAGACCCAGCCACACAGGGAAACCATACCCCGCACCCTTCCATTCCCTCTCTGCTGAAAGCCATTTTCATTACTCAATAAAATTCTTCTCTCTTCTCCCTTCAATGTCCCATGTATCCTCATTCTTCTTGGGCATGGTACAAGAACTCAGGAACTGCTGAGCATGGGTACAAGCTATAACACAGGTGAGCTGGGCATGCCAGTGTGGCTGAGTGAGACCCAGATGGGGTATTGCTGTCTAGGGGGTCCCGGGCTTGCAACGTGACTGAGAGAAAGGATCCTGCATTAATTGGATGAGCCGTGATGTAGGGAAAAATTGAATTGTTTACATAGTTTAGGACTTTTCTCCTAAAGAATGGTCTTGATAAGATATTGCAGGAGGTGAATAACGTTTCCTTTATATTAGTTCAGTAACGAATATCTTACTAATAACTTCTGGACTTCTTATTTTTAAAAAAGGCTTATGTATGATGTGGCTTTTTTCACATTAGGCATGAAATTAGAGGAGAAACCTTTACAAGACATTAATATCATGATTTTTCAATTTTTAAAAATTAAAATAATTAGCTTAACAATTTGTCATTATGAGGTATTCTTCTATCATTAGAAAGATAGCAATGCAGCATCTTTCTTTAGAGTTTGTATTTTTTCTCTTGTTTCCATCTAGTGAAACATTTTAATCTCATTGATGGTTCTACTTGCACTAAGACACTGTGTGTGTGTGTGTGTGTATGTGTATGAGACGGAGAGAGGGAGAGAGAGAGAGAGAGACAGAGTGAGAGAGAGGAGGTGGAAGAGAGGAAAGAACAAGAGCATTTATTTTGTACCTACACCAATATTTTCATTAGATACTTGGGGACAGGCATGGTCAAAGCTAATTCTTTTAGGGTAGTAAATTTGTTATGTTTGGGCAAGTGGAAAAGCCAAGGTCAATAAAGTTGAGATGCCTATAATAATTGTTCACCGTGAGGAAAATGCCTAAGAGATCCTATTTCTTCTGAAATGATAAAGAACTTGTATGCATCCATACTTTGTACCAGATTCTTTTTATATGGTAGCTCTAATCCTCATAAAAATTTGGCATGCTGTTGTTCTTTTCAACTAACTGAAGAGAAAATTGAGGAATAGTAATGTTGGGTAACTCGACCTAGGTTACACAGCTGGCTGTGGTGGAGCTGGGATTTGAATGCAGACATTTCTGATTCCAGAGCCTGTTCACTTTGAATCTTTCTGCTTGCTCTTTAGGGTCGATATTCAGCGGATGACTTCTAGTTCCAACTTTTGTGAAGTTGCTCTGATATCTTAGGCAGCTTAACATTTCTGTGCTTCATTTTCATAAGGCATAATGTCTATCAAATAGAAATTGCTCAAAAATTATTTGCTTTTGCTTTTTCTTTTTCTTTTTTTTTTTTTTTTGAGACGGAGTCTTGCTCTGTCACTCAGGCTGAAGTGCAGTGGCATGATCTCGGCTCACTGCAACCTCCACCTCCCGGGTTCAAGTGATTCTCCTGCCTCAGCCTCCGTAGTAGCTGGGATTACAGGCACACGCCAGCATGCCCAGCTAATTTTTGTATTTTTAGTAAAGATGGGGTTTCACCATGTTGGCCAGGCTGGTCTGGAACTCCTGATCTCAGGTGATCCACCCACCTTGGCCTCCCTAAGTGCTGAGCCACCACAGCTGGCCTCAAAAAGTATTTGTTTTGATAATCACCTACATACGGGGTTAATGTGAGGGTTGTGGTGGTTGATATATGTAGAGAGGATATGGAGTAAGAGTTTGGGCCTGCTGGTGCACCAACACAACTTCGGGCTTATTTACTTTCTTTATGCTTTGGTTACTTAATGATAAAATGAGGAATCTTAAAACAACTATCACTGGGTCATTATGAGGATTAGAATACATTTTAAGAATAATTATCATGGTGCTAAGTGGATAGAAATTACACTACACATTTTAACTCCCCACCATTATAAAAGAAACTTTAGATGGGCAAGGACTTTGAAACCTGAGTGTTGAAAAAAACAGAAGTTGGGGCTTGGTTTCAATCCTTGCTTTGGTGAGGCGGTAATCTCATTTCAGTGTCTTTGGGACACAAAAAAATCACGTTTCTCTGTGGCAACTTCTGACTCCAGTTTTGTAAGCAATCCAATGGGAAAAAAAAGATAAGAATTCAAGAAACCATTAGAAGGCATGTAGAAACTTTCTGAGGTTTAAGATGTAAGTTTAATTTTCCAATTTTCTTTACTGAGACACAGTTCTATAACCCTGAATATTTATGACTTTTCACTAAGACTTAGAAATCTGAGAGCATGATAGAGGAAAAAAGATGGAGAAAGTTAGCAAAAAGTTTACACTTACGATCAGGATTTGAAAGATTCAATCTGTGTCTGTCTGTATTTACATTTGCTTATAATCTATATCTACTAATTTTAATGTAGAAAAATGACTAATTTCCCTCCTATATGCCACAATTTGTACAGCAATTGGCACTTTGTCACCTTTTAAAAAATATATCACTGTAAAATATGTAGCTGAAAAAAGTGGAATATCTTCCACTCTGTAATGCAATTACATAAATCGCTTTAGAATTCAACTTATATTTGTGAGGTTCATTCTGTGAAATTACGGGACTCTATTGGAAGTTTGTTTTTAGATGCTGTATTCCTTACCACTGCCCACTGGTAGATTTTAATGTTCAAGGTCCAATCAACATCCTTGAATAGAACTGAATTTTGCTTCCCTTTGTCAATATAAAAATTCTCTTCCAAAGACTGCAATGTATTTACTGGAATATTCAAAACCCACTGGTAATTTATAAATAAATCTACTGGGCAAGAATTAACCTTTTTCTTTATTAGAAGAACTTAAGTCCAATTGAGTGAAACCATAGGAGAATTAAAATGAAAGAGCTAATCAGGCTTTGCTGCAACTATAAAGAAAATGACGTGAAAATGTATGTTCTGAAGAATTTAAAGAAAATGTAATACATTTTTAAATCTTGTCACTATAATGTCAATATTGCACATTATAAGACTCTTCATTTCACCTGTGGGCAGTAGATAAATATTCAGGACTGAAATATTTAAAAGTGAAAGGTTGTGTAGTTTAAATTTTATGAGAAGAGATTATATTTCAGGTCTGCTTTCTTAGGACTCTGACAGTGGAATTTTTGAAAAATTCCTCTTCACTCTAAAGCTGAAGGTGGAGCCCTTGTGCTGTGTCCAAGAGACATTCTCAGCATTAACTCTTCCAAACTTGCTTATACAGTTTGTTTTAGTTCTGCAGTTCTCAAAAGGACATAGTCTAGAAAAAAAAAAAATGGTGGCTGTTTTTTAACTCTTGGATTACCACCTTGGATATCTTGTGGATAGATGGGATTTCACAGGACATGGTAAAACCTGTTGAGGTTTGGAGTTGGAGGTTTTTGCAGTGACTCGTGGTTTTGGCTCCTTCGGGGGGATAAGAGGAAACTGTCATTGTCCATGTCTGTGTGGGATGTTTCTCTGGAAATGTCTCTGCATGGCCTCAGTTTCACCATTTGCAAAATGAGTAGGTTCTCTTAGCTATCCAGGTAAGCTTGCCCTTTGAAAGAATGGGACCGTCCATGCTCCAGGTATGAGGGCAAGGGAAGAAAAGAGGTAAAAAACATTAACACACATGAAGTCCCTACTCTGTGTTTCCAGAACTTCACAATTGCTATCTCATTTTCTTTCCAACAAAAACCCTGTGAAGTAGATATGACTAGTACTCTTTTATAGATAAAGATGCCCGAGGTCAGTGACATTAATTTCTGCAAAGACACATATTGAAGAAGCGATAGGGCTGGGTTCAGGACCCAGCTTAGTCTAACTCCATTTTGGGGAGTATTGCTACTGTAATCAAAGCTTTGTGTACACTTGCAACATAAAATACGGAAAATAGTCTTTTTTTTTTTCCCCGAAGTGAAAGCAGAGCCTTAATTAAAAATAAATAGCATGAATTTAAACAACGTTGAAATATTAGTTTTGACCTATGAGCACAGTGAAAATAATTAACACATTGTTTTGACAAAGGCGCTGCAGAAGAGGTACTGTCATGCTGAGTATGCATGGGATCTATACATTTCACACATTTGAGAGATATTTAAGCATTATGTATATCATTAATTGCAAAAATCTTCACCTAGATTGTTTTTTATCTAGTTTTTCTTTTAGGTGATGTTTCATAAACACATCTTTCCCAGTTTGAAATTTTGAAAGGATTTTCAAATGGCTTTTTTAAACACTTTTATATTTCAGGAAATCTTTAATCTTTTTGGAATTTATCCAGGTGTAAGACAGAAGCAATTTTCCAAATGGCTATCCAGTTGTGCCAGCCCTCCTTATTGCATCAGTCACCTTTTCCTTGCTGCTTTGAGGTGCCCATAATATAAATTTCTGTGTGCTTTTGGGTTCATTTTTGCACTTTCTATTATAGTCCATTGATTATCTCTTCATGTGCTGTTGCCACACTGCTTTTGTTATTTTGGCTTTGTAATGTTTAATTCCTCTTTGGGCTCGTCCCTATTATACTCTGAATTTTTTTTTACCCAGATTTTTTTTTTTCCTAGCTACTCTCGTGTGTTTATTATATCATTTAAATCTCATAGTTAAGATTTCCGTACACTTATAGATTAAGGAGAAATAACATTTCTATTAATGTTTAGTCTTCCTAAGAATATGTTATACTTTGATTTATTTATCATTTTACATCCCTCAAGAGTATTTAAATCTGTTTGTTATTTAGATCTTGTTAATTATTTACTTACAATATTTATTCTTGGAGATTTATTTTTTATTGCTATTGATTTTTTGGTACTTTATGCCATTATTCGTTAGAAGTAGTTATTGTTTTTAGATATTAAAGCCATCAATTTTTGTATATTAATTTTATATCCAGCCTACTTACTTGTATTTGCTTTTTTTGGTAACAACTTTTCCACTTGGAATCTTGGATTTTTCTTACATACAATCATATCATCTTCAAATACTAAACAACTTTACGTCTTTATTTGTGCTAATTGGAACCTCCAGAACAATGTCAAATAATTGAAGTGAGGGAGGATAGCCATCTGTTTTTGTTTTATAGAAATTGTTTTCTAATGTTAAACCACGTCTGCACTTCTGGTTCTACTCCAGTTGGTTATTATGTTAAATTATTTTAATATGTTGCTGGATTCATTTTGCTAATGATTTTTTAAATCCTCACAAATGAAACTGATTTATAATTTCCTTTTTATTATACTCTTATTGGGTTTCATATCAAAATTAGTATTGCTTCATAAAATGAACTGTGAAGTTTTTCATCTTTTTCTATGGTCTGAAACAGTTTATAACAAAGGAATTATCTGTTCCTTGAAGTTTGGGAAAATGTGTCTCTAAAACATGAGTGTTTCATAATTATCTTTTTAATTTTTTGTATGGTAAGTAGTTTGTTAAAGTTTATTACGGATTACAGATTCAATATTCATAAAACATTGTCCAAGAGAAGTTTTTATTTCATTTAGAGTTTTTGATTTATTGGCATGAGGCTGTACAGAATGTTTTCTGATAATTTTTTTGACAATATAAATAAAATATAATTTTTTCACGCCAGTGAATTAATTGGCTAGGCAATGATTATCAATGGCTGCTACATCACAAAAGCAGAAATGATCAGATCTTGATGGAGGTTCACAATGTCATCTATGACGTTGTCTTATAAAATAATGGAATTTGAATCTTATGAAGCATCTAGATGTAACTGCCAATATTCAGCAAATGAAGAATATATAAGAATATATTAAACAGCACTGCAGGATATAATCAACAAACTCCAGACTGTAAGCAAACCACAGGATAAAAGACACCACTTCCTCAACAACAACAACAACAACATTTATAGGGGGAAAGCAAGAGCTAAAGAGAGAAGGGAAACCTATACATTAGAAGAGACCTAGAAGAATATCAACCAATTGTAATGTATGGATCTTATTTGGATTCTGGTTTAAACAAACAAACCAAGAAAATTATAAGAACTAAAAAATATGAAAACTTAAATATGAACACTGAATCTGTGATGATGATATAGTGCTGTCTTTAAAAGGAGATACTACTTTTTAGTGATACACACTGAATATTTACAGCTGAAATGGTTTGATATCTGACATATGCTTCAAAGTAACATAGGCTGCAGGGAGTGGATGGTGATAGCAATGAAACAAAATAAGCCATAGTAATTGCTGAAGCTGGTTAATGGGTACCTTAAGTTTTATTGTTCTATTCTTTCTATCTTTGTACATATTTGACATTTTTCAAAAATGAAAACCAGTAATACTTTGAATTTCCAGTTATGTTTTCTTTTTAATGATTAATATTGGTTATTTGATGTTTTCTTTTTTCATTTTTTTGATAATGCTTTCCAGAATTAAATAAGTCTGTTTTATTAATTTTTACAGAGAACCAGGCTTCCGTTTTATTAGTCTACATTTTCAAAATTTGATTAGTTTTCTATTATTTTCTGATTTTAAAAAATGCATCCCATGCATCCCATTCTCCTTTCTTCAGCTTCTTTTTTATTTATTTATTTATTTATTTATTTATTTATTTATTTATTTGAGAGGGAGTCTCACTGTTGCCCAGGCTGGAGTGCAGTGGTATGATCTTGGCTCACTGCAACCTCCACCTCCCGGGTTCAAGCCATTCTTCTGCCTCGGCCTCCTGAGTGGCTGGGACTACAGGCGCCTGCCACCATGCCAGGCTTATTTTTGTATTTTTAGTACGGACAGGGTTTCATCATATTGGCCAGGCTGGTCTCGAACTCCTGACCTCATGATTTGCCCACCTCAGCCTCCCAAAATGCTGGGATTACAGGCGTGAGCCACTGCGCCCGGCCTCTTCAGCTTCTTTTTAGCTGTATCCCTAGATGCTGTCTGAGACAGGAGTGAGGTTTGAATTTTTTCCCTGAGCATTTCAGTCCATAGTACTGTATCTGATCACTCTCTTTCTTCTACGAGACTGAGGATTAATTTCACGATGCCACACATCTGTATTTACTTTAGTAATCTCTAGAAGGCAAAATCTTCCTGGACTTTCATTATCACCCCCATTTTTGTCATCTGTACAGCAATCTGTACATCGCCAACCCCTCGTTGTTAGAATCCCAAAGCTTCCTGTATCCTCTGGGACCTGCGCTGTTGATTAGTAAAGTGTCCTGTGTCTCCTCTCCTCTTTGCATCATGTTCTGTTCTTATTGTGATCAAAATCTGTGTATTCTGTGCGTTCAATCCTCTTTTAAAAAGGCTGTATTTTCCTCTTCCCTCCTGCTCCATGTACCTCAAGTAGATGCTAAGATTTATATACTCATTCTCTATTACCTCTTCTAGACCAGAACCCTGTCTTATAAAAACCCCTGCTCCTTCTGGAAATGCATAATCTCTTTTTCCCCATAATGTCCCTACCTTATTGCATTGTCTTCCTTATGATTTCAATGCCTATTATCATGCTTGGCAAATCCAGTTGCTATCCTTCAACATCTGGTCTGTTAATTCCTTGAACTTTTAATGATCTTTTTCCTTTATTTACCAGCATAGTTTTTGATGGTTAGCATAGTTTAATTCTAAAATTTCCTTAATTTCTGTTTTTATATTTTATTATGAATACACTATGATTTTGAAAATATTTGCGAATAAATGCACATATTCCCATCACCTAAATTCTAACATTAACATTTTATTCTACTTGCTTACCACATAGCTATTCGCCTACCCATTGCTCGCTCTATGCATTAAGCCATCATATTCTTTTTTGGATAAATGTCAAAGTAAATTGCAGATTTCAGTATATTTCTGTCTATGTATTTCATAATGCATATCATTAACTACAGTTCAATATTCATTTACATGTTTATTTATTTATTTTTTGAGATGGAATCTCTCTCTGTGGCCCAGGCCAGAGTGCAGTGGCATGATTTTGACTCACTGCAACCTCTGCCCGCTGGGTTCAAGCAATTCTTTTGCCTCAGCCTCCCTAGTAGCTGGGATTACAGGTGTATGCTACCATGCCCAGCTAATTTTTGTACTTTTAGTAGAAATGGGGTTTTGCCATGTAGGCCAGGCTGGTCTTGAACTCCTGACATCAAGTGATCCACCCATCTCAGCCTCCCAAAGTGCTGGGATTATAGGCATGAGACACCATGCCTGGCCACGATTTAAAAATTATATACAATGAAATGCCCAACTCTTAAGTGTATCTTCACTGAATTTTGACAAATGCATATTGCTGCGTAATCCAAATCCAAATCAAGATATGGAATATTATCATGCCTATGAGCCCTAACGTTTCCTCATGCCCTGTCCCACTCAATCCTTTACACTTCCAGAGGTAAGCATTGTTCTGATTATTTAGCTCTATATCTATCTTTGCATTTGCTAGAATTTCATATGAATGAAATCAACTAGGTGTTTCTTTCTTGAACGGATTTTTTTGCTATATTTTAAAATTAATTTTTATTTAAATAAACTTTTTATTTCAAAATACTTTTAGATTTACAGAAATATTGCAAAGATAATACAGAGAGTTCTCATATACACCTCACCTAGTTTTTCCTATTGTTAATATTTTACATTACTGTGGTACATTTGTTACAACTAAGGAACCAACATCAGTACATTACTGTTAACAAATTTCTATACTTTATTTGAATTTTGATAGTTTTTAAAAATAATGTCCTTTGTCTGTTCCAGGATCCCATCCAAGATACTACTTTATACGTCTCTTTGGCTCCGTCTGGTTTGTGAACATTTCTCAGTCTCTTAATTTTTAATAACTTTAATAGCTTTGAGGTCAGTTTTTTTTGTTATTGTTTGTAGCGTATCCCTTATTTTGGGTTTGAAGTATTTTTTTCCATGATTAACATTAAGGAAGGAAAGAAGATCACAGAGATGAAGTGCCATTCTTGTTATATCATATTAAGATCTGGCTGAGGTAGCGCTTGTCAGAGTCTCCAGTGTAAATTTACCTTTTCTTCCTTTCTATACTCTTATTCTTTGTAAGTAAGTCACTAAGTGCAGCCTACACTTAAATGGTGGAGAGTTAAGCTCCTTGATGGGGCAGGGTCTACATAAGTTATTTGAAATTCTGTATGGGAGATCTAGTTCTTTTATGGAAAATTTATTTTTCCTTTACCAAATATTAAAAAATTATTAATTTCTATTCTATTCTATTATAAGGTAATGGCAAAATGGTCTCTACTTCTTGCAAATTATGGCTTCAGTAGGGGTTCAAAAATATGATTAATTTTTGTAAATGTTTTAAGGACATTCAAAAAGATTATACATGCTCTATTTCTTAGATACAAGAAACTTATTGTTACTCAAGTATTTTATGACCTTTTGCAATATTTGATTACTTGATATGTCATTTTAAATTAAGTATGTAAAGTCTCAACATTATTATAATGTTTATGAGTTCTTACATTTTTAGTGGTTATTCATTTATATATCTTTACTTTGTGTTATTAGGAGCATAAATTTTCTTTTTCCTGCTTGTTTGCTTTGGTGTAATGTAATTTCTACTAAAATGAAACAGCTTGCTCTAGTTCATTTAATACCTTCTGCCTTAAATTCTATATCTAATATTTTTTTTACCGTACTTGCTTTCATTTTGTTTACACTTACAGGTATACCTTTGTTCATACCTTGTAGTCAACCTTTTTTTTTCTTTTATATAGCATATAGCTATATAAAACTTAATTATATATATATATTTTCTTATTAGAAGAATATAATTTGGGTACATATATAGTGATTGCTGACACAAATAGGGTTATTATTTCCTTCGTATTTAATGTTTCTGTTTACCTATATTTCCTTTGTCTTATATTTTACTAAGTAAATTTTTTCTTTATTTTCTTGTTATTTTATTGTTTTAGATCACATTAATTTTAGTAATTCCTCTTAAATTTTAATGAACACATTTTAACCTAGTTTTCTAAAAAATTAAAAGTGATTAATACTTATCTCTTTCTAAAAACAAGATATAAGTGTTCTGCTACTTTTCTTCTCTTGGCATTCTGCATTTTTTTCTTTCTTTTTTTTTTTCAATCATGCTTTCAATTTCCAGTATGATATTGATTACCTTTTAAGATAGTACTTTCTTGTTTTACTTATAAAATATCTTAAGTGTCAAAGTCTGTTTTTTTAAAAAAAATTATCTTATGTTGCTTATATAATGTCTATTTCCTCTGAAGTCAGTTTTAATGTTTATTTTTATCTTTCTCTTTCATGTTCTTGTTGTCCTCAGATGTCTGGAGTTTGAAAGTTTTTTTTCAAATTTATACATAAAAGACAAAGTTGATTAAAAGACTAGATGGCACGTGAGTCCTCCACAGTTTTGTTTGCTTGTTTAAGAAACAGGACTGTCACAGGATTGGGAGGACTAACTACCAGCTGACTCTTTGTAAATAATGTGTACAGGGGATAGGTTGTCTTCTTAGGATGCATGGAGGGTGGGTACCAATCTCACGCTCTCTACTTCTGTCAAATTAAGGATGGCTTTGCTCTGAGTATAGAAAAATTTATTGTGGTAATAATATAACAATTGCAGGAGCAAACACTTGTTGAGGGTTTTATATAAATTAACTAATACTCCCATAATTCTGTGAGGTAGAGACTATTATATTATTTGATATAACAGATAAGAAAACATGTACCAAGGGCTTTAATTCACTTGTTCTACCTTATGCATTTAATGTGTTAAGGCTGTATAGCTATAAATATGAACAACACTAGTCATTCAGGCTCCAGAGACCATCCTCTTAACCACTGTAATTCTTGCTGCCTTTTACTTGAAGAGGAAAAAAAAATCATTTCAGTTTTGCACAGAGCTGCCTTTTCCTCTCTGTGTGTCTGCACTTATCTTAGTTCATTTCTGCTTCATTTCTAGGCCCCGCGCTTATGACAGGAAAATTCCTTTTTCAGTTCCTCTCCTGTATGTCCTTCTCTACTCTTGCTACTATCATCAGACCTCCCACTTTGTTTAGAGTAGTGGCATGTAATCAAATTTTCTGCTATAATAGAAATGATCTGGGGCTGTTCTGTCCAATACTGAAGCCACTAGCCACTCGTGTGTTGCCATATTGGACAGCATAGGTTTAGAGAACTGTTTTTTACTGTGCTCTATCTGGGATGCATGTTGCAATCAGCCTGTCTGTACACACGGATGTTGGCTGGAAACTGGCCCACTCGTTAATTACCCTGAGGGCTGTTCCATGTCCTGATGCTCCTTCCAGTTCTTGTTGACTCTAAACTTGGAGTTTTGTTGTATCACCACTGGGAAAAGTGGCTCTGTAGTGCCCCTCTCTTTTGTTTCTCTTTAATTGTCTCTCTTACTTGGACTCTTCTGTCAATCTTATTCTATTTGCTCTCTGCTTTTCAGAAATTTCTTCAAAGTTTGGCTCACTGATGAAATGATTTTCTATTTTCCAGAGTTTGTCAGTGTTTAAAAAAATACGTGTTTTTTGGTATTTTCCTAAGATTTTAGGAAGGAAATAAAGGCATGTACATATGATTATTTTATGATCTTGAGTCAGAGAGTTAATGTGCTTTCAACGATTTTACATGATATGTAATGTAATGGATGAACAACCATAACAAAAGTACTTTCTCTTTTCTGGAGCCATTAAGAAAATATTGTTCTTATTTAATATTTCAGAATAGAAGAAATGGTCTTAGTACCATGGGTAACTGTAAGCTATTTGGACCTCTTTTCGATGAATATAAGCAAGGACATTTTATTTTATATAATCTTTGCTCCTTTGTAAATAATAGATAGTCCTCTTTTCCTCTCTCCCTTTCTCCTTCACCTCTTCCTGTTTCCTTTCTCTGGCTGGTGCAGATAAGAAGTTCAAGTGTATTGGTGAGCAAACTTTCTCTTGTCAGTTTTTTTTTTTTTTTTGGTTTATATAAACATTGTAGTATTTGTGGAGACTTATTGCCATTTCATTTTATTTTATTTTTGGGCTTATTCACAATGAGGCTACTGGTCACTAAAATAAAGAATGTGTTTCTGGAGGGACACCAATAATATTTCTGAATTGCAATAGGAAGTTAAGAGGCTGCACAGCAGATGATATCATAATGCCTCCTACTCATACAACATTCTGATATGGGGATATGTGATGTTCATGATGTTTCAAACATTTATTCAGTTTGCAGAGTGTCATGATCATACTGTTCTTGGAGTGGGTGCAAAAGAGTAATTTTGCTTTTGAATCATAGTGTAACAAAGAAGGCTTTTAAAGACAAGGCACGAGAATAGTATGTGCTATTTTGGCTCTGAACAAAAATATTCCAGTGAACTCTATCTGCTTCCATCATGAAGGCACCTGGTGAGAAACACCTGCTGCTCCCCTCTTCTATCATTAAGGAACTTGATGTCAGGAAATAAAACTCTTCCACTGACATGTTCCGAAAAGAGATGTTGCAAAAATGTTGTATGTTGAGAAGGCTTTGATTTTGAGATGATAGCTTAGATCAACTGTGCTTTTCCTCCTCAGGATAAGTGTGTCAATATTTTTAATGACGTTGGTCATGGATATTATTTTATAGGATCTCCTTTCAGCAACAGACGTTATTAATATTTTGGTCAATATTCTTTCAAAATATTTTCCATGCTGTATGTAAGTATATGTATACTTTTATAATACTATAACCACACCAAACATACTAATTTAGGACATGTAAATTCATATACACTTCTTCATGTTGTTAAATATTCTCCTGCAACATCATTTTATTTTATTTTTATTTTTTTTGAGATGATGTCTCGCTCTGTCACCCAGGCTGGATTGCAGTGGCACTACTTTGGGTCACTGCAACCTCCACCTCCCTGGTTCAAGTGATTCTCCTGCCTCAGTGCGTGCCACCATGCCCAGCTAATTTTTGGTATTTTTAGTAGAGACGGGGTTTCACCATGTTGGCCAGGATAGTCTCGATCTCTTGCCCTCGTGATCCGCCCGCCTAGGCCTCACAAAGTGCTGGGATTACAGGCATGAGCCACCGTGCCTGGCCAACATCATTTTAAATGGCTACAGTGTTCTAATGAATAAATGTACTGTAATTTAACATCTCATTATTAAACAATCACAAATAGTGCTGTGATGAACACATTTGGATAGTTATTTTTGACAATATCATTGATTATTTCCTTAGAGTGAGGTTTCTCAACCTGGCACTATTGGCATTTGGGGAAGGATAATTATTTGTTGTAGAGGACCGTCCTGTGCACTGTAGAGCGTTTAGTAACATCCCTGGCCTCTACCCACTAGATGCCAGAAGCATCCCTACCCTGGTGGTGACAGCCAAAACTGTCTCAAGACATTGCCAAATGTCCTTGGAAGCCAAAATCCTCCCCCATTGAGAACCACTGCCACAGAGTAAATTATTTAAAAAAGAATTTCTCACACAAATCATATGCACAGATTTAATTTAAAAAAATCTATGTGGGTTTTATTTTCACTTTAAATAAAGTAATAGAAAGTTATAAAGAGACAACTTTAAATTTGTGGAAAATGTTTTTCCTAAACCAAGGGTGTCCAATCTTTTGCTTCCCTGGGCCACATTGGAAGAAGAATTGTCTTTGGCCACACATAAAATACACTAACATTAACAATCACAAACAATCTTATAATGTTTTAAGAAAGTTTACCAATTTGTATTGGGTTGCATTCAAAGCTGTCCTGGGCCACATGCAGCCCACAGGCTGCGGGTTGGACAAGCTTGCAAACCTTCCCTACCAAAGTTCTTAAGGTGTAGTGTACCTGGTGATAAATACAGGTGGGGTCCTGTTTTATTGTTAGCTACAGAAAAATCTTTCTGTGTAGGTATATCTGTGAGCTTTAAGTGATAAATCTCACAGATATGGAATGAGAGAAGACCTAGCTCTCAAACTGCTTCTTATCTTTTTGACTACGTAATATTTCATGATTTCAGATTCTGTAACCACATTACACATTTTTTTTTTTACACCTAGTGTTTCCCTTTTCTAAGCAGTAAATAGACTGATTAAGTGTTTGGATTTGGAATCAGTCAAAGTAAGATTCTGATGTGATATCTTACCAGTTTCTAACTAGTTAATCTTGGGCTGCTTTAATCCTCAGTTTCTGTAACTGAAAGATGGGAATAAGGTTTACTATCCAGAGTGGTTGGAAAAATTAAAAGTCAAATGTTTTAAGGCTCTTGACAATGCTTGGCACCTACAGAGCACTCATAATAGTATCTACCCCCTCCAAATTGAAAGAATAATAATAAATTTCCTCAAATTAGTTTTGTTTCGCTACGCTCTCTAAGGAGGCATTTTAGCAGTAAAAGTTGTCTCAAAAGATTTTGCTGGTTGAGTAGATGAAGTTGTAATATTTTAGGGGTGTAACTTTTATAATTGTGTAAGAGAGAGCATGATAGTTTCTTCTTAATGAGTTATTTGGAACAGAAACCCATTGGATGTGGGAAAAAATACTAGAAATTTGATTTTCTGTATATTTTAAATGTCATGTTTTAATTTTAATTTTTGTATTTGGTAATATTAGTAAAATGGTGTGATGTATGTGACTTTGTGACTGCTTGCTCAAAATTTCTTTATTGCTGATGTGTGAGAGCAACATCTGTTTTGGAGACCACTGACTGAAGGTATTTTTTTTTTTTTTTTTTTACTGTTTCTGTGATTTGAGAGAGAGACAAGGAGTTGGAAATCTCACTGACTGTCAGAATCCCCACAATTCACTGTGTGTTGTTTCAACATTATTATGCTTAAAGTTTCATTATTCTTGCAGTTTTCAATCACAGCAGAGGTATATTTTAAATGTTCCCACCCCAGTTGTTCTCTCAAGATTGACTGAAGTGGGGAGCAGGATGCAGCATTTGCCTAAGTCACAGATAGCACCTGGGAAGATTTTATTTCTCTCTGTTTTAGAAATGTAAAATAGAACAAGAGATTCTTTCTCTTTTGAAAAATATAAGCTAGCTATCAAGTGACAACAATGGCCAAATTAACTCTTGTCCTAGTCCCTCTCGCCTATCTTCCTGTGAAATAAGAATACCTTGAAGAAATGGAGACATTCCCTGATGGAAGGCATACTAGGATATCAGGTTTTAGAAGCTGGTGGAAGGGAGTGGGTTGTGTATGTGTGGGTGTGTTTGTGCACACTCAGTCATGTTTTAATAGGGGACCCAATATTCACTGGTGTCTGACAGGCTCTTTATACTGTACACTTACCATCCAATTTCGCCTTCACACAGGCAAGATAAGAGAGAAGAGAATCTCTTGCCACCTCATGTAAACATTTTTGTCAAATAAAGAAAGAATAGGTGGGAAGTTAAGGTCCTATTGTATCCACATTGACTTCACCCCTGCCACTGCTACCTTAGTGTTCCCCTCCACAGACTTATTGGTATTTTATACTTCCAGAAATTTCTATGTACACAAGGAAAAAAATATGTATATGCTGTTTTCACAAATGAGAATCATAGCATGGAAATGGAAATCATGTGATAGCTATTGCTATTCAAACTACTTTTCTTCACTTTGCAATATCATTGGGATAATTTCCGTATCAGTATATATAGATTTACCTCATTCTTTCTAGATCCTCACGACATTCCACTGCATGGATTTACTATAATTAATTTAGCTACTTCCTTATTCAACACTGTAATATCATCTGTATGCATCTCTGAACACTTACCTAGGGTTCAATTTATAAAAATGGGAATTACTGTTTCAAAATGTATGCATGTTTAAAATTTAGATTCAACAACAAGAGTGCATCAATATATCCTCCCATAGGTGAGAAATTTTTTCCCAAATTCTCATATGGTTTAAATTTTGGGGTAAAAATAGCATTTAATTTTTGCCTTAATTTATTATTCTTGAATAATGAGTGAGATTGAGCATCTCTTCATAAGCCTATTTGTGTGTGTATCTCCTGGAAATAAGTGGTTTTATAATCATTATCAAGAAGGCCCTCCCATCGTACTGGTTGCATCTCTGTTTTTGTACTTAGGGTCACCAAGGAAGCCAGAGTGGAGGCTGCAGGGAATATGGATTTAAATGAATTTTGGCTGTACCATCAAGCAGTCTGATCACTGAGGAAATATCAAAAGCTTCACCCGAGTGACTCATCACCCAAATTCAACAGAGGTAATAGAATAACTTACATTGCTCAACCTTTTGGCTATTTAGTTGGCTGTGTGAGATCAATGGTGCCCACTTTCTCTGCTGGATTTTGCTTTGGGAAAGAGATTTATTGGTTAGATCTCACATTACAATGCCATCAGTGTCTTTGGGACCCGATTCCCAATACTCAGAAGCATAGAACAAAATTATTTAACATCTTGGCCTCAGGTAACAATATCTACTTCATTGAGTTGGATCAGGCATCAAATTCTGTGGGGATATACTATTGTCCACTGCATGAGCTCTCCTTCATCTTGTTTCATTATTTTCTGAGACTTTGCTTTGTATTGGATAGTGAAAAGCTTGTGGCTAGAGATAAACCAAAGTGGCAATTTTAGGAGACATGTGAAATTGAAATGTGACTGGTCATGCATATGGATTATTAGATGTATAATGTATAATATAGCTTTCTATATGTAGTGTTACCTAGATTGGGCTCATGTGCTATTATTATGATTTTAAAATGTATTGCTTTTTCCATGAAGTTCAGATGGTCTGACTAGTTTATATTCTCTAAACATTTCTTGTTTTACTCTTTCATCAGTTTCTACTCTTAAAAATTCACTGCATGGTCTCTACAGAGAAGAAGCAAAGGTTCTGCACTGCTACAGCTTTCTGTTAAAAGACAGAGCGTCCACATTTTCTCTCATTTTACTCTGAGACGGCCAGTCTGTTTTACAGTCTCCCACACACACTTTTCTTCTCTCAAAGACATTTCCAAGTTTAATATTATATTTTAAAAAAGTCTAGAATCACGCAGGCTTTAAAAGAAATACCAGGAATTAAAAACCAGAAACAACTCCCATATAGAGCCATTTACCACATCTATCTAAAAATTACAACAATGCCTTTGCTAGTTAAATTATTGCAGAATTGCTAATATCATCTACTTTTCAAAAGCATTAAAATAAAATTGTTTAGAAGTAATTTCATTTATTAAAAAAATTGGGCAGAATAAAGAATATATGTCTTTATATTGGTATAAGATGATTAAATATTTTTCATGGAAAATGAGACATTTCAAAGATTAATCTTAACAGGGAAGTCTTTTCCTATGTAAGTATTTTATCTCTTTACACTGTATAATATTGGAGAATTTCTGATAATTTGTGGTTTTGAAAACTATAGGGTCTTAGAATTTATTCATTTGAAGATCTTTTAGCTTTTATTATGAGGGTACACTGACCAAAACAAATTATATGTCTCATGTTATTCTTCGTAGTGCATCTAGTCTGGTCAAATGGAATCATGTACCTCTGAAATAATAGTGAAAGAAAGCTATAAAAGAAGAAATTGCATGTAATTGTAGTAAAGGATAAGCGTTTACTGATCAGACAGAAAATACCAAAGACATACTTGCTCTCTGTGCCTGTGTTATGGTGATGGGTTAGTAATATTATTTTGTATAAAAAAGACTTTTTAAAATGTATTACATTTTTCTGTACTGAAGAGCATAAAATAATCTAGAGTGATCTGTAATTCTTGCCAGAAAGAGACTTTGACATTGGATAGGATCACTTTTACAGTCTATTCATTTATCCAAAAAGCATGTATCGAAGGTAGGTTTCTTGTATGGACACTGCTAGGTACAGAATTTGGGGTGTGTACGTTAGTGGTAAAAAGTTCATGTTAGTGTATGTTAGTGGCGAAAAGATCAGTAATCGTTGCACAGGGTATGGGGAGCAATCTTTTTTTTTAACTTTTTTTAAAATTATACTTTAAGTTCTGGGATATATGTGCAGAATGTGCAGATTTGTTACACAGGTATACACATGCCATGGTGGTTTGCTGCAACCACCAACCCATCATCTACATTAGGTATTTCTCCTAATGCTATCCTTCCCCTAGCTCCCCAATCCCGTGACAGGCCCCGGTGTGTGATGTTCCCCTTCCTGTGTCCATGTGTTCTCATTGTTCAGCTACCACTTATGAGTGAGAACATGCAGTGTTTGACAGTAAATGATAATATAAAGAAGAATGAGAAGTAGTCATCAATGGTAAAAATGATGTAGTAATCACTGCTGATTTTAGCAGGGTGTTTACTAATTTCCCATCATTAGTGAAGGACTTGACCATCCATTGTGAATATTATGTCATCCTCCCAACATCCAACTGCCTCTTCTTCCTTATCTTATACCTACTGTGCAGTTTATAGATGGAAAGATGCTTTCCAGGATTTGTAATCCCTTTCTCTGTGCTAGGGTGAGCAGGTCTGAGCCAATTAGTGCAAGGAATTCCCTTGCCCCAGGCAATGGTTCAAGGATGGGACTTTGTGAATGTGAATGGGAAGAGCCATTTCTCATGTGAATGGGAAGAGCTATTCACATCTGGACTACAGGCCATGAGAGGTTTTTCTGAGAATGGCTGGAAAAGTTCTCTCACTATTTTGGGAGAACTTTTTGAAGTGATCATTTTGTTCATTCCTTTGCTTTGGAAGAAGAAGCTCCTTGTACCTGTGAGGGAAAGCAAGCCTGCTGACTCCACAGAAGGCAGAACAGAGGGAGTAAAAAAGAAACCACTTCTTGAATCTGTGGCTTAGCCACTGAAATCAAACCCAGCCTGAAGACTCTTTTTTCTCTGGACTTTCAGATTAGTGGGCCAGTAATACACTTTTGTTGCTTATGCTAGTATGAGTTATGTTTCCTCTTATCTTCAACTAATCTAAATTATACCCAGAAGTTATCTCTTCCATCTTCATAATGATTCTGTGAAATAGATGTTATTACTGTTATCATTTTAGGGGTGAGGAAACTGAAGTCTTAAGGTTAGAACACTTGTCCTGAACCACAGGGGCGCAAAGTGGAAAAGCCAGGACTTTACCTGCATAATTTAATCCAATGACCACATTCCTAAGCACTGTGTTCCACAGCTTCACATGCTTTGTGGATCCAGAGACAATGTCAGTCAACTTGGAAATGTAGAAAACTCATCACTATGGTGGAAGCATTTGATCTGGCCTGTAGGTAGAACTTAAATCAACAAGAGATGGAGCTGAAGCAACAGCTTTAGAGTAGAGGAGGTAAAGTAGCTGAGGCTGGCGTCTAATCTCTGTGTAGTTCCTTAAGGGGGGTGATAGGAGATGGGACCCATAGGAAAGCTTGGGGGTCCCACAGAGGTTAGAAGACAAAGATTGAGATCAGAAAGGCATGGCAAAATTAGATGGAGGAGGTTAATAAAAGGAGGATTCCCTGAAAGGGAATGGTCAAACAGTGGAGGAATCAGAAACATTGAGGCTGGTACCCACCTACCTGTAGTTTTTGAGATAATGGGATGGTAGGGTGAGGGACGGGTTAGAAAAGAAAATGATCACCAGGATTTGCATATACTTAGGAGTTCAGTGTCATCATAATCAGGGAAGGGCCATGTTTCAGTTTAGGAGAGAAGGTGGAGGAAGTATTGCCAGAAGGATTGAGTCAGAATGTGTGTATAAAGGTTCAAAAAAGCACAGTGAAGGATCGGTTACCAGGGATATGGAGGATGGATGTATGAGGATAACTGTGCTGGGTTTGAGATGGCTAGTGGGCTGGAAGCATGTGCATTTTGGTCACTAACGATTAAAACTGGGAATCGTGGGAAGGAAAGAGGCTGTTTCCAGCTTGAGCAGCTTCCCAGGTTACATTTACATACGTGGATTCCTTCACAATACTGACTGCCAGTGCACCATGTCCTGCCGGCAGAAGGGAGCTGAGGTGGCTATGGCAACCTGAAAAACCTCAAACTATTAATATTCACAAACATATGGAGGCTGCAATTCTTTAAAAACAATAACATCAGCAGTGGCAGTGGCAACAGGACCAAGCATAGTAATTTGTAACTCTCACCTCTGGAGAAACACGGAGCTGCATATATTATTTTTTAATAATCAGCCACAAATTAACTAAGTGCTGCAATCCTGAAACCCGCTTTTCCCTGTAGCTTGTCATTATCAGCAGATGTCAAAACAAGTAAAATAAATGGACTAGGTTTCCTTGAGATGTTTGTTGATAATAATTATTTGCCTCAAAAAAATTAAAAATTGTATGTCTGGCAGCAAAAGCTCCTTCCTCGGTTATTACTTTAAAGTGTCTTTTTCATCTTTGAATATCTGGTAGAGATTGTTAGACTCTGCCTTCCTCCTTTTCTGAATCATCAAATTCAGTGGTTCAGTTGAAGAACCACTGATTAAAATCCACTGTGGGTTTGCAATTAGAAATGCACATTCCTGGTTCCCCACCCTAGAGATGTGGATTCATTAAGTCTAGAGTAGGACCCAGGAATTGGTATTTTAAGTGAGCTCCCCCACGTAATTCTGTTGGTGAGACAGTGAGAAACAAAGCTTTGGAAACAAAGCTTTAGCTTTGGAGAGCTGGTGGCTGAAGCTTACAATAGGGAGGTGTGCTCTTCTGTTTTGGAAGTTGTTTTTGTTTTTTTTCTAACCCCATTCTTTCTTCTTCATCATAAATCTTTGCTCCTAGAGACAGAATGTTATGATGGAAAAAGCTCTGGGACCAGCATGAGGTCTGGATTGGAGTCCCTGGTGTGGCATTTATAAAACGTGAACCCTAGACTGAGACAGGTAAACTTATTCTGAGTCTCAGTTTCTCCATCTTTGAGATGCCCTAAGAGTCTTCCTCAGAGCTCTAGTGATGATGTTTAGAGAGTATCTTATCCAATACCTAGTACATAATAAGTGCTTAAATAATACTATTATTATGACCTTGATTTCTCCTTGGCACTAACTTGTTGCACCTGCTTCTAGGGTTGCCAACACAGAAATGTTACCTTGTAGAGGATTACTTGTGTCGTGCACACACTAGGGGAACTTTTCTGCTCTTTTACTCTCCTCTTTCCCTTTTCCTTAGCCTTAGAAAGAAAGCCCATCAGTGAGGACCTGAGCCCAGTGATGAGGTGAAGAAAGGGAAGTGGTCCTCAAGAGAAAACAGCAGAGCGAGAGTATGCCGGCAATGAGATTCTCAGAAACCCCCAATCCTGCACAGGGAACTAAATGAAGTATGGTGCTGTCAGCATTTGTAGCATCTGTTGGTGGCACTGAGTAGAGGAAGTAGATGCTATTATCTTTGCCATATCTGCCTTTTCTTCTTGAAAGTTGACAAGGTGAGGTCGGTTGGGGACAGAAGTTAGAGAAGGATTCCCTTGCTAACATTGTCTTCTCTGTGTTCTGTGTCCCCTCTGTGTACTATAGACACAGAGACCTGGTGAAATGGTGAAGAGAGAAAGAATGCTCAAAGTTCTGTGTGTACTGCTTGTGCATTCCACAAAACCTGTTACCCATCTGGTGTTTCGGCATAATAGAAGTTTCTAGTTTCAGAAATATCATTGAATAGGGCCTCGTGGATAGGGGTAGATATTTTAACTTTTGGCTTGGATCATGGATTCCATAAAGACAGAATTTCTTGGAAATTCTCAATATATTTCTTAATGCAGCAGTGCCAAAGGGCTTTAATAGTTTTGATATAGATTTTAAATTGATGGCTTATGGGCAGAATTTCTCTTTCAAAATGTCTACTTCTTATCAGTATTATATTTTAAAAATGAAATTTCTCCTATGTAAACAAATAATCAAGCAAAAGCAACCAAGAAATTTTGCCTTTAAATTCAAATTTCAGGCTTTTTTTTTGAATAGTCCAAAGACGTGACAATATTGGCCGAGGAGCAGGAATTGAATGTACCAGTTTGTCACAGGCCCCACCCGCTCATTATGTTTCTTGCCTGGACTTCAGAGGCATTGGGAGCTCAGACTTGAGTACCAGCTCTAGACTCAGACTGCCCTGGTATAAGTACCTGCTCTTCCAGTTATCCTATATAACTCTGGGCAAGCTAGTTAATCTTTGTGTTATTTTTTTTGTCTGCAAAATAGGAATAATGTCTTAGTCAGTTTGGGCTGCTATAACAGAATAAAAAAAGAAAAAACTTCCCCACAATACTGTTGTTATATCTTAGAAGAAATAACCCAAGTACCATATTACTTATGCAATTCATATGTAAGTTTCCTCAATTGTCCTGCAATTATCTTATGTGATTTTTCTAAAAGAAGAGTCCAATGTTCACATGTTTGGATGAATTTTAACCTCTTTTAATCTAGAGTAGTCCCTCCATCTTTTTTTTACATGTTAAAGTGAGATATAGTTGAAATAAAACTGCATATATTTAAAGTGTATAATTTGATAAGTTTAGACATGTATACATGGTGAAACTATCATCACAATCTAGGCAATGAATGTATATGTCACCCCCAAAGCTTCTTGGTTCCCCTTTGTAAACTTTCTCTGTTGTCCTCACTCTACTTTCCTCCCTCATCCTCTGGCAACCACTGATCTTTCTGTCATTAGAGATAATTTGAATTTTGTAGGTTTTCATGTAAAGGGAATCATACAGTATGTACTATTTTGTGTCTGGCTTCTTTTCCTCAGTGTAACTATTTTGAGATTCCTCCATGTTTTTGCATGTGTCAATAGTTCATCCTTTTGTTGCTGCACAGCATTTCATCTTGTGGATATATCACAATGTGTTTATCCATTTACCTGTTGATGCCCATTTGGGTTGTTTCCATGATTTGGCTTTTCCAAAGAAAGTTGCTGTGACTATTGGTGGGCAAGTCTTTGTACAGACATTTGCTTTTTTTGTCTTGAGTGTATTTCTAGATTGGAATGGCTGAATCATATAGTAGGTATATGTTTAACATTTTAAGAAACTGCAAAGCTGTTTTCCAAAGTGGTTGTAGCATTTTACATTTTCACCAGCAATGCAAGAGAGTTCCAGTTCCTTCTTGCCAACATACTTGGTAAGGTATGTTTTTAAAAAAATTTAGCCATTATAATGGCTGTGCCTCAGTCTTTCTTCTTTCTTTTTTTCTTCCTTACTTTCTTGCTCTCTTGCTTGCTTTATTTTTTTGGTGTATGTCTGTTTTTGGTTTTCATGACATTCACTTTCGAAGAGTTCAAGAAAGTCACCTTGTAGAACAATGTGTATTCAGGAGTTTTTGAAGGTGTTTTAAAGGACACTTTATTGTGCCCTTTTATTTTGTAGTCTTTGGTAGGCAGTCACTTTGTGGATTCTCTGATTGTCAACTGCAGATGAGATGGATACAAGGCAGGAGGCGTCTGCCCATGCCATAATAATGGGATTGTCTTATGAAAGTTTATTCTGGAAAAAAAAATCAGTATTAAATCTTAAAAAAAAAATTATAATCCTATAAGAAAGCTCAAATTGGCTGCGCGTGGTGGCTCATGCCTGTAATCCGAGCACTTTGGGAGGCCGAGGCGGGCGGATCATGAGGTCAGGAGATTGAGACCAGCCTGGCCAACATGGTGAAACCCCATCTCTACTAAAAATACAAAAATTAGCTGGGCGTGGTGATGCGTGCCTGTAATCCCAGCTACTCGGTAGGCTGAGGCAGAAGAATCGCTTGAACTAGGGAGTCGGAGGTGCAGTGAGTCTGTCTCAAAAAAAAAAGAAAGCTCAAATTTTACCCAGCTTTGGACTTTAGTATAGAGGTGGAGTATCTGGAGTGGCATGCCAAATTTGGTTGAGTTGCACTTTTATATGATAGGCTTCACTCCCTTAAGCTAATATGGCAACAATTTCTGAGTAAAAATGCCTATTTCTGCTTTAAGACCTCTCTTTTCTTTCCAAGGAAATTGACTAAACAGAAAAATATTTCGAAGGGCTAGAGTTCCATTTGCTTAATTTCTTACATTTTGGGCCCTGACTGGGAAAAAACAATGGACTGTGAAATGTTTGACTCCATAAACATACCTTCCTTCTGACTAGTTCACCCAGTAACGATGATCAGCTATCTGGCGCGGATGCCTTTAGGAATATTGCCTTGTATGGTAGGATATTTGTAGATGAATTGATAATGATAATAAGGACATTTGGGATAATACTCCCTCCCCATTTTAAAAGCATACTTTGAGTCATAAAAGGAGTTGTAAAAGAAATACCTATCAGAAAACTAAGAAACCTTAAAACATGAATAAGTACTTCTTTTCTTGTTTCCTTTTTTCTTTTTCTTGTTTTAAGATTATAAATTCACAGTTATAGTGAACCCTTGAAACAAATTAGTAGATATTTGAGGTTTAATATTTAAAACCTGGTCTCCTGGAGCTCTCAAGGCCACCTAGGGTAAAGGTCACCTTATGTATTAGTCAGGGTTCTCCAGAGGGATAGAACTAACAGGACATATGTGAAAGGGAGTTTATTAAGGAGAATTGGCTCACATGATCACAAGGTGAAGCCCCATGATAGGCCATCTGTAAACCGAGGAAGAAAGAAGCCAGGAGTGGCTTGATCTGAGTCCAAAAGCCTCAAAAGTAGGGAAGCCAACAGTGCGGCCTTCAGTCTGTTGGCAGAAGGCCCAAGAGCCTCTGGCAAACCACTGGTGTAAGTCCAAGAGCCCAAAGGCCAAAGAACCTGGAGTCTGATGTCTAAGGGCAGGAGGAATGGACAAAAAGCATGTACACAGAAGGAAGATGAAAGCCAGGAGACTCAGCAAGCCAGCTTCTTCCACCTTCTTCTGCATGCTTTGTTCTAGCCACACTGGCAGCCAATTGGATGGTGCACACCCACATTGAGGGTGGGTCTGCCTCTCCCAGTCCACTGACTCAAACGTCAATCTCCTCTGGCAGTACCCTCCCAGACATACCCAGAAACAATACTTTACCAGCTATCTAGGCATCCTTCTATCCAACCAAGTTGACACATAATATTAACCACATCTTATTTCTATTATATTCCATAGTGCAATGAACCAGAAATCAGAAAAAGCTGTTTGGCTTATTGATATGGAATTATTTAACAAGCTAGTTATCTTCACCCCCATGGGATGGCCTTGACAACTGAAAACTGTCAAATCCTTTTGGGATGCATATGATTAGAGGGAAGCCTTAAACTCTAAGAGTAGTTATATAACAAGAATAACCTTTCTCTTGCAAGATGGATCAAATTTTCTAAATGGCAGTGGATCAATATTTCATAGCTAGAAATAGCTAGAATGGATATCAGATATCACAATAATAAAATACCTAACGGTTATTATTTTCTTCTATATCAGGTGCTATACTTTGCATGCCTTATTTAATTTCATTCTTTTCAGCAGCCCTTGCCCTTTGTACTGTTCTTTCCCCCGTCTTAATGAGGAGTCTAAAACTAAAGAGGTTAAGGAAGTTGATTAAGGTTATATAACTCATTTTCCTAACACTTTCATCTTGCAATTATGGGTCGATTAGGTACTTTCAAGGTCATTTGTAAGTAGCAGTTTATTAGAAATTATTTTTCGGCATGGGATTTAGGAAGCAAACATTTCTGGTTGCCTGACCACAATTGTTGTTGGTTTTCAGACCTTTCACGATTTAATGTGCCTGCCGAGAAGTTCTTTTTCCCATTGCAAAGGCTCATAATACATGGAGACTCCAGAGCCCAGTTTGACTTTCCTGTGAGATGCTTATTGACTGAGCCATGGAAAACTCTGTGTTGCTGAAGAAAAATTAAGTGATGTCTTGTGTGAATAAGTCTCCTGTTAGTTGCTGAAGTAGGGGCTTAATGCTTGTTAGTTTTTTTCACTCCGCTCTGTAGGTCATGTCCACGTTTAATGTAGTGGCAGGCAAGAAAAATGATAAAGAGAGAATGTGCAGGCAGAACAAATAATTTGTCAAACAACTTCCTCTAAGCATTAAAAATTGATCAAGATAAATTATATCAAGTGTCCTGCATTTAATATGAGAACTTCATTAAAGATAATAAAGCTTTGATTAGCTTTGCTGTGGAAGATAATCTTCTGTAGGCAAATGCAGGATGCCTCCTGGCCTTAGCTCATGTTGCTTTTGGATCTTGTTGATGGGCACTTATCTATTCCCCTTAATGGAAAAGTCCCGTAGGCTGTGATGGTTGTGAGAATTGGCACCCACAGATTTGCTCAGGTTTCAAGAAGCAATAGTAATAGCAATATCCAGTAATAGCAAAATCACAAAAAATAGCAATACCAAAAAAGCATTTTTGGTAAGTGAGTAATAGTAATAGCTTTCTTTACTCCAGGTTTTGGGCCATTACAACTCTGTAACTTGGTTGTAAGGCAAATGATAATTCTTATTTGACAGGTAAGGCATGAGAGTATTAGAGAAGCTAAGTAAGGTGGCCAAATAACTTTGCTACAATGTGTAGAGATGCGACTAAACCCCAGGTCTGCCTAAACCCAAGTCCTGTTCTCTGAATGATTATGCTGTATTGTGCCTTCCTCTTTACAATGCCTTGAATAAAACATAAATGCTACATTTACTTAAACATTTCTCCCTTTTAAATAGAAGTTTGTTCTAATTTTCCAAGGCATAATTAAGCTGTCATGTATATAGGAAATTACAAGTTTGAGATAAATTATAGGTACAAACAATGGAGAATTAAAAATGCATATTGCGTTAGTAAGGATCTCAGCAGGAAAGGGATGGCATATTCGTATTAGGTAATTTGAGAAGAGTTTAATAAAGGGATTATTATAAGAGTATAGGTGGGATCAATGTCTTAGTCTGCTGGGCTGCCATAAGAAAATGCCAAAGACTGGGTGGCTTAAACAAAATAAATTTATTTCTCACAGTTCTGGAAGTTGGAACTCTGAGGTCAGGGTGCCAGGAAGGCTAGATTCTTAATGAGGGCCATCTTCTGACTTGCATATGGCTGCCTTCTTACTATATTCTCAAACAGCAAGAAGAGAAATGGGGGGAGAGAGGGAGAATGAGAGAAAGTGAGAGGAGGAGAATGAGAGAAAGAGAGAGTCAAGAGTCAAAGAGTTGAGAGAGAAAGAAAAAAAGGGAGAGAGAGGAGAGAGAGAGAGAGTGAGAGAAAGAGAAGAGAGGAGAAAGAAGAGAGAAGAGAGAGAGACAGAGAGAGCTTTGGTGTTTCTTCGTTTAAGGGCACTAATTCCATAATGAAGATCCTACCCTCAAGACCTTTTCTAAACCTAATTATCCCCCAAAGGCCCCATTTCCTGATACCATCGCACTGTGGAGGTAGGGCTTCAACACAGGAATGCTAAGAGGACACAATTCAGTCCACAACAATTAGGAAAACCACAGGGGATACTTCAGTACCCTGGGACTAGAAACATTAGGGAGTTATTCTTAGACCTGAAGGAACTAGAGAGGATTTGACCACTACTCTGGAAAGCCAGGAAATGGATGTGGTGTAGGCTACCTGACAGGACTTTGAACCCTGGCTGGGTCATGCAGCCAGCCAGCAGCAACACCATCGTAAAGGGAGTGGGGCCTCCACTCTTCTGCCTCCCTCTGATTTCCCCCTGTGTTTCTCAGTGGTGGATGCGAACTGGAAGCTAGTGAGAAGAGAAGCCCGTTGTTGTTGTTGTGTTTACTGCTCTGGTTGTCATCTTATTTTCCTTTGGATACCTGGAGAGATTATACTTCCTTGTCCCATTACAATTGTGTGGGGTCACATGGTTTGTTTCAGCCAATGAGTTGTGAGAGAAGTGACAGTCACTTCTAGACAGAAATAGTTAATTACTCATGCAACGCACTTTAAGAATATTTTTCCCCATTATCATAATAATCAGCAATATTTAGGATGGTTGCTGCTCTGTTAGCTGGTGCCAAGAGTAAAATCATGGCCATGTGGGATGAGAAAGAAATAGACCTTTGTTTTTAAAAGTCTCTTTGAGATTTTGGGATGGTTTGTTACCAGAATATAACATGCCCATCCTGATGGTCCTTATTTGCAGGAAGAATGAACAAACTTTTCCCTTTTAATTTGGACAGAACATTTGTAAAGCCTGTGATTACCAAAGGAGCTCATTTACATAATTCTGAAACTTTAGCTAGTCAATGTGTCCTTGTCATGACCTTAAAATTCACAAGTTTAATATTGTATTCTATCTCACAGTAGAAGGATTTCTAAATATAACTCTTATTAATGCCAATGCCTCTTTGCATATTGGAGTGACACTCTAGCCCTTGAAATTGTAAGTTTGAGTGAGAACAACGCATGAAAGACAGATCAGAATCAGGCAGGCAGCTTCTCCTGGGAGGATAGGAATTAATTTGAGTTTTGGATTTCTTCTTTTGATATTCTATTATTCTCAACAATAGTGAGTAATTTTAAGATGGAGAATTGAAGCTGCCCAGGCCTGTTCTATTTTCTCATGTCTAGTTCACTCTTGTTATTCAAATGTGTCTCTCATTTATTACTTTTATTTCTTGACAAATAGGCCTATAGACATGTACATTGCTTTTGTCCTGAATGTTAAACAGGAGTAAAAAGGTTCTCAGCACAGCAAATTTACAAGAGTGTGAAAATTCAAAGTTGAGTGCCCCCAAACCAAGACCATGCTTTAATTGCCTATTGTACTTCGTCTTGCTTTGGGGAAGGAGATATATATATATATATATAAATATATATATAAAATATATATTTATTTCATACATTTAAAGTTAAACCAAACTAATACAAATATTAACCAACTACAACTGTTAATCAATTTGTGTGTGTGTGTGTGTGTGTGTGTGTGTGAAATTATTTTGGGCACATACTACTAATACAGTCTTTGTCTATCAGTTTCAGTGAACAATTTGTAAGCCTACTGCTTCTCCCAGAGTGGGGGAAAGTGGGATCAGATATGAATATGTACTTCTCTATCTTGTCCACTGTGTCTCCCAACATTTTAGCAGCCAGCTCAAGAATCATATAAGCAAATAGCCAAGAATTTCAAAATGAGCTCTAGGATGTATGAAATATAAAAGGACTTTTCTAAGTGACATTATTACTGAAGATTAATGGATGAATGCATGCCTCAAAAAAGGATGAAAGGTAATTAGAATCTTACTGATTACTGGCTCAGAGAACAAGATGATCAAATAAAATTGGGGTGGGAGAGTTGTAAATAGTGTAGGGAGAAATCTGGCTGCTACATAAGAAATGGACTCTGGAAAAGAGAAAGACTATGTCTGTTTTGTTTGGTGGAGTTAGTGGAAAAGGTCTTTGGAAGAGGGTGTTGTTCTTGTGGGTTTCATACTTAAGAAACCCAGTCAAGTCAATTCCTGTGAGTTAACTTCATTACATCCAAACCTGACTTACTAGACTTCATATATTCTTTTAAAAATTTTTAATATTTTACTAATAGCAACATCTGTCATATGTTACCACATCAATTATTTTATTTTATTTTATTTTTTACTTTATTTTATTTTATTATTTTTATACTTTAAGCTTTAGGGTCCATGTGCACAATGTGCAGGTTTGTTACATATGTATACATGTGCCATGTTGGTGTGCTGCACCCATTAACTCGTCATTTAGCATTAGGTATATCTCCTAATGCTATCCCTCCCCCATCCCCCGACCCCACAACAGTCCCTGGTGTGTGATGTTCCCCTTCCTGTGTCCATGTGTTCTCATTGTTCAATTCCCACCTATGAGTGAGAACATGCGGTGTTTGGTTTTTTCCTTGCGATAGTTTGCTGAGAATGATGGTTTCCAGTTTCATCCATGTCCCTACAAAGGACATGAACTCATCATTTTTTATGGCTGCATAGTATTCCATGGTGTATAGGTGCCACATTTTCTTAATCTAGTCTATCATTGTTGGACATTTGGCTTGGTTCCAAGTCTTTGCTATTGTGAATAGTGCTGCAATAAACATACGTGTGCATGTGTCTTTATAGCAGTATGTTTTATAATCCTTTGGGTATATACCCAGTAATGGGATGGCTGGGTCAAATGGTATTTCTAGTTCTAGATCCCTGAGGAATCGCCACACTGACTTCCACAATGGTTGAACTAGTTTACAGTCCCACCAACAGTGTAAAAGTGTTCCTATTTCTCCACATCCTCTCCAGCAACATCAATTATTTTAAGAATTCGCTCATTTAATTCACAAGTTAAATTGTATATAGTTATGATGGAAAACATGATTTTTTGATATATGCATACATTGAAGAATGGCTAAATCCAGCTATTTACCATATGCATTATCTCACATACTTATTATTATTATTTTTTGCAGTGAGGATACTTAAAATATACTCTCAGCAATTTTTAAGTATAAAATATATTATTAGCTATGGTTGTCATGATGTACAATGGATACCTCAAACTTATTCCTCCTGTCTAATTGAAATTTGATGTCCTGTAGCCAACTCTGCCTGACCCCAACCCAGACTGCCACTCCACCAACCTCTGATAACCATCACTTTACTCTCTGCTTTTATGAGTTCCGTGGTTTTAGATTTCATATGTAAATGAGATCATGTAGTATTTGTCTTTTTGGTCCTGGCTTATTTAATGTAATGTAATGTCCTCTAGGTTCCTTCAGGCTGCTGCAAATGGAAGGAATTTCTTCATTTTTTTTAAGGCTGAATAGTATTATATTGTGTATACACACTACATTTTCTTTTTCCGTTCATCTGCTGATGGACACTTAGGTTGATTCCATATCTTGGCTATTGTGAATAGTGCTGCAATAAACATGGTAGTGCAGATGTCATTTTGACATTCTGGTTTTATGTTCTTTGGATATATACCCAGTAGTGGGATTTATGGATCATGTGTTTGGTAGTTTTATTTTTAATTTTTTCTGGAATCTCCGTAGTGTTTTTTACAATGGCTGTACTAATTTACATTCCCACCAACAGTGTACAAGGATTTGCTTTTTTCCACATTTTTGCCGATTCTTGTTATCTTTTGCCTTTTTGATAACAGCCATTCTAACAGGTCTGAGGTGGTATCTCATGTGGTTTTAATTTGCTTTTTCCCTGACAATTAGTGATGTTGAACATTTTTTTATATACTTGTTGGCTATTTATTTGTGTTCTTTTGAGAAATGTGTATTCATGTCTTTTGCTCATTAAAAAAATCAGGTTTTCTCACTATGGAGTTGTTTGAGATTCTTAATATTTTGGATATTAACTCCTTATGATATGTATGGTTTGCAAATGTAGTCTCCCACTCTTTATGTGAGCTCTTCACTTTGTTGATTGTTTCATTGCCTGTGCAGAAGCTTGTTAGTTCAATATAATCCCATTTGTCTAATTTTGCTTTTGTTGCCTGTGCCTTTGAGATCATATCCAAAAATCATGCCCCAACCAGTGCCATGGAGCTTTTTCCCCCTATGTTTTCTTCTAGCAGTTTTACAGCTTCGGATCTCACATTTAATTCTTTAATCATTTTGAGTCAATTTTTGTGTATGGTGTGGGAGGAAAGTCTAATTTCATTCTTTTTCGTGTGTATATGCAGTTTACCCAGTACCGTTTATTGAAGAGACTGTTCATTTCCCATTGTGTATTCTTGACATCTTTGTTGAAAATCAATTGTTCCTTCACATTTGGATTTATTTCTGGGCTCTCTATTTTATTCCATTGGTTTGTGTGTCTCCTTGTATGCAAATACCAGGTTATTTTGGTTACTATAGATTTGTGGTAAATTTTGAAATGATGCCTCCAGTTTTGTTCTTTTTGTTGAAGATTGCTTTGGCTATTTGGGGTCTTTTGTGGTTCCACATAAATTTTAGAATTTTACAAAATATTTCTATGAACAATTGCATATATTCTCATTCCCACGTCACACAGAGCCATCTTTTGAGAAATTCACCCCAACAGTTTACTTTTCTATCTTAGTCCCTGCCATCTTTAATGAATGCTATGTTAGGGAGATAGAAACAGTTGTTAGATTAACACAGATGGCTAGACAAGGGACTAGGAAACATAAATGGGGCAAGGAACTAAGAACTATATATGGGATAAATATGAAGGGAATCTGACATTTCCTAGCTAGTTCTGGATTAAAAATGAGTTGAGAGGTGGGTGGTTTAATACAAACTTCTTATACTAAATGGCCACACTTTTGGAAAGTATAAGTGCTGGGAAGAGAAAGATAATGTAGACTTTTTAGTTCAAATTTGTTGCTGTTTTTTTAAAGACCAAACAGCTGTTTACAGTTATTACCACAGTCTACAGAATATTCTGTAGCTGGGAAAAATAGAACCAGCATGACTATGCTATTGCAAGTAATTACACCTTCTACTTTATGATATTATGAATATTTGTGACAAGCTCTTGTCATTTTAGATAACAGATGGGTGCTTCTCTTGGTAATTTTAAAGCCCTTGATTGGCTGGACTTCTACATGTTCTTTATCAATATGTATTACATACATTTAATGGAGGACTCAAAATCATTCCTTGTCTTCTTTTTAGAAGATGAACAATACATAAGCCTACTCCTTTATATCAGTAAAACAACTTAATGTTGACCATCTACATTTATAGTATAATATTATGGCTGAGCAAAGTCTTCTTGAAGCCTTATAAGATCCTGAGCCACTAAGAAAAATTAAATTATGCTATCTATCGAGTGTATTCAGAAATTGTTGAATTAAAAGATCATCTGCCTTAATATTTAGCTAATCAGATAATTTAATTAACCATAGTTTCTCAATGTTTTAGCTTTCTGCATAATGCAAAATATTTAGATTAGCTGATAAAGTATCCAGTTAAAATACAAAATGAAATTTTAGACTGTAGCACACAAAGTGTATATCTAACCAGTTTCTTATTGTCATTAAAATATGTTTAAAAGTAGTTGTTAAATATATTTTTGTCACCAATTTTATTTCTTGTAAAATAAGGCAGCAAATGCAGGCATTCATTTGCTATACTGAAAACAGCCTTGAAATATTGGCTAAGAGGGTACATAATCTTTCATCTACGAGTGTTTTAATTATCTCACCACTTTGATGTTAGGAACCCAAGAATCAGAGTTCTACAATAATTATTTGGATTATAAAGGCAGGTATTGTTTCTGGTTTTCGTCTTTTTCAAAATGTGGTACTCTGTTGACATGGGTTTCATAGCATGTACTTTGTTAAAACTTACTTTGGTGCATAAGCTTTTTGATGTGCTACTGGATACGGTTTGCCAGTATTTTATTGAGGATTTTTGCATTGATGTTCATCAGAGATAATGTTCTAAAATTATCTTTTTTCGTTGTGTCTCTGCCAGGCTTTGGTATCAGGATGATGCTGGCCTAATAAAATGAGTCAGCGAGGATTCCCTTTTCTTCTGTTGATTGGAATAGTTTCAGAAGGAATAGTACCAGCTCCTCTTTGTACCTCTGGTAGAATTCGGCTGTGAATCTGTCTGGTCCTGGACTTTTTCTGGGTGGTTGGCTATTAATTATTGCCTCAATTTCAGACCCTGTTATTGGTCTGTTCCGATATTCAACTTCTTCCTGGTTTAGTCTTGGGAGGGTGTATGTGTCCAGGAATTTATCCATTTCTTCTAGATTTTCCAGTTTATTTGCATAGAGGTGTTTATAGTATTCTCTGATGGTAGTTTATATTTCTGTGAGATTGGTGGTGATATCCCCTTTATCTTTTTTTATTGCATCTATTTGATTCTTCTCTCTTTTCTTCTTAATTAGTCTTGCTAGTACTAGGTCTATCAATTTTGTTGATCTTTTCAAAAAACCAGCTCCTGGATTCATTGATTTTTTGAATGGTTTTTGTGTCTCTATCTCCTTCAGTTCTGCTCTGAGCTTAGTTATTTCGTGCCTTCTGCTAGCTTTTGAATGTGTTTACTCTTGCTTCTCTAGTTCTTTTAATTGTGATGTTAGGGTGTCGATTTTAGATCTTTCCTGCTTTTTCTTGTGGGCATTTAGTGTTATAAATTTCCCTCTACACAATGCTTTAAATGTGTCCTAGAGATTCTGGTATGTTGTGTCTTTGTTCTCATTGGTTTCAAAGAACATCTTTATTTCTGCCTTCATTTTGTTATGACCTGAATGACCCCATAGTCACTCAGGAGGAGGTTGTTCAGTTTCCATGTAGTTGTGCGGTTTTGAGTGAGTTTCTTACTCCTGAGTTCTAGTTTGATTGCACTGTGGTCTGACAGACAGTTTGTTGTGATTTCTGTTCTTTTACATTTGCTGAGGAGTGCTTTATTTTCAACTATGTGGTCAATTTTGGAATAAGTATGATGTGGTGCTGAGAAGAATGTATATTCTGTTGATTTAGGGTGGAGAGTTCGGTAGATGCTTATCAGGTCCACTTGGTGCAGAGCTGAGTTCAAGTCGTGGATATCCATGTTAACGTTCTGTCTCATTGATCTGTCTAATATTGACAGTGGAGTGTTAAAGTCTCCCATTATTATTGTGTGGGAGTCTAAGTCTCTTTGTAGGTCTCTAAGGGCTTGCTTTATGAATCTGGATGCTCCTGTATTGGGTGTATGTATATTTAGGAGAGGTAGCTCTTCTTGTTGAATTGATCCCGTTTCCATTATGTAATGGCCTTCTTTGTCTCTTTTGATCTTTGTTGGTTTAAAGTCTGTTTTATCAGAGGATTGCAACCTCTGCTCTTTTTTGCTTTCCATTTGCTTGGTAGATCTTCTTCCATCCCTTTATTTCGAGCCTATGTGTGTCTGTGCATGTGAGATTGATCTCCTGAATACAGCACACTGATGGGTCTTGACTCTTTATCCAATTTGCCAGTCTGTGTCTTTTAATTGAAGCATTTAGCCCATTTACATTTAAGGTTAACATTGTTATGTGTGAATTTAATCCTGTCATTATGATGTTCGCTGTTTGTTTTGCCCATTAATCGATGCAGTTTCTTCATAGTGTTGATGGTCTTTACAATTTGGCATGTTTTTGCGGTGGCTGTTCCTTTCCATGTTTAGTGCTTCCTTCAGGAGCTCCTGTCAGGCAGGCCTGGTGGTGACAAAATCTCTCAGTGTTTGCTTGTCTGTAAAGGATTTTATTTCTCCTTCACTTATGAAGCTTAGTTTGGCTGGATATGAAATTCTGGGTTGAAAATTCTTTTCTTGAAGATGTCGAATATTGGCCCCCACTCTCTTCTGGCTTGTAGAGTTTCTGCTGAGAGATCCACTGTTAGTCTGATGGGCTTCCCTTTGTTGGTAACCTGACCTTTCTCTCTGGCTGTCCTTAACATTTTTTCCTTCATTGGAAACTTAGTGAATCTGACAATTATGTGTCTTGGAGTTGCTCTTCTCAAGGAGTATCTTTATGGTGTTCTCTTTATTTACTGAATTTGAATGTTGGCTTGCTTTGCTAGGTTGGGGAAGTTCTCCTGGATAATATCCTGAAGAGTGTTTTCCAACTTGGTTCCATTCTTCCCATCACTTTCAGGTACACCAATCAAATGTAGATTTGGTCTTTTCACGTAGTCCTATATTTCATGGAGGATTTGTTCGTTTCTTTTCACTCTTTTTTTTCCTCTAAACTTCTGACTTTATTTCATTAATTTGTTCTTCAATCACTGATACCCTTTCTTCTACTTGATCAAATCATCTGTTTAAGCTTATGCATGCACCACGTAGCTCTCCTGCCATGGTTTTCAGCTCCATCAGGTCATTTAAGGTCTTCTCTACACTGTTTATTCTAGTTAGTTATTTGTCTAATCTTTTTTGAAGGTTTTTAGCTTCCTTGTGATGGGTTCGAGTATCCTCCTTTAGCTCAGAGAAGTTTGTTATTACTGACCTTCTGAAACCTACTTCTCTCAGCTCCATCCAGCTTTGTTCTGTTGCTGGTGAGGAGCTGTGATCCTTTGGAGGAGAAGAGGCACTCTGGTTTTTAGAATTTTCAGCCTTTTTGCACAAGTTGGCTTCATCCCTGGGATGCAAGTCTGGTTCAACATATGCAAATCAATAAACGTAATCCATCACTAAACAGAATGAAAGACAAAAACCACATGATTATCTCAATAGATGCAGAGAGGCCTTCAACAAAATTCAACAGCCCTTCATGCTAAAAACTCTCAATAAAATAGGTATTGATGGAATGTATCTCAAAATAATGACAGCTATTTATTACAAACCCACAGCCAATATCATTCCAAATGGGCAAAAACTGGAAGCATTCCCTTTGAAAACTGACAGAAGACAGGGATGCCCTCTGTCACCACCCCTATTCAACATGGTGTTGGAAGTTCTGGCCAGGGAAATCAGGCAAGAGAAAGAAATAAAGGGTATTCAATTATGAAAAGAGGAAGTCAAATTTTCCCTGTTTGCAGATGACATGATTGTATGTTTAGAAAACCCCATCATCTCAACCCAAAATCTCCTTAAGCGGTTAAGCAACTTCAGCAAGGTCTCAGGATACAAAAATCAATGTGGAAAAATCACAAGCATTCCTATATGTCAATAACAGACAAACAGAGAGTCAAATCATGAGTGAACTCCCATTCACAATTGCTACAAAGAGAATAAAATACCTAGGAATCCAACTTACAAGGGATGTGAAGGATCTCTTCAAGGAGAACTACAAACCACTGCTCAATGAAATAAAAGAGGACACAAACAAATGGAACAACATTCCATGCTCATGGTTAGGAAGAATCAGTATCATGAAAATGGCCATACTGCCCAAGGTAATTTACAGATTCAATGCCATCCCCTTTAAGCTACTAATGACTTTCTTCACAGAATTAAAAAAAAGTACTTTAAAGTTCATATGGAACCAAAAAAGAGCCCACATTGCCAAGACAATCCTAAGCAAAAAGAACAAAGCTGGAGGCATCACGCTACCTGATTTCAAACCATACTACAAGGCTACAGTAACCAAAACAGCATGGTACTGGTACCAAAATAGAGATATAGGCCAATGGAACAGAACAGAGCCCTCAGAAATAACATCACATATCTACAACCATTTCATCTTTTACAAACCTGACAAAAACAAGAAATGGGGAAAGGATTCCCTATGTAATATATGGTGCCGGGAAAACTGGCTAGCCATATGTAGAAAGCTGAAACTGGATCCCTTCCTTACAACTTATACAAAAATTAAGTCAAGATGGATTAGACCTAAAACCATAAAAACCCTAGAAGAAAACCTAGACAATACCATTCAGGACATAGGTATGGGCAAGGATTTCATGATTAAAACAGCAAAAGCAATGGCAACAAAAGCCAAAGTAGACAAATGGGATCTCATTAAACTAAAGAGCTTCTGCACAGCAAAAGAAACTACCCTCAGTATGAACAGGCAACCTACAGAATGGGAGAGAATTTTTGCAATCTACCCATCTGACAAAGGGCTAATATTTGGAATATACAAAGAACTTAAACAAATTTACAAGAAAAAATCAAACAACCCCATCAAAGTGGGCAAAGGATATGAACAGACACTTCTCAAAAGAAGACATTTATGCAGCCAACAGACACATGAAAAAATGCTCATCGTCATTGGTCATCAGAGAAATGCAAATCAAAACCACAATGAGATACCATCTCACACCAGTTAGAATGGCCATCATTAAAAAGTCAGGAAACAGGCCCAGAGTGGTGGCTCATGCCTGTAATCCCAGCACTTTGGGAGGCCGAGGCGGGTGGATCACGTGGTCAGGAGATCGAGACCATCCTGGCTAACACGGTGAAACCCCATCTCCTCTAAAAATACAAAAAATTAGCTGAGTGTGGTGGCGGGTGCCTGTAGTCCCAGCTACTCGGGAGGCTGAGGCAGGAGAATGGCATGAACCTGGGAGGTGAGGCTTGCAGCGAGCTAAGATCGCGCCACTGCCCTCCAGGCTGGGCAACAGAGTGAGACTCCGTCTCAAAAAAAAAAAAAAAAAAAAAGTCAGGAAACAACAGATGCTGGAGAGGATGTGGTGAAATAGGGAAGCTTTTACACTGTTGGTGGGAGTGTAAACTAGTTCAACCATTGTGGAAGAAGGTGTGGTGAAAGGATCTAGAGCTAGAAATACCATTTGACCCAGCAGTCCCATTACTGGGTATATACCCAAAGGATTATAAATCATGCTACTGTAAAGACACATGCACCTGTATGTTTATTGTGGCAGTATTCACAATAGCAAAGACTTGGAACCAACCATCAGTGAAAGACTGGATTAAGAAAATGTGGTACATATGCACCATGGAATATTATGCAGCCATAAAAAGGATGAGTTCATATCCTTTGCAGGGACATGGATGAAGCTGGAAACCATCATTCTGAGCAAACTATCACAAGGACAGAAAACCAAACACCGCATGTTTTCAGTCATAGGTGGGAATTGAACAATGAGAACATGTGGACACAGGGCAGGGAATGTCACATACTGGGACCTGTCGGGGGGTGGAGGGGGGCTGCGGGAGGGATAGCATTAGGAGAAATACCTAATGTAATTGATGGGTTAATGAGTGCAGCACACCAGCATGGCACAGGTATACCTATGTAACAAACCTTCACGTTGTGCACATGTACCCTAGAACTTACAGTATAAAACAAAACAAAACTTAATTTGGAGATGTAGTTGGAAACTGTGATAGTTGTATGGGGATAGCTTCTTATGGCTGTGTCAGGTACCATGTGAGAATGTATAAGGTGAGTTCTTGATGAGTCATGTTTGAAATACATTTGAAGTAAAACTAGTTTTAGTCAAGAAAACAAAACGGATACATTTGGTGTTTGGAGATTGCTTTGAGATAGGTCTGTCTCATATTAACTCTTTGCTTTTGGATACGTCTTTCTCATATTAACTCTAAAAGAGAGCTTCTTTATAAGAGCATTTGAATTAAGGGGAGGCAGAAGAAAGTTGTGATCCAATAATACTTATCCCCCACAAGATTATCTGAAAAAACTCGGACTTTTTTTTTTTTTGTCTACACAAAAATTGACTTTGATTGATTTTTGTTGCATTAAGTAGACAAATTCTCCAATGTGGATGGGTCCCATGAGAATGAAATAGAAGAGTTGGGCTCATGATGAAAATTAAGCAGATCTGCAGTTGGCAAATAGTCTTGTTTGTTTTGAAAATTAGTAACAGTTAGATTCGTTGTTCTCTTGGCCTTTTCCTTTCCATCCCTGATAGATTGATGTTTCCACCTGTCAACCTGAAGAAGTAAAAAGGACTGTGCATCTATAATATGTTTGTGACTATTTGATCACTGTAAGTAAAGGAGATCTGTTTTTTAAGAATCTTTTGGAAAAGGTGCCCAAAATTCCCACTGAACTGTTTTTTCCTTATCATCTTCCTTCCCCCAAGTAAATGAGTTAACAGTGGAACTTTTTCTTCTAATCTACCTCATGGAACACTAAGATGAGAAAAAAAAATTAGCTGTGTTATTTCCCCCTTTCATTTCATATTGCTTTTTATGGTAGATTTATGGTGTGCTACCCAAATTTCTTGCCTGGTCCTCCCCTTTTCCCTAGCATTTGCTACATTTAACATCAAAGCACTCATTCACTTAGCTGTTATTTAAAAAATTGAATTAAGATTTACAGTACACATGTTTAAATTATTTTCTACTTTATTGACAGCTCACAGCTGACTGCCTAACAAGGAATTACCTTCAGCAAAGGCAAGTCTTCTTGCCCAAGATTATGTCTCCTTTTCAGGAACATCCTATCCAAAGGCAGGCCAATGTGGGGCATAAGGGCTTGGCCCTCTTGCTTTTATTTGGGACATTCCAACTACAGAGAACCCCATGGTATCAGCCAAGGTCTCTGTCACAACTGCATCACAGTTCATGTTCTCATTTTGTCCAGTACTCTATCTTTCCCATCACTGCTCTTGGATTTTATTTTGAAAGTATTTCTTAATAAACCACCTGAAAACCTTAATCTCAGAGCCTGTTTACTAGGAAACCTGACCTAGGACAGTTGGTATCAGAAAATTCTAAATGACAGTTGTACTCTTAAATGAGATCTTGGAGATGCTTATGTGCAAGGCAGCCGGCAATAAGGACAACCATTACTGGTGGTATGTGGAATATAAATAGCCTGTGGCATGATGTAGCAGTCCAGTTATTCAAACTTCCATTGGTAGTAAACCAAGATCAGATGCTGGTGGAAGGAAATAAACTAGAAGATTCAATATCTCTGGTATTTAACAGCTTTGGGGGAAATAGTAATCATAAGGTCTGTGGAATTGAATGTCTCTTGCTGAGTGGCCTTGGTACAGTGGAGAAAGACAACAAAAGGCTGAGGGTGATTGATCAGTGACTTATCTGTGAAAGCCAAAGGACCTCAGTAGTAAGATATAAAGAAGTTCTAATTTCTGAAAGCCAGAGAAAAAGAAGTGCTGAATATCAGGACTTGAACTGGGCTTCCTGACAGCAGAGAATTTGAGTTCTCAAGGCCAGCAATTCTGCCATTCAAGGTAAGAATCTTGGTTGAGAAGGAATGGAATGCTGAATTTGGGCTGGGGACATTTGAGTCAAAGTAACTGCAACTTAAAACTTCCGACTTCTGGCTGTGCATGGTGGCTCACACCTGTAATCCCAGCACTTTGGGAGGCTGAGGCGGGTGGATCACTTGAGGTCAAGAGTTTGAGACCAGCCTGGCCAACATGGTGAAACCTCATCTCTACTAAAAATACAAAAATTAGCTGGGCATGGTGGCGGGTGCCTGTATTCCCAGCTACAGGCTGGGAGGCTGAGGCAGGAGAATTGTTTAAACCCGTGAGGCAGAGATTGCAATGAGCCGAGATCATGCCATTGCACTCGAGCCTGGGCGACAGAGTGAGACTCCGTCTCAAAAACAAAACAAAACAAAACAAAAATCCCTTCTGATTTCCGTGAACCTTCTGGGCCTATAGAAGTAGCTCATTCTGGTTGGGCGAGGTGTCTCACGCCTGTAATCCCAGCAGCACTTTGGGAGGCCGAGGCGGGTGGTTCATGTGAGGTCGGGAGTTCGAGACCAGCCTGGCCAACTTGGTAAAACCCTGTCTCTACTAATAATACAAAAACTAGCTGAGCATGGTGGCACATGCCTGTAATCCCAGCTACTCTGGAGGCTCATATGGGAGAATCCCTTGAACCTGGGAGGCGGAGGTTGCGGTGAGTGGAGATTGTGCCATTACACTCCAGCCTGGGCAACAAGAGCAAAACTCCATCTCAAAAAAAAAAAAAAAAAAAAAAAAAAAAAAAGGAGTAGCTCATTCCATCCCATTAAAAGCTAGCAAAACACATTACTTGAAGATGATGCCAAAATTAATATACCTAATCAACTTTCTTTTGGTTAGTGTTGGCAAGACATATCTTTTTTCATCCATTTACTTTTTAACCAATTTTTGTTTATATATTTAAAGTGAATTTCTTGTAAGGTGCAAATAGTTGCATCTTCCTTTTTTCTCTAATTTACAATCTCTGCCATTTAATGAAGACTTCAAATCATTTACATTTAATGTGATTATTGATATGCTTAGGTTTAAATCTTTTCTCTTGCTATTTATCTTCTATATGCCCATGTGTTCTTTGTTTCATTTCCCCCTTTTTCTGCTTTCATTTGGATTAATTGTATTTTTTATGATTCTGTAATTCTTTGCTATTTTAGGGGTTGATTTAGAATTTAAAATACAAACGTTTAAGTTATCACGGTTAACACTTAAGTGCTTTTATACCGTTCTATTCATAGTGAAAATAGTGTAAAAGCCTTAGTATAGTATTCTCCTATTTTTCTGTTCCTTTTTTTTTTTTTTTTTTGGTTGTTTCAGGTGGGAGTAGAGATTCAGTCTCAGACTTTATCTTGACTGAAATTAGAAGTCCTTTGTTTTATATAAGAATATACACCAGAAACAGCCTGTGCAGCAGTGGCACTAAACAACTAAATAGACAATTGTACTTTGAATAGCTGATGTCAAATTAACCACTCTGGTGCTGGAAGTAGCCATGTTGGCAAAGACGAAGGCTATTCATGAGCCCACAGCTTGGGCTTCAACTCACCTATGTTAATCCAGCTATGATACTATTTAGGTGTAACCTGCCAGCAATAGACAATTGCTGAGCCCTTAATATGACACCGTTCCTCAAGGCTAACTAGCCATTTGATTATATTGGACACCTCTCACCCTGGAATGAGAAGAGATTCATGTAGACTGGGATTGGAATTGATTTTGGGTATGATATAGGTTTTCCTGTTCATAGGGCTGAGGCTAGCTCCACTCTCCAAGGGGTTAGAAGTATCTGGTCCATGGATATGAATTTAACATAATGCATCATCAGACAAAGGAATCCACTTTACAGCAAACAGTGTAACTTTGAGCACATAGCTATGATATCCACTGTTCTATCTTGTACCACACCATCCAGAAAATACTGGCCTGCCAGAGTGACAGAGTGATAAATGAGCAGCTTAGTAAGGGCACAGAACATTCTATATGTTCTTAATCAATAACCATTATAATGTGCTGTATCCCTAATAAATATTCCAGACTACATAAGTCTGGGAACCAAAGAAGTGGTAGAAGGAATTGACCAGTTTCGCATCACTTTCAATGATTCCATTACAGAATTTGTCTTTCTTATCCCTACAACTTTGGGCTGTATGGGTCTAGAGATTATGACTCCCAGAGGGAGAGTGCTTTCACCAGGAGACGCAGAAAGGATCCTATTAAATTTTATGGCTGAGGTTTTAAACACATTAGAATCTTTGTGCCAAGAAGTCAGAAGGCAAGTAAAGGAGGCACGTAGTAGTGAAAATTGACCCTCATCATCAGAAGAGGGTAGGACTGTTGTCCTCCAGTGAACACCAGAGGATCCACTAGGTGTTTCTTGGTACACCTCCACCCACTTGTGATCATCAATCGACAAGTGCAGTAACTGTAGTATAAAAAAGCTGTGGTAGGCAGGGGCTTACATCCTGGGGCTTAGACTGGCAGAGGTGCTGAGTGTGGGGGAAATCTAGAATTAGTAACAGAGGAAAGAGATGATGAATATCAGTTGAGACACTGAGAAGAGCTGCAGTGGTGGAGGGATTGTCATTTATCTCACTAACCTTTCACTTGTGTGTGTCCCCAGGAAGAGAATGACCAAATCCTGGAGGAAGTATTCCCAGATGAGGTGGACTTAATTACTACTGATGGATATGGGTGGAACAAGGGGTAGACCCAAGAATGTGGTGGAGTGCTGCCCAGAACACTCACATCAGTATCAAGGCACTCATTCCACCAGCTTCTGGAAGCGTTAACTGCTGAGAGGGCACAGCTGAGACCCTCCCACAGAATGCCCTCGGCAGGAGGCCTTTGCCTCACCCAAGTTTACATTTGCTCTTCAGGAGTAACCTACATCCAATTACAAAGCAAGAATGTAAGGGCCTGTTCCCCTTGCCTCAATTCAGGGCAATGTAGAAGACTAGACTATTAGAAGAGTAGGCTAGTTTCAGAGATCTCCAAGGGATTGGCTGCGGCCAACTTTTTCAGAGTTCAACTTTTCCCACTGCTCACTTATTCTTCTTTCACTCTGTTACAAATGTTGATACTGAAATCACTTCCTAATGAACTTCATGCCTGCAAATTTCCATTTCAGAGTCTGTTCTCCAGGAAACTTAATCAATAGCACCTTTCCTTACCCTTATTTAATTTTATGCCACAAAACAAATTATCAGCCTTCAGTCAATATAAAATTGTACTTGGAGTATTAATATCAGATCTATAAGAAATTGTCATAAATGACTTGTTTTAGTGATCCAGAATTTATTAAGCTTTCTCTGGTAAGGGTATACTAATTTTCCTCTGGGATCCACTCCTTTTTCCCTTATTTTGTGTGCTTTGCATGACATTGACTTATTCCCAGCTCAAAAGATTGACTTGAGATTTAGGCCTAACCATTCAAAGTATCACTTTTTTCCTGAACTCTTCCAAAGTTCAGAAATAAATATGTCACTCAATAAGAGCCAATAAGGCACAACAAAACTTATGTGAGCAGCTAAGGAAAAAGATATGTGGACTTTGCCTTCTGGATTTGAACATGCAAGCCTGTGGTCTGGAACTGCTGGTAACCATTTTGCACTCTGGGAGAGTGGAACCAGTAGATGAAGGGAGTCTTCGTCTTTATGTCATTATTAAACTCCTGGATCAAGACATACCTGAAGCAAACATATTCTTGGAGTTTCAGTTGTATGATTTCAATAAGTTCCTTTTTAAAAATAAGCTATTTGTGCCGAATTTCCTGAAAGTCTCGTTGCTGAGGCAGTATCTTACTGAACTAAGTCATGGACGTGAAAAATTAAATTACTAAAAGTGCTTTGGATGGAGAAAGCAATTACATGAAGAGAACTCTGATCTGAAAAGTGTAAGGTGCCATTTTGAGCACTTCTAGGAGTTCTAAGGAAAGTTTAGGTCGATATTTTCCCTTATCTTACAATATGTTCCATTCTTGTTACCATGATAATTACTGTAATCATATCAGCATGGTCTAAAAAGGTCCTGCAGTTAATAGTGGAGAAAACAGGAACACTTTGTTATATTTTGCCTAATTGTTAAATATGGTATTTGCAAATCTAGAATCTTCTTCAGGATAGAGAAAAATGCCCCATTTATGGCATAATTGCACTGGCTAAGAACAGTCTATTTTAATATCTCTGAATCTCTATTTCCTAATGTGTACAACGGGGAAAATTCTTCCTGCCTAACACGAAAGTTGTAAAGATAAAATGAAATGATGTACACATAGGTACTCTGTATATTATACATGACTAAGTAATTGTCTGTGGCTATTGTTGGTGGGTATCCAGCAATAAATAAATAAATGATGCAATCCTAAATCTTCTAATTTGTTCATAGCTAAAACATAATATGGTATTTGCATAGATACCTAATTTTTTAACTTCTTAAGGAAAACAATAAATTGAAATATATAGGACAGTTATTAAGGAGTCATTGCCTATTTGTTTATTTATTTCAATTTGGCTTATTTGCAGTCAGATGGATAAGAGCCTTAGTTCTTAAAGAGATTAATCCTTAGAGTCTAGGAGCAAACATTATCCAGACTTCCTTTCTGGGACTCCTTCTTATTGTTTTTAAAACTTTTGAGAGTACCCTTAAGCACTGAATTTATGTCAGGATATTGAAAATGTCTGCCTATACAGAAATTTCTTCCACTAAACTGAGAACTCCTTGAGGCTAGAGGCTATCCGTATTTCAATATTCTCTCAATGCCAGGCAACTCACACTGATTTACACACTGCTAGTATTAAGTCTGTTTGTTCACGATTTAAATGTGTTGAATTTAAATTAAGGACATTCATTTTGTAGTTTTTATAACTCTCCTAACATATCTATTGTTTTTTGCTTTAGCTCTATTTTTGCTACCTGATTAATTTATAGTAGAGGATTAATCTAGAAGAAGAAGTTTTGATTATTAGATCAAACTTCCAGGGCTGTTCCTGGACCAGATGAGAAAGACAGATATTAAATTCCTTAGCAGTTATTTAAAATACTTCTTTTTGTTTTTTTGGAGACAGATAAAATCTCTCTTTATTGCCCAGGCTGGAGTGCAGTGGTGTAATCATGGCTTGCTGCAGCGTTGGCTTCCCAGGCTATAGCGTTCCTCCTGCCTCAGCCTCCCCAGTAGCTACAGGCATGCACCAACCTGCCTGGATAAAATTTTATTTTTTTGTACAGATGGAGTCTCTCTATGTTACCCAGGCTGGTCTTGAACTCCTGGTCTCAAGCAATCCTCCCGCCTCAGCCTCCTAAAATGTTGAGATGACGGGCAACGGCCACCATGTTTGGTGATTTAAAATACTTGTTCACAACAGTAATGTGTGTTTGATGGGAAATTTAAATATGTGGAATAGTAGAGTGTAAAAATTACTAATAGCATTGGGAATCTAGCATATATATATAATATTTATATATACAACATGAATGTCCTCAATTTAAATTAAACAAATTTAAATCATGAACAAACAGACTTAATACTATCAGTGTTTAAATCAGTGTGAGTTGCCTGGTATTGAGAGAATATTAAAATACTTATAGCCTCTGGCCTCAAGGAGTTCTCAGTTTAGTGGAAGCAATTTATGTATAGCATATACATATTATATATTATAATATAGCATATATATATGCTATAGATATAGCATTGGGAATGCCATGCGCGCACACACACACACACACACACACACACACACACACACAGAGACAGAGGGAGAGAGAGAAAGAGCAAGATATATGCCAGACAGATGATAGTGATTCTCTTTGGAGAAGGGAAGGGATTGAGAGAAGGTCATAAAAGGGGAGTTAATAATTTTTACATTCTACTATTTAACATATTTAAATCATTCATGTGGATAGGGTGTGTAAATCATTCATGTGGATAGGGTGCATTTGTACACACATGTGCACACACATGATTCCCAATGCTATATATACATATATGTATATAAATAAATAATATCATACTCTGAAGATTGTTTTGGAACTTGCTTTATTTTTTTCTTTTCTTTTTCAATTAGTGATATATCTGGGATGACTATCCAAACCAGCATATAGAAATTGTTTTGTGATGTAAAATGGTTGCATTGCATCTGTAGCATAGCATAATCATGATTAATATACATATTTTCCTATTGGTAAAATTTTTGTTTCATTTTAATTACAAAAAGAAATAATAATATTTTAGAATGTTTATCTTTGAACAGGTCAGAATCCTGTAGCGTAGATTCATAGAAGTGGAATTCTGAGTAAAAAGACATGCACATATAGAATAGATGCCAAATTACCCTCTAAAAAGGCTGCACCAATTTCTACTTCCACAGTTTTGGTCTCCATACCCTTGTCAAATATAGACATTTATTACTTATTTTTACTTTTTACTGACCGATGTGTAAAAAATCATATTTTATTGTTACTTTATTTGCATTTCCCTAATTACCAATGAAATTTTCTTGAACATCCAATTCTTCATTCTCTGGAAACCCATATACTCCAGTTTTTCTACTTAGATTTGAATCATTATTTTAGAAATTCATGTATTAGTAAATCACATTATTTTTCCAGCAAGGGATGATAAGAGCAGTGACTCTTAATCCTTTTAAATCTTTGAATTATTTGACTCTCTGACTTACTGAAAAGCCAAAAGATATTCCCAATTACTTTCTCCGTTTCCAAGCCAATTCCTGTCTTCTAGGTATCCTACTCACTGGGGCTCTGATGGGTAGGTATGCTGCATTTAAAGCAGGATAGTTCTTTCTTCTGGAAGACTTTGAGAATTAGATGTAATAGTAAGAATAAATCATATGTACTGTTGTTTAATGAGTTTCTTTTGAATTTAAACACTTAACCAGGTTTTTTGCATTTAATCCTTTCATCAGCCTTATGAAGAAGTTATTACTTATACTCATTTTACACGTAAACTAAAACTCAGAAAATTAAATTGTTGTCCCAAGTTTCATAGCTAGTAGGTGTCTGACTCTAGAGCTGTGACGATTCTGTGGTATCTTTATAGCCTTGTCCTAGTCTGTCTCTAATTCACACTCCATAGGCTTTTTTTTACATATAAAACTTTAGTAGGAAATAAAACAGAGATTACAAAACAATACCGTTTCCTTTTTTATGCAAATACTTCAATATTCCAGTATTTTTACTCACTTGCTAAATAAAACACACAACTGGAAACACTAAATAACTCTGTTAGTCTAAATCTTTTAAAGAATAAAATGTTGGGTAAAAACCCAAAATTGACTAGTGAGATATGTATGACCTTGTTTATTATCTATCATAGGCAACAAGATGATCCTTGAGACAGAGAGTAGAGCATTTACAGGCCTTGTCAGGAAAATGTGACTAAATCCTAGGTCCTTCAACCCCGTAGCTATCAGCTTTCATTTACTGGTGTTCTGTGAGGAAATTAAGCCATGATCAGGCTATTCTTTTCTCAGTTTTCCCGAGGATGGTATGCTAGTAATATTCTATATACACAGGAGATAGGTTAATTCATTAAATATGATGGATGTCTTGGGCCATCAGGGCTTAATGCTCTCCTGGAATCCTTGTTGAGAAGTGCTGATAGACTGTCATCTTTCATGAGTCTCTGTCACTTGAGTACTGTTAATTGTTTAAACTTTAAAAACAGACACACATGAAAAATGACTCTTAGTGCCCATGAGATAACATTTCTGTGACTTTTTGATACCTGAATGTCACTCAAGTAACAAGTCCACATAGTAATAAACTTGTTCTACAAAGTACCTGACTATTGATAATTTCAGTGGCAAATCTGTTAAAAAGGCTTATTTTTACTTTCATCTTCCCACTACTCAAAATGTACGATTTCTAAGAAATGTCCTGGGGCCACAACCATGCTATGTTCTTCCAGAATTTTCTTTTTTTTAATACTTGGCCTTAATTTTATTTATAATCTATGGAGTTTTTTTTTTCTTCCAGAATTTTTGTCAAAGATTTTGTACTTAACAGTCTCAGGGTAAAGGCTCAGGTTAAGGAAATTGCCCAATGTTCGTTCATAGCTGGTTAGTGACAACGTCTAGATTTCTATTTAAGTCTATCGACTTCAAAGCTCTTTGGACTAAAGTATTGTTTTTCCTAGGTAGCCAAAAAGATTGAAATAAATGCAAATGCCTATGGCTTATAAGGTAGTTATCTTACAACTACCTTCATGATTTGAAAAACAGCCACTCAAAAATGATAGTAACAGTAACAGTGACATCTAAAAACACCTGGTGAAAACACCAGGAGGTAATATGCTGTAGTGAAAAACAAGTAAGTCATTTTTGATGTCATGAAAATGCAGACTAGATGTAATTTAGATGAACACTCAGTGAACACAGAGGCTTGCACTTCTTTACCTTTAATGAGAGGAGACACGCTTATTGAGAGATACAAAGTTTCTGTGAGAGATGCCTCCTCTTGAAGTAGGTTAGATAAGGTGGTCATAGTGTCTCTTAAAGGGGAGCAAACCTGCCAAATAAATGGAGATAACAATCCACTCTGCAGTGTATGAACTGCATTCTGGGCTCATGGTTGAACACTTTGCAGCAAGGAGGTAAAAGAGCAGAAGGGAAAATCCCCAAATTCATGCAACTGCAGAAACCCATGATTAGTGTCTTTGGGCTGACTTATTATGCTCATTATAATAGTAAAAGACACCCTTGGGTAGAGAATTAAGAGGCTTATGAGACATGGGATGTATGTACTAGCATGTACAGCAAGATCTTTGTAATCCCCTAAACTTGTTAAATAAGATCAATCTGTTACTAATACCATAAAACTTGCCCCAATACCCTGTAACTCAGGCTCTTAAGAATTCTGGAGAGACAAAGGTAAAGCTAGAGATCGGACTCACTCCTACAACCTTGAAAGACATTTTGAATTTGATGATAACATGAGATCAAACTGGCACCTGATAACTCAAAGAAGAAAGGTTTTATGAAGAGTTTATAGAAGCCCAGGTGCGGTGGCTCACACCTGTAATAATCTCAGTACTTTGGGAGGCGCAGTGGACAGATTGCTTGAGGTCCAAAGTTCAAGCCAAGCCTGTCTAATATGGTGAAACCCTGTCTCTACTAAAAATACAAAAATTAGTTGGACTGTGGTGGCTCGCGCCTGTAATATAGCTACTTGGGGGACTGAGGAAGGAGAATCGCTTGAACCCAGGAGATGGAGGTTGCAGTGAGCTGGGATCCCGCCACTGCACTCCAGCCTGGGCAACAGAGACAGACTCTGTCTCAAAAAAAAAAAAAAAAAAAAAAGAGTTTATAGATGAGCTCCTGCCCATTATGACAATATTTTTCTGTCTCCCAATTTTTTTCTCATTCTTACTGCAGTTTCCATAACAACCCATATCCCATAAGCAACTGAAGTTACTAATGAGGAGACAGTTTTCACTAGCTTTTTGATGTTTGGGAACCGTTTTCTCATTGACACTCTGTGATTTTCAGGGAACCTTTGCTCTTATTGACACTCTATGATCTACAACCCTGCCAATTAGGTTGTAGTTTCCAAGCATTCTAGACACCCCAGTGCCTACTATAATAACATTTTAAGTTTTGTGGTTGTTACACCAGTATCAATAAATTTTAAAAAATATAATTTTCTTTGAATGCATGTAGGGTATAAGAAAAACATATTTTCTTCAGTGTTAGCCAGTCTTCAGAAAGAAGAAAAAGACTTACTCGTCTTAATAAAAACAAAGGTAAAGTGTTATTGTGATTGTGGGAAAAGGATTTTTGTAGCACTTGATGTGGGAAAAGAATGATTTCAAAAACTTCACAGTTTATCAGTCTCTTGATTATGACTGAAGGGAAAATACATAGTGTGCATATTTAATTTTTCTGCCCTTAGAAACTGTTTTTTATGATTATTTTTGGTTATTAGGTATCTCTCATGGAAATATATAGGATGAAGAGACATCAACATGTATGATTTAATCCAAGTATCATCTACCTTACACATTATTTATATGAAATAATATAAAATATAGTATCTGTGTGTCATATTGATCTTATTATTGTATTACCATATATTGGGACTTATGTTTTTAGTTTCTCTTTAAAGCCTCTTGCCTCACTTGTCTCTTTTATTCAGCTCAGTTCCCAAATCTTGAACTCATGAGTTGAAATTGGTAGAGGACTGACTGAACTATCCCATACTATAAGGAGTATCAAGGAATCATAGAATTTGTTTTAGCTTACTAGATGTAATTTCAATGTATAATATTTGCAAGTGACAAGAATTATACTTACACTCACTGTATGTATGTGTGTGTGTATCTATTATCTATCATTAATTCATTCATTTTAGTTGCTTGGAGATTCTCTAATGTGTCATTGTTATCATAATTTCCTTTAATTCTTATAAACATGGTTCTTTTGGTATTTTGAACATATTTATGATCATTGTCTGGTAGTCTGTCTGCTAAGTTAAACATTTGGAAACTTTTAGAAACAGTTTCAGTGGATGTGTTTTTTTATTACTAGCAGTCAAAATTACATATTTCTTGTCAGACGTCACTTTTTTCTTATTGAAAACTGGACATTTTTGGCGTATTGTAGCAACTCTGGATTCTGATCTTTCCCCAGCTGGGGGTTTTTGCTGCTGCTATTTTGTTTATTTGTTTAGTAAGTTGCCTGTGCTAATTCTATGAAGCCTGTCTTCCTCTGGGTGGACACTGCTGTCTCTTCCGAGTGATTTTTTTTTCTTTCTTTCCTTCCTTCCTTCCTTCCTTCCTTCCTTCCTTCCTTCCTTCCTTCCTTCCTTCCTTTCTTCCTCCCTTCCTTCCTTCCGTTTTGTTAAATCTGGCTTTCTAGGGGTAACCTTGGGTGAGCATAACTTGGTATTGGGCCAGTGATTGGTCAGAGGTCGTGTTTAATCATCTCAAGCCAGTAACAGTTCCACTGTTTACTAACAGATATATTTGTGGCTTGGGGGATGCATTCAGAATTCAGTCAATTTGTTAAGTCTTCCCTGGCTTTTACTTTCTGCTCAGCCTGCTTGTTTCACCTCTGCATGGGTGCATGGCCTTACGCACAGCCTTCCAGATTTCCAGGGATATGTACTTGCTTATCAAGTCTCACTCATTCCCTGCATCTTCCTGTTAAATTTCTGGCTAGTCTGCCAGTTTGTTACTAGACCCATCCAGGATCATCAAGTCAGTATAGCTTTGACCTTTGATTTTCCCTATTCTTTTTTTTTTTTTTTTTTTTTTTGAGGCGGAGTTTCGCTCTGTCGCCCAGGCTGGAGTGCAGTGGCGCGATCTCGACTCACTGCAAGCTCCGCCTCCCGGGTTCACGCCATTCTCCTGCCTCAGCCTCCCGTGTAGCTGGGACTACAGGCGCGCGCCACCATGCCCGGCTAATTTTTTTGTATTTTTAGTAGAGACGGGGTTTCACCGTGTTAGCCAGGATGGTCTCGATCTCCTGACCTCGTGATCCGCCCGTCTCGGCCTCCCAAAGTGCTGGGATTACAGGCGTGAGCCACCGCGCCCGGCCTTCCCTATTCTTTTAACATCACTGTGGCTGCTGTTTCTGACAGTGCCCAGGTGCATGGGTTTTTTTTTCTGACCTTTGCTGCAAATTAAGACATCCCCTCCTTGGGCAATAAAGCTGCTGGTTTCACCGCTTGCCCCTGACCTTATAGAGCTACTAAGCTGATGGGTGCTGGGAAAGACAAGTAGGGAGCAGCTTCAGGCTAAAACCCCACAGATTCCCGCTGTTATTATCCAGGGTTTAGTTTTTCTTTATTATTGAATCTGAGTGTCTTATTTTGCTTTATGCCTTTCGTCCATTTCTAAAGAAATTGTACCTTTGGTCTATTCCAGAATCCTGAAATCTTAGTGTTGGACAATTTTGTTCAGTTTTATCACTGCTTTTTAAGAAGAGGATTTGATGAACTCCTCTCTCCATCATCCCAAAGCCCTGTTCAATCCAGTCACATTTTGGCAGCTGTTCTGTTTAAGATTTCTTGAAAATTTCTGTCATTGAACACAATTTGTTGGCTTTCTAGGCATTTGGCACATGTTGCCCACTAGTAATTGTCTTTTATTTCTTTAGAACTTGCTCATAGTTGCCCAAGACAGCTCTATGATGTGATGACATTTTCTTTAACATTTCCCTTATCAAATGCTAGTTTAATAACTTTACATTGGTTAGTATGGTGAAATTTTTCATGTAATTCTAGTATTTAGTTCTCCCTCTGAGGTATGTCTATCTAACTCTACTCTGGAGATAGTCATGTGCAATCTTTGTGAGATGCAGAAGTTATAAAGTGAAAATTCTCAGAGGCTCTCTTTCGCCTCCTGTCCTGTTCATCTCTGGTTGATGGTTTTTCTGAATCTTTTCAACCAGTTTCTAGACCCTAATCTGTATATCTGTGTTCAGGGCTTTCTCTTACATATTTGTTTTCTTATTTATATTCTTTGTCTCTTTATAGTTGAAAGAACTAATACTGCTTTGAAAATTACTTTTAAACCTTTAACAATTTCCTGCTTACGTGGGATGGTAAAATGAAATTTCTCTGTACTTATGCCAGAAAATATGAACTCTATCCTGATTCTCCTCATCTGTAAACTAAAGAGATTGGAGTAGTTCAATTTCAGGGCTACCTCTGGCTCTATTGTTCTGTGATTCTGTGAACTTGAATTCCTACATTAACTATGAAATATAGCTATTTAATAAATTTGGTGTTATACATTAAAACCTATATAATCTTTGCGTATAATAAAAGGGATAGATACATATTAATTAAGTGTTCACTTACTGAAATTGTCCTGAGAGGCGAGTGAAATTTAAGAATTGAAATCATTTTTTTTCTTTTTCCATGCCATGTTCTCAAACACAAACTATCTTTTGGAGGTGATTGGGGCCCAGCAGCTTCCTCTTTCACAGCTAGTGGAGCACTGAGAATTCAGTGCACTGGCAGTCAGGGTTAGAGGGGGGTTAGTGTGAGTGTCAGAAATGGGATTTCAAATACTAAATAGCCTTCCGCTTCATATCCATAAGGCTTTGCTCTTCCCTGAGCTTAGTGCTGATTTTAAAAACATATTTAGCCTATTTTGATTTGTGCTAATTATTCAGAGTGTATTAAATATCAATGTGAATATTGAGACTGAAAACATTCCCAACATATTTATTGCAACTACACACCCTGAGCACATGCTTTGTTTGTAAATGAGCCAATGTAATACTTTAGCAAACACCATATAACAATATATTAAGTCCTAGTGCAGTGGGTCATGCCTGTAATCCCAGCACTTTGGGAGACCGAGGTGGGAGGATCACTCGAGGCCAGGAGTTTGAGACCAACCTGGGCAACACAGGAAGACCCTTTCTCTACAAGAAAATAAAAGAATTAACCGGGTGTCGTGGTGTGCACCTACAGTCCTTGCTACTTGGGGGGCTGGGATGGGGAAGAGCACCTGAGCCCAGGAGTTTGAGGTTGCAGTAAGCTATGATCTTGCCACTGCACTTGCCTGGGTGACAGAGAGATACCCTATCTCAAAAAGAAAAAAAATATATACTTATATGAAATACAATGTATTTTTATAAGGTAATGCTAATTCTTTTTTTTTTTTTTTTTGAGACAGAGTCTTGCTCTGTCGCCCAGGCTGGAGTGCAGTGGCACCATTTCAGCTCACTGCACCCTCTGCCTCCTGGGTTCAAGTGATTCTCATGCCTCAGCCTCCCAAGTAGATGGGATTACAAGCATGTGCCACCACATCTGGCTGATTTTTGTATTTTTAGTAGAGGCGGGGTTTCACCATGTTGGCCAGGCTGGTCTTGAACCCCTGACCTTAAGTGATCTTCTCACCTCTGCCTCCCAAAGTGCTGGGATTACAGGTGTGAGCCACTGTGCCCAGCCAGTTAATGCTAATTCTAATTTGAAACATTTTAAAGAAATTATGATCATTTATTTACTCGCTATTAAAGAGGGTAAACTTATATTTTAAATATCTTTCCAACTCTCTGCTTCTTTTTGGTTGAGATTTAACATTAATCTTGGCTCTTTTGCTCCACCCAAGTAATAGGAACTGTCTTTTACTGACCATCTACTATATGGTAAGCCCCATGCTAGGTGCTTTACAAGGAAGACATCTGATTCTTGAAATAACCCTCCATGGTAGGACTTGCTTTGTGGATGGGAAAACAGGCTAAAAAATGTGACTCAGGCAGTCACAGCTTGTAGGTGGTAGAAATAGTTTTCAAAGACAGAACTCTGCCTCCAAAGTTTGCATCCTTTCCATTACCCCACATATACCCTCCCTACCTACCTCCCCTGTTGGCTGTGATAAGGGATATATGTGGATGTTGGCTACTTTTTAATTTATTTTTTGATCTGTTCTGCATCTGTTCATTTTAGGAACTGTCTTTTTTCCCCCTACTTCCTGCAATTCTTTTTTTTTTTTTTTCCTTTTGAGACAGGGTTTAGCTCTGTTGCCTAGGCTGGAGTGCAGTGTGGTGTGATCTTGGCTGACGGCAATTTCTGCCTCCTGGGTTCAAGCAATTCTTTTTTTTTTTTTTTAAATACTTTAAGTTCTAGGGTACATGTGCACAACGTGCAGGTTTGTTACATAGGTATATATATGTCATGTTGGTGTGCTGCACCCATTAACTCATCATTTACATTAAGTATATCTCCTAATGCTATCCCTCCCCCATCCCCCCACCCCACGACAGGCCCTGGTGTGTGATGTTCCCCACCCTGTGTCCAAGTGTTCTCATTGTTCAATTTCCCCTATGAGTGAGAACATGTGGTGTTTGGTTTTCTGTCCTTGCAATTGTTTGCTCAGAATGATGGTTTCCAGCTTCATCCATGTCCCTACAAAGGACATGAACTCATCCTTTTTTATAGCTGCATAGTATTCCATGGTGTATATGTGCCACATTTTCTTAATCCAGTCTATCATTGATGGACATTTGGGTTGGTTCCAAGTCTTTGCTATTGTGAATAGTGCCGCAATAAACATATGTGTGCATGTGTCTTTATAGCAGCATGATTTATAATCCTTTGGGTATATACCCAGTAATGGGATGGCTGGGTCAAATGGGATTTCTAGTTCTAGATACTTGAGGAATCGCCACACTGTCTTCCACAATGGTTGAACTAGTTTACAGTCCCACCAACAGTGTAAAAGTGTTCCTATTTCTCCATATCCTCTCCAGGACCTGTTGTTTCCTGACTTTTTAATGATCACCATTCTAACTGGCATGAGATGGTATCTCATTGTGGTTTTGATTTGCATTTCTCTGATGGCCAGTGATGATGAGCATATTTTCATGTGTCTTTTGGCTGCATAAATGTCTTCTTTTGAGAAGTGTCTCTTCATATCCTTTGCCCACTTTTTGATGGGGTTGTTTGAGTTTTTCTTGTAAATTTGTTTACGTTATTTGTAGATTCTAAATATTAGCTCTTTGTCAGATGGGTAGATTGTAAAAATTTTCACCCGTTCTGTAGGTTGCCTGTTCACTCTGATGGTAGTTTCTTTTGCTGTGAAGAAGCTCTTTAGTTTAATTAGATCCCATTTGTCAATTTTGGCTTTTGTTGTCATTGCCTTTGGTGTTTTAGTCATGAAGTCCTTGCCCATGCCTATGCCTGAATGGTATTGCCTAGGTTTTCTTCTAGGCTTATTATGGTTTTAGGTCTAATATTTAAGTCTTTAGTCCATCTTGAATTAATTTTTGCATAAGGTGTAAGGAAGGGATCCAGTTTCAGCTTTCTATGTATGGCTAGCCAGTTTTCCCAGCACCATTTATTAAATAGGGAATCCTTTCCCCATTTCTTGTTTTAGTCAGGTTTGTCAAATATCAGATGGTTGTAGATGTGTGGTATTATTTCTGAAGGCTCTGTTCTGTTCCATTGGTCTATATCTCTGTTTTGGTACCAGTAGCATGCTGTTTTAGTTACTGTAGCCTTGTAGTATAGTTTGAAGTCAGGTAGCATGATGCCTCCAGCTTTGTTCTTTTGGCTTAGGATTGTCTTGGCGATGCAGGCTCTTTTTTGGTTCCATATGAACTTTAAAGTAGTTTTTTCCAATTCTGTGAAGAAAGTCATTGGTAGCTTGATGGGGATGGCATTAAATCTATAAATTATCTTGGGCAGTATGGCCATTTTCATGATATTGATTCTTCCTGTCCATGAGCATGGAATGTTGTTCCATTTGTTTGTGTCCTCTTTTATTTCATTGAGCAGTGGTTTGTAGTTCTCCTTGAAGAGGTCCTTTACATCCCTTGTAAGTTGGATTCCTAGGTATTTTATTCTCTTTGAAGCAATTGTGAATGGGAGTTCACTCATGGTTTGGCTTTTTGTTTGTCTGTTGTTGTTGTATAGGAATGCTTGTGATTTTCGCACATTGATTTTGTATCCTGAGACTTTGCTGAAGTTGCTTATCAGCTTAAGGAGATTTTGGGCTGAGATGATGAGGTTTTCTAAATATACAATCATGTCATCTGCAAACAGGGAAAATTTGACTTCCTCCTTTCCTAACTTAATACTCTTTTTTTCTTTCTCCTGCCTGATTGCCCTGGCCAAAACTTGCAACACTATGTTGAATAGGAGTGGTGTGAGAGGGCATCCCTGTCTTGTGCCAGTTTTCAAAGGGAATGCTTCCAGTTTTTGCCCATTCAGTATGATATTGGCTGTGGGTTTGTCATAAATAGCTCTTATTATTTTGAGATACATCCCATCAATAACTATTTTATTGAGAGTTTTTAGCATGAAGGGTTGTTGAATTTTGTCAAAGGCCTTTTCTGCATCTATTGAGATAATCAAGTGGTTTTCGTCTTTGGTTCTGTTTATATGATGGATTACATTTATTGATTAGCGTATGTTGAACCAGCCTTGCATCCCAGGGATGAAGCCAATTTGATCATGGTCAGTACACTTTTTGATGTGCTGTTGGATTCAGTTTGCCAGTATTGTATTGAGGATTTTTGCATCAATGTTCATCAGGGATATCGGTCTAAAATTCTCTTTTTTTTTGTTGTGTGTCTGCCAGGCTTTGGTATCAGGATGATGCTGGCCTCATAAAATGAGTTAGAGAGGAGTCCCTCTTTTTCTATTCATGGGAATAGTTTCAGAAGGAATGGTACCAGCTCCTCTTTGTACCACTGGTAGAATTCGGGTGTGAATCTGTTTGGTCCTCAACTTTTTTTGGTTGGTAGGCTATTAATTATTGCCTCAATTTCAGAGCCTGTTATTGGTCTATTCAGGGGTTCAATTTCTTTCTGGTTCAGTCTTGAGATGGTATATGTGTCCAGGAAATTATCCATTTCTTCTAGATATTCTAGTTTATTTGCATAGAGGTGTTTATAGTATTCTCTGATGGTAGTTTGTATTTCTGTGGGATCAGTTGTCATATCCCCTTTATCATTTTTTATTGCATCTATTTGATTCTTCTCTCTTTTCTTCTTAATTAGTCTTGCTAGTACTAGGTCTATCAATTTTGTTGATCTTTTCCAAAAACCGGCTCCTGGATTCATTGATTTTTTGAAGGGTTTTTTGTGTCTGTATTGCCTTCAGTTCTGCTCTGATCTTAGTTATTTCTTGCCTTCTGCTAGCTTTTGAATGTGTTTGCTCTTGCTTCTCTAGTTCTTTTAATTGTGAAGTTAGGGTGTCAATTTTACATCTTTCCTGCTTTCTCTTGTGGGCATTTAGTGTTATGAATTTCCCTCTACACACTGCTTTAAATATGTCCCAGAGATTCTGGTTGGTATGTTGTGTCTTTGTTCTCATTGGTTTCAAAGAACATCTTTATTTCTGCCTTCATTTTGTTATGTACCAGTAGTCATTCAGGAGCAGGTTGTTCAGTTTCTATGTAATTGAGTGGTTTTGAGTGACTTTCTTAATCCTGAGTTCTAGTTTGATTGCACTGTGGTTTGAGAGACAGTTTTTTATAATTTCTGTTCTTTTACATTTGCTGAGGAGTGTTTTACTTCCAACTATGTGGTCAATTTTGGAATAAGTATGATGTGGTGCTGAGAAGAATGTATATTCTGTTGATTTAGGGTGGAGAGTTCTGTAGATGTCTATTAGGTCCACTTGGTGCAGAGCTGAGTTGAAGTCTTGGATATCCTTGTTAACTTTCTGTCTTGTTGATCTGTCTAATGTTGATAGTGGGGTGTCAAAGCCTCCCATTATTATTGTGTGGGAGTCTAAGTCTCTTTGTAAGCCACTAAGGGCTTACTTTATGAATCTGGGTATTGGGTGCATATATACTCAGGTTAGTTAGCTCTTCTTTTTGAGTTGATCCCTTTACCATTATGTAATGGCTTTCTTTGTCTCTTTTCATCTTTGTTGGTTTATAGTCTGTTTTGTCAGAGACTAGGATTGCAATCTCTGCTTTTTTTGTTTTTCATTTGCTTGGTAGATTATCCTCCATCCCTTTATTTTGAGCCTATGTGTGCCTCTGCACATGAGATGGGTCTCCTGAATACAGCACACTGATGAGTCTTGACTCTTTATCCAATTTGCCGATCTGTATCTTTTAATTCAAGCATTTAGCCCATTTACATTTAAGGTTAATATTGTTATGTGTGAATTTGATCCTGTCATTATGATGTTAGCTGGTTATTTTGCCCATTAGTTGATGCAGTTTCTTCCTAGCGTTGATGATCTTTACAATTTGATATGTTTTTGCAGTGGCTGGTACTGGTTGTTCCTTTCCATGTTTAGTGCTTCCTTCAGGAGCTCTTGTAAGGCAGGCCTGGTGGTGACAAAATCTCTCAGCATTTTTTTGTCTGTATAGGATTTTATTTCTCCTTCACTTATGAAGCTTAGTTTGGCTGGATATGAAATTCTGAGTTAAAAATTCTTTTCTTGAAGAATGTTGAATATTGGCCCTCACTCTCTTCTGGCTTGTAGGGTTTCTGCCGAGAGATCCGCTGTTAGTCTGATGGGCTTCCCTTTGTTGGTAACCTGATCTTTCTCTCTGGCTGCCCTTAACATTTATTTCTTTCATTTTAACTTTGGTGAATCTGACAATTATGTGTCTTGGAGTTGCTCTTCTTGAGGAATATCTTTGTGGCGTTGTCTGTATTTCCTGAATTTCAATGTTGGCCTGCCTTGCTAGGCTGGGGAAGTTCTCCTGGATAATATCCTGCAGAGTGTTTTCCAAATTGGTTACATTCTCTCCGTCACTTTCAGGTACACCAATCAGATGTAGATTTGGTCTTTTCACATAGTCCCATATTTCTTGGAAGCTTTGTTTGTTTCTTTTTACTCTTTTTTCTCTAAACTTCTCTTCTCATTTCATTTTATTCATTTGATCTTCAATCACTGATACCCTTTCTTCCACTTTGATCAAATTGGCTACTGAAGCTTGTGCATGCATCACATAGTTGTCGTGCCATGGTTTTCAGCTCCATCAGGTCATTTCAAGTCTTCTCTACACTGTTTATTCTAGATAGCCATTCGTCTAATCTTTTTTCAAGGTTTTTAGCTTCTTTGCGATGGGTTCGAACATTGTCCTTTAGTTCGGAGAAGTTTGTTATTACCGATTGTCTGAAGCCTTCTTTTCTCAACTCGTCAAAGTCATTCTCCGTCCAGCTTTGTTCCATTGCTGGTGAGGAGCTGTGTTCCTTTGGAGCAGAAGAGATGCTCTGATTTTTAGAATTTTCAGCTTTTCTACTCTGGTTTCTCCCCATATTTGTGGTTTTATCTACCTTTGGTCTTTGATGACGGTGATGTACAGGTGGGGTTTTGGTGTGGATGTCCTTTCTGTTTGTTAGTTTTCCTTCTAACAGTCAGGACCCTCAGCTGCCGGTTTGTTGGAGTTTGCTGGAGGTCCACACCAGAGCCTGTTTGCCTGGATATCACCAGCAGAGGCTGTAGAACAATAAATATTGCAGAACGGCAAATGTTGCTGCCTTATCCTTCCTCTGGAAGCTTTGTCTCAGAGGGGCACCCAGCTGTATGAGGTGTCAGTCGGCCCCTACTGGGATGTGTCTCCCAGTTAGGCTACTCAGGGGTCAGAGACCCACTTGAGGAGGCAATCTGTCCGTTCTCAGATCTCAAACTCCATACTGGGAGAACCACTTCTCTCTTCAAAGCTGTCAGACAGGGACGTTTAAGTCTGCAGAAGTTTCTGCTGCCTTTTGTTCAGCTATGCCCTGCCCCCAGAGGTGGAGCCTACAGAGGCAGGCAGGCCTCCTTGAGCTGTGGTGGGCTCCACCCAGTTCGAGCTTTCCGGCTGCTTTGTTTACCTACTCAAGCCTCAGCAATGGCGGATGCCCCTCCCGCAGCCTCGCTGCCACCTTGCAGTTCGATCTCAGATTGCTGTGCTAGCAGTGAGTGAGGCTCCATGGGCATGGGACCCTCCAAGCCAGGCGTGGGGTATAATCTCCTGGTGTGCTGTTTGCTAAGACCATTGGAAACGTGCAGTATTAAGGTGGGAGTGTCCCAATTTTCCAGGTACCATCTGTCATGGCTTCCCTTGGCTAGGAAAGGGAATTCGCCACTGGGAGCTGTAGACTGGAGCTGTTCCTATTTGGCCATCTTGGAACCTCACTCTGGGTTCAAGAAATTCTTGTGCCTCAGCCTCCCAAGTATCAGGGATTACAGGCATGCACCACCAAACCCAGCTAATTTTTGTATACATTTTTTAGGAGAGAGAGAGTTTCACCATGTTATCCAAGCTGGTCTCGAATTCCTGGCCTCAAGTGATCCTCTTGCCTCAGTCTCCTAAAGTGCTGGGATTATAGGTGTGAGCCACAGGGCCTGGGCCCCACATCCTCCAATTCTGAAAGGGTTCTTAAATATGTGGTCCTGGCCGGGCATGGTGGCTCGTCTGTAATCCCAGCACTTTGGGAGGCTGAGGTTGCGGGCAGATCATTTAAGGTCAGGAATTTGAGACAAGCCTGAACAAAGTGGTGAAACTCCATCTCTACTAAAATATAAAAATTAGCCAAGCATGGTGGTGCGCACCTGTAGTCTCAGCTACTTGGGGGTCTGAGGCAGGAGAATCGCTTGAACCAAGATCATGCCACTGCACTCCAGCCTGGGTGACAGAGCAAGACTCCCTCAAAAAAAAAATAAAAATAAAAAAAAAGCATGTGGTCCTGAGTTTCCTACCAAAGCATGGGCATGTAAAGCAAATAGGGATGGTATAGTCAAATAACTGACACAGACTCTCAGGGGTGCTGTTGTTATTGAATTTGCAGACTCTGAGGACCACATACACCTCATCTCTGTATTTATATAGTGCAGGTTAACTAGAAAAGTAGAGATTAGGCAAGGAGTGAGATACATGATGACATTGTTTGAACCTGTCGACTATCTGTGCCTGAGGCCACCTCACGCCCCTGTTACCTCTAGGATAAGTGAAACAATATATTCCTGCTGTTGCTTAAGCCAGCTTCCTTGAGTTTCTGATATTTGCAACCAAAGAATTGTAGCTGAAAATTTCTAATACATTCTTACCCTTAAAGGACTTGAATAGTATGCAAGGCTTTCTCCTGATAGCCTTGGTTGATTTAATACTGAATATTTGATGGTTGCATGGCTGTTACAGGTGACTGGCCCAAACTCCTTGCGCTAGAGCTTCAGTGAGGGAGCTATTCTCTTTCTCCCTCAGGTATGCGAAATGAATGCTGACTGGGTTGAGATGCCGAGTCATGTTAGACAGTTGAGAAGAGAAATCTGGGGGAATAAGATGCACATGACTTTAAAATGATAAGCCTTCTTAAGGTTACATTTAATGTGATGTGCCAAAGTTTCTGTTCTTGGTGCTGAATATTCATTTTAGTGAGGAGTCCCAGAGGCTTCACAACGGTGTCACTTTCTACAATTTCAGAGTGAAGAGAAATGTGCTTTCTGCTGATATTGTGCCCAAGGAGGAGTTGTAGGTAAGCTGGTGAATCTTTTTTAACCATTTAAGTTCTGACAAGCTGTTTTTTTTAAAAAAAGCTGACAATTCAGAAAATATTGAGAGTGCCATGAAAGCTTTTATTCAATTCCTGGTAAACTTGTTTTTAAAGGAGGATACATGAAGGGCAAAAAGGCATAAATTACCCATCTTTTAATAAACCCAAATTAAACTCAGTATGAGGTGCATGCATTATTTTAAAGTTATTAACTTCTAGACTCAGTTTAAATTGCCGTAAATTACATCTGGATGAACAACTTGGCCACCCTCTTCGCTCTAAATGTCATGGGATGATAACAGGGTTAATGCCCATCAATGATAGACTGGATAAAGAAAATGTGGCACATATACACCATGGAATACTATGCAGCCATAAAAAAGGATAAGTTCATGTCCTTTGCAGGGACATGGATAAAGCTGGAAATCATCATTCTCAGCAAACCAACACAAGAACAGAGAACCAAACACTGCGTGTTCTCACTCATAAGTGGGAGTTGAACAATGAGAACACATGGACACAGGGAGGGGAAAATCACACACTGAGGCCTGTCGGAGGGTTGGGGGCTAAGGGAGGTATAGCATTAGGAGAAATACCTAATGTAGATGACGGGTTGATAGGTGCAGCACACCACCATGGCACATGTATACCTGTGTAACAAACCATCATGTTCTGCACATGTATCCCAGAACTTAAAGTAGGATAATTTAAAAAAAAGTAAATGGAAGCCAGAAGAAACCTTGATTCATTCAGGTGGATAGAATTTATCACTACTCCCTGTTAGAATGCAAAGCCTTGCAGTCTTTTTACTTGCCAGCATTTTTAGTCCTGCTACAGGGAGATTTCTTAATAAATATTATTCAGTCGGATTTGGCTTGGGAGAAGCAAAGTGAGCATCAGGAGAAAGTGAAACATGGTTAGATTAGGAAAACAAAAGAAGCCCTCCTACCCGAGGCAATTAGGAACAATGGGTGGTGAATTAATTGAGAGAGTTATTTGGAGAGAGAATCATAAAAAATGAAGCGCATACACTCGACTTACAGTGGCGTTAAGTCCTACTAAACTTAAGGTAAATTGAAAATATCGTAAGTCGAAATGCATTTAATACCCTGAAAAACCATCGGAAAGTCGAAAAATTGTAAGTTGAACCATCCTAAGAATGCGACATTCTCTATTCCTTTGCCAATTTCATTAAAATAATTTGAGGCCTTCCTTTGAGATGAGCCTCAATGATTGACATTCTGCATCTTTTTTCGTGGCTAAACTACACCCATGATGCTTTATCTCTCATATCCTGTTTCCAGATTCTAGTTCTTCAAAAAGGGTCAGAATTTTAAAATCTTTGTGGAGCTGCCGGCTTCCACTCTCCATCTAGACTTTTGTGGATGTAATGCCTCCACCTCATTCACACCAAATTATATAGCAATTTTTGATAGTGGTCACATTTAGAACATGTTTTTGAAACATCCAATTTAGTTTTCATAGCAAAACACCTTTTCATTCTTTTTGAACTCTTATTTCAGTTGTTTATGTAATAGTTAATAAAATGTTCTAATTACCTCAACAAGTGCAGCTGGTAGAAAGCCAATAGGAACAAACAAACACAACTGACTCTTACAGCCCAACTGGTGGGCCCATAATTGGGTAGAGTGCTAGGAGGATGCGGTGATATTGTGATACAATAAGAAAAATGTATTTGGTTTCTGCTTCTTGTTCCTAGCACATAGTGCCTAAAACCTTGAAATCTCCAAAGTGATATCTTTTTGAACACTAATGAGACGATTGGTGCCTGGGGGCCCCTATATAGCTTCATAATGGGGGCTGCTCACCAGAAAGAGAGGCAGGATTAGAGGGTTGGAAATTTCAGCCCAACACCCCAATCTTCTAGGAGTGGATAGGAGCTGAAGATTGAGTCAATCACCAATGGCACATGATTTAATCAATCTTATCTACATAAAGAAGCCTCTATAAAAACCCAAAAGGACTAGCTTTGAAGGGCTCAAGAGCTTCCAGATTGCTGAACACATGAAGGTTCCTGGAGTGTGAGGTGCCCAGAGAGAGCATGGAAGCTCCTTACTCCTGCCACATGCTTTGCCCTCTGCACCTCTTCCATCTGGCTGTTCATCTATATCATTTGTTATATCCTCTAAATAAACCAGTCAACAGTAGTGTTCCCTGAGTTCTGTGAGCCGTTCTAGAAAAATAATCAAACTCAAGGAGGGGGTCATGGGAGCCTTGATTTATAGCTAGTTGGTCAGAAGCACAGCTCACAACCTGTGGCTTACAATGACATCTGAAGTGGAAGCAGTCTTGTGGGACTGAGCTCTTAATATGTGAGACCTGACACTATCTCCAGACAGGCAGTACTGGAACTGAAGTGAATTATAGGACAACCAGTTGGTATGTGCTAGAGAACTGATTGTTTTGGGAAGAAGTCCCCTACAACACTTTGTTGACCAGAGGTGAACTGTGCTGTGTTGAGTGTGTGAGAGGAGGAAAAACACTTTGGTTTTCTTATCTCTTACAGACTCCTATAATTTTATTATGACATGGGTATTAGACAGTTTCCTGAGTTTATAAGAGGGAATAGAGTGGGTTTGTTAATCTAGTGAGTAATTTAGCTGAAAGTTAGTTAAGAGATTTTTCCAGAGGAAAGTGTTCATAGGGAAGGAACTGGTTTGTGCTTTGTACTTATTTATAGATTTTCTAAAACATGGCTGGACTTTTCTTCAATGCACAAGTTAATAAAAACACAACATGTACTGTGAAATTAGATTCCCTTTCTGTGTCTCTGCTCTCAGAATGAATGAGCCAATTAGACGTGAACTCTGGTTTCTGAAGTAGCCACGATGGGCAGGTTGGGAAGGTAATAGATGGATCCTTGCTTCTGTTTAAACAAGTGAAAGGAAAAGACTGTAAAAAATCGTGGGATTGCCGGGATACACACTTTTTAAAATTCTGCCTTGAGACCTGACTCGATCACAAAGACATTCTCCATTGAACTTGTTTTCTCACTATGTCATTGCCTATTCCCCGATGGGGAAGCGTGTCATGATGATAGAATTGGAAAGTGCGCGCTGCCCTTGACTGTCCATTGTAACCATGTATCTAGCATTCTCTTAATCAAAATCTCACAGCCCTTGTTTGTAATCAGGTCCCAGTCCCATATCCTAGCAAGGGAAGCTGAAAAATGACAGAATTGCAATAGTAAATGTTTAGTGGCTTAGAGTAGCCTGTAGGTCTTCAATCATTAATGCCTCCTTTTTCTCTACTAAGCTATATTGCCATTAGAATGTGTAGAAACACATTTTTAATGCATTATTGATGAATGGGAAAAAACCCTCCTTTTTAATGAAAAATACTGTTTGGGTATATTTGGGTCTACAGAATTGTTGAATATGTCATCTACTGAATATTTAATCGCTATAACCTTACTGGAGGGTAGGGTAGAAAGCAAGAGGATAAGAAATAATGTTCACATTTTGGTAGATGTGGAGTGGTAACTAGTTTCTACCATTTATGCCATGTGTGAACAACTGCTGGGGTTTGCTACAGGAACATGACAAGCTGCTGTCACTAATGGAAACTGAAAAACGTTTCCATTTATCTTGCTTTCTGAATGTTGCCTCATAATCGGAACACAAATCATAAATAATGAAATCTAAGCCATGGGTTCCTCGGGAGTTGTGGAATTGCATTCCTCCTGATGAAAAAGATAGATTTCAGATAACCAGGGCTTGTTCTTGCGTATAATCAAGGGTGAGGATTCTGTACATTTTATGCGCTTCCCAACCACAAAAAAGACACAAAGAGTGAAGAAGTGGATCCTGGCCAGGGGTGGTAGCTCACACCTGTAATCCTAGCACTTTGGGAGTCTGAGGCAGGAAGATTGCCTGAGGCCAGTAGTTCAAAACTAGGCTGGGCAACACAGAAAGACCCTATCTCTAATTTTTTTTCAATGAGCCGCACGTGGTAGCATGTGCCTGTAGTCCCAGCTACTCAGGAGGCTGAGGTGGGAAGATTGCTGGATCCAGGAGTTTGAGGTTCTAGTGAGCTATAGTTATGGAACTACACGCCAGCCTGAGCAACAGAGTGAGATCTTGTCTCAAAAACAAGGAGCTGGGGGGGACTGAATCCCGAAGAAATGCTTCTAATGTTAGTGAAAGTCTATTTTACGTATGACATTACTTTGCATTTATAGTATTAGATGACATTATATAGAGAGAATTGTTTTCTATTAATATGGATAAGAAAATTAGGTACTTTTTAATAGCTTGTTTCAAAGACTTTCTGACTAATTTTCCTCCTTTTTTTGAGTTCTAGCTGCGACTCAGCCTGAAATTTCTAGTTAGGAAAAAAATGAGAAAAGCTACATTTGGTTCCACAGGTAGAAAACTATGGTTAAAACCATTAATGCATGTATATTATTATATTTTACATGTGGAATTATAAATCAGCTAATGACAGTGGGCCCAATTATATTTCTAGTTGTTTCTGCTGCTGTTCCTTATGACACAGGCATTTTAAAATGTAAAAGTGCTTTTAGTAACTCTGGAGATGAATACAGAGAAACTGGTTAATGTTAAAAAAAATCTATTGAACTTTGCATTTGATCTTTAGCATTGAGATGTGGTTGTGGGCACATACATAAAATGAGATATTCTCATTTAGGTTAATAGAAGTGGTATTGTAACCACTAAACATGGCTATGAGAAATCTTCTCATGATGCCTTCAGTAAAAACTAAAAATTGTATCCTAAATAATTGAAGAAATATTAATGATTCATGCAGGTTAGAACACTTGAAAGGCTCCACTTGTCCTTTACAACACCACCTCTTCTGATTGTCAGGGGCTTGCATTTCTTTCAAATTACCAGTGTTGATTTTCCAAGGACATGCACCTCATGCAGATTTATCTATTTATTAATGACTCAGCAAGTAATATCCCAAAAAATGACAATCTTGCCTATTACATAATGACATTTCTCCCTTTCAGAGCAAAGTATTTTATATTTTCATTTGGCCATACTGAAGGATAGGTTACCAAATGATGGATAAAGTCTAGGTTCAAATTCTAAAAGCTTTCAATATTTGCAAGTAAACAATTTAATTTTGTACTACCAAAAAGAATTGTTCTGCTTTTAGGGCGACTCACTGTCTGCTAAGATAGAAAGAGATAGAAGTAATATAATATATCAGAAGCAGAAGAATAACTGATTCCTGACAACTAACAAAAATAAAGTAATTGCAGGTCTTGGTTCAGCCATAATTTTGTGGCCAATTGTGAGAAGTTTTCATATAAACATCCATATACATATACATAAATATAGACAGTAGTAGTTATATATATATAAATATCAGATCGTCTTAAATAGGGCAAAGATTTTTTTTCACTTAGGGGTGCTATTGAATATTGAAAATATGGCATATATTCTCATATGAGAATATGCTATATAAACTTCTAGTCTATGGAAAAATACACTTACATTTTACAACTGCTTGTCTAGTTTCAGTATTTCTTTTTGTTGTTGTTGTTAGCTCATCAGAATGAGAAATGCAAACCTCAGTTGTTCTCAAGGGCTTAACCGCCAATCTTGTTCAACTTTTCCTATATTATTGATTTATTTTGGGCATTAATCAAGTCTGACCCTGATCTAAGAACTTGATGCTTCAGCATTCCATGGACTTTGGCCTGAAGTGAGAGAGTAAGCAGTTAATCACCTTTGGATGCCATCCCGATGTGCACCATTTAGTAGCATTATCAGTTTTTCCAGGCTTTGAAAATATTTCAATATCAAATTTATTATAACTTGAGGACTGTTAAGTCAAATTGTTTGGGAAAGTTGATAAAGATATGTCAGCATTGACTATTTCAGGCTACAGTTGATTGCCTCATCCTGTAGCTTGGACCAACTATGGTCAAAAGGAAATTAGACATCATTGAGTTATGCTATTATTAATCATATGGTGAATAGTAAAAATAGTAAGAGTAATGTACTAAAGTGGAAGAAAGTTTTCAAACTTCAGGCCCTCATTTATTATTAGGAGGCATTTGAATGCAAGATGGTTTTGATTGATTACATATCTGAATATTAATTTTTTTGTACTTTTCCTTTCCAACTAATTGAGTCAGAATACCTTTGTGAAACCATGTTTAGTACTTGGATCCAACTAAAATCCTCTAATAAAGGCTATTCGTGTAAAAACAAAATCATGATATATTTTTCTTTCTTGTTAAATAAAATGCAGATTTTTAGGATTTTTGAAGTCCGGTAGAGTCTAGTACATTCGTTGCTACTACATACATGAGCTACTTGCATCTTTATCTACTTATCCTGACATCCCTTCTTTGACTATGGAAAAACTGTCTGTTTTCCTACCTGAGGCCAACACTTCCTCTGGTTCATTAGCTTCCATTTTCCTGTGATTTTCCAAGGATATTATCTAGACATTCTTCTCTCTCCTGTAAATCAATTTTTCCACTGTAATTTTTGATCAGTATAATCACATGATGGAAAATTACCCATTAAATAAATCTCTTTGTTGTATTTCCTCCTCTCACTCCTATCACATTCTTCAGGAACTCTATGACAAAACTTCTAGAAATACCTATCCCTATCAGCTGTGCCCAAGATCACTCCTCTCATTCACTCTTGGCCTCCCCCTCAATCTGTCAAAATTGTGCTTGTCAAGATCATGAATGATTTTCCTTTTATTTGATGTAATGTTCAGTCCCCAGTTCTTATTTCCTTTGACCTTTCAGATCATTTGACACCAGTGTTCATGCCCTAATTTTCAACTTAGTTTTGTGGATACCAATTTTCTTGGTTCTTTTTATACCTCACTGGGCTCTTTCTTTCAGTCTTTGCTAGTTTCTCCTTATCTTCCCAACTTATTTGTGTTGCCTCAAGGCTAAATCTTTACATCGTGACTTTTCTTTAATCCAGACTGCCCTACTCTGTGAATCTTTCAGATCTCATTACTTTAATATCTTCTAAATATTAACAACTCCAAAATTTGTCCTACTCTTGACCTCTTTCCTCATCTCCAGACTCATATATTCAAATGTCTGCTTGTCATTCCACTTTGATATACTGTAGACATATTAAACTTAATATTGTAGGTACTAAAGTGAACTCCAATTTTGCTCTTTCTTTTCCAACATTACTCTTCTAAGAGTCTTTCTTACTTTAATAAATGGAAACTCTTTCCTTCCAGTTGCTCAGACAAGACAAAACAAAATAAAAAAACACATAAAAAGCCCCAAAGTAAGCAAAACAAAAGAACAAAATCAAAAACCATGCAGTTATCCTTTATTCCTCAGTTTTTTTTTCAAAATCTCACTTCTAAGCCTTCAGGAAATCCTGTTGGCTCTATTGTCAAAATACACAGATAACTGATCTCTTTCTTGTCCCTTTCATCATGACCATCATAGTTCAACCTGCCCACGTTACTGCTTTCATCATCCAACTCATCTTCCTGCTGCCACACTTCTTCTATGGTCTACACTCAACACAGCAGGCAGAATATATTTTTTAAACATAAGTGAGATCATGCCCTTCTCAGAATCTTCAAGTGGCCTCTCTTTTCTTCCAGAATAAATACTAAAGACTTTTCAATAGCTTAGGTTTTCAAGATCAGCCCCTCCACTACTTCTTTAACCTGATTCTCTACTCTTTTCCTTGTCACTCAGCTTCCCGGGCATACTGGTCTCCTTGCTATCTCTTAAATATTCCAGTTAAGGGCTTGGCGTGGTGGCTCATGCCTGTAATCCCAGCATTTTGGGAGGCTGAGGCGGGCGGATCACCTGAGGTCAGGAGTTTGAGACCAGCCTCAACATGGAGAAACCCCATCTCTACTAAAAATACAAAATGAGCTGGGCGTAATAGTGCATGCCTGTAATCTCAGCTATTCGGGAGGCTGAGGCAGGAGAATTGCTTGAACCTGGGAGGCAGAGGTTGCGGTGAGCCAGGATCACGCCATTGTACTCCAGCCTGGGCAAACACAGCGAAACTCCATCTCAAAAAAAAAAAAAAATAAAAATTCCCAGTTAAGCTCTTGCTCCAGGGACTTCCTTGATTCTTCTTTCTGGAACACCCTTCTCCTAGATATCCCATTACTTACTACTCTGTTTCTGCAGGTCTTGTTCAAATGTTACCTTATTAGTGGAGCCTTTTCTTGTTACTGGATATAAAATATATCACTTGTCCTAAGTTTGTTTACTATTTTATCCTGCATGGAAAATATATGCTCTGTGAGATGAGTGTTAGTGAAATATGAACTAAATATCTGTGTAATATTGACTGATGCTTCTGAAACCTGAAGGATCGTCACAATCATCTAAGTGGCTTGGTGTGTTAATTAGTCCATTTGCATTGCTATAAAGCAGTGGCGTCCAATCTTTTGGCTTCCCTGGGACACATTGGAAGAAGAAAAATTATCTTGGACCACACATAAAATACATTAACACTAATGATAGCTGATGAGATAAAAAAAATTGCAAAAAAACCTCATGTTTTACGAAAGTTTATGACTGTGTTGAGCCACAGTCAAAGTCATCCTGGGCCGCATGTGGCCCGTGGGCCGTGGATTGGACAAGCTTGCTATAAAGGAATACCTGAGACTGGATAATTTATAAAGAAATGAGGTTTATTTTGGCTTATGCTTCTGCAGGCTCTATAGATAGTGTGGTGCCAGCATCTGTGTCTGGTGAGGACCTCAGGAAGCTTCCAATCATGGTGTAAGGCAAAGGGGGAACTGGTGTATCACATGATGAGAGAGAGAGGAGGAGAAGCCAGGCTCCTTTAAACAACCAGCTCTCCAGTGAACTAAGAGAGTGAGAACTCACTTATTACCATGGGAAGGGCACCAAGCCATTCATGAGGAATCTGTCCCCATGACCCAAAAACCACTCATCATCATGCCCCATCTCTGACACTGGGGATCACATTTCTACATGAGGTTTGGAAGGCATAAACATCCAAACCATATTACTTAGTAAAAATGAAAATGTCCAGGTTTTATTGCTTAGTCACTGCAGCATCCAAATGGCCAGTAGAAAAGTGCTTGCTGCATAGTGGATGCTCAATGAATATATGAATGAAGGACTGAATGTGTGAATAAGATGCACTCCCCACTGTACAGGGCAGAAAATGTGTGGTTTTATTTCTCTTTTTACTAATGCATTTCTTATTCTGTGCAACACTTAGTGAAAGGCACCAAAACAAGTAGAAAGATATACTTTCTTTCAATATTTTTTCTAGTTAAAGAGATTACCATCATAGCTACAAAAATTAAGACTTTATCTATTTGCTACAATCCCACAGAACAATCTTCTCCAATATTTAGCCATTTGAGTTCCACCTCCACCCTTTTTACATACTATTTTTGTTTAAGTTACCATTATATAAAATAAATAGAATGAAAATATAAAAATAAAATTGGAAGAATTCCTGGTGTCTAATGGAACAAAAGATTCTGACAGGGCTCTTTTACTTAGTTTCCTGTAGGTGACTTTATCCCCATTACTTCTTAAAAGCTGCTTTGAAATTGGATTCTAAGCAATATTTTAAATTAAGCATATCATGTTTATCCATTTCATATCATTTCCCAACTAAAATAATTTCTACACCTGTCATGGATGTGGGCTATTCTTTAAGTAATATTACCTCAGAAGACAGAAAATATGCCAGAAAAACGGAAACATATCATCACCCCCAAGGCTTAGTTTCTGTCCTCTAGAAGCTAACAAATCTCTGATTATGACGTTAGAAAATAAGCATGCAAACTAAGTATTAATGCAATGTAGATCAGTGTTTCCTAAATATAGATGACCACAACAATCATGCAAGTATCTTCTTAAAAATGCAAATTTCCAGATTTTTTTCCTTTCAGCGACTGATTTAATACGTCTGAAGCAGAGCCTGGGAAGCTGGATATTTTAAGTTCCTAAATGGTTCTGATGTGCTGGGAGATGTTTGAACTAATGCTATAGACAATAAAGGTTAATGAACTAGAGTAGGGCTCTCTTCCCTTGGAATGAGGTTTTCAGGTGTCAAAAATGTCATTGGACTTTGATTAATATATAGATCAGGTTCAGGTAGACAAACATAAGTTGGAGTGGGAAAGAACAAATTTATAGAGTGGCATAATTCGACATAAAACAGTTATGGTGCTCTTAACTCTAACAAAATAAAACTAAAAGAAGCTGAAATCATGAGGATATTTATTATCCATTTAACAAAAAGTCTAGATGTGGGGACAGATTTTAGGATTAGCTGATTCAACAGCTCGATGATGCCTTTAAAGGACGATGCTTTCTATATCTGTTAGCGAACTACCATTCTTGGTGATTTCACTTTTACTATTAGGACCACCGCATCATGGCTGCTACATGATTGCTAGAGCTCCAGGCATCATGTCCTCATACAGTTACACCCATGAGGTGTATATGAAAGGAAGGTCGAGGAGAGTTTCCTTACATGTCTTTTAATTAAGAATGAAAACCATTCCCAGAACCTGTTAGAAGAATTCCCCTCATATTCCATAGAGCAGGATAGTGTTATATGTCCAAATCTGAACTTCAGGGTTGTCTGAGAAGGTGAGTATCTGATGTTTTCAGCCTTTATAGTGCCAAGGTAGTCTCTGCTAGCAAATAAGAAAACAGATAATGGCTGACGAATGAGCACCCAAAACGTCAGAACAAAAATGGTGACTTCCTGGTATAAAAATTGGAGAGTGCACGTTTGTAATTTAAATTTGTGCACATGGCTCTCTCTTTCACGTTTATTGCCAAGGCAAAGCCTTTCTGTACCTTTCAGGAGTATGGTAGAACATTTTTGTGAGTGAAAGAATGAAGATAAGAATGTGTTCTTGAAGAGTCATTGCTTTAGTAAGTATAACTGTCTGTATAGAAGTTTTACTAGCCTTTTTCTTCCACGCCTATTTGAAAGTGTTGTAGACGTAGGGTTTTCTATAATGCATATAGGATTTTTTACATAAAATAACCACTGAAAATACTTATTTTTAAATAATTTTAACTTTAAATGTATTTTAGATTAGATTTATAGCAAAATTGTGAAGATATTAATAGTATCTTCACAATATTAATTGTGAAGATATTAATAGAGAGCTCCCATATGCAATACAGAGACTCGGGTTACATTGTAATTAATATATCTTAAATAAATATCATACATTTGTCACAATTTGTGAATCAATATCAGGAAGTTATTAACTGAAGTACATAGTTTATTCAGATTTTATTTGTTTGTACCTAATGTCTTTTTTTTTCTCTTTCTGGATACCACGTTTCTTGTCTCCTTTGGTCTGTTTGGCTATTAAAGTTTCTCAGACTTTCTTTATTTTTAATGTCCTTGACAGTTTTGAGGAGTACTGGTCACGTAGTTTGTAAAATGTTCCTCAATTGGAATTTTTTGGTATTTTTCTCATGATTAGACTGGAGTGATGTGTTCCTGGAGGAACCACAGAGGTAAAATGTGATTCTCACCGCACTATATCCAGGGAACATACTAACAGCATGAGCTATCACTGTTGATACTCCCCTTATCACCTGGCAGAGGTAGTGTTTGTTTGGTTTCTCCTCTGCAGATTTACTCTTTTTTTCTCTTTTTTATACTCTACTCTTTGGAAAAAAAACACTCTGAGCAGCCCACACTTAAGGACTGGGGAGTTGGTTATGCTCCATCTCCTTGAGGGGTCAGCATCTACATTCACTCTTCAGAATTCTGAACAGATTTGTCTATTCGCCCCCATTTATTCACTCATTTGTTAATATCAATATGGATTGATGAATGTTTATTTTATACTTTTGGTGGGAGAATAAATCCCTATTGTTTTAAGCCTCTGAGTTTGTGGTAATTTGTTACAGGGACCCTAGAAAATAATACTGTTTAAGTTTATGGCTTCAGCATTTTCTATCTAGCTAAACAGATTCTGGCTTTGTCTCTTTGAATGAGTCTTTCTCTTCGGATTTTGGGGTGGCAGTTCACTCTGCAAACTCAGTTCTCTAAAGAGTCCAAGAAAAGTCATTGATTTTCAGTTTGTCCTTATGTCCAGCTTTTTTTTTGCTAAGGATAGATATAATGACTTCCAAATTTTAACATGGTGGAACCAAACATGAAGTTCTATGCTGTCATTTTTAGATCTATTTATTCCTCATTTGGGATATCTTTCCACTGTATGACAAATGTTCAATGGAAGATGCGAGTTTCTTTTTTTTTTTTTTTACCTCTATCATGAATACTCTCCTACTCCTTCAACTTCTGGCAATATCATACTTACACTTTGAGCCCTAGATCAGAATGTCAGCTATACGACACTTCAGGTTTCCCTTCTCTGCCTAAGTACAACAAATCTTTCTCTCCACTATCTTTGTTCACAAAGCACTTTGAAAATTCATTGATTATAGTGCTTGACAAATTATATTATAGGTATTTCCTCACTCAAAAACAAGTGTTCTTAGCATATTTTACGTACATGATGCTCGTATTGCTATTATAGTTTAATAATTATTTTTTAATTTGTTTTTATATTTGTTTCTCACTTTAGAATATTTTCCTAAGTGAAAGATGTGTTCTTATTGTTCAACACTGTATCTCTGTTCATTTATTGAACAAATATTTTTGAGTGTTTACTAAATGTTAGGCATTAATCTAGGAACTGGGGATATAAGTAACAAGAAAAATGTGTTTCCAGCCCTCTTGCAGTTTAGTAGTGAAAGCAAATAACACATACACACACACATGACTGTGTAAACAGAAGCACTGTGAAAGAAATAAATGAGATCTTGAGAATTAGGGCTAACTGTTTGTGTTAGGGGTTAGTCTGCATAGATATCTCTTTGGAGGTGACATTTAAGCTGAGATCCAAAGGATGAGAAAGAATGAGACAACAGAAGATAGTAGAATTGTGATTCAGCTTTCAGACTGCGAAATCATATGTATGACACTAAGGTAGAAAGGAGTTTGAATTATTTCACACTGTGACTCCTGAGAGAAGGAGTATACCACACAACTTTGTATTCATTATGTACACATAGCAGCACATCCTTTTTGTTTTGTTTTTTTAAAAGATAGGGTCTACCTCTGTCACCTAGGCTAGGCTGAAGTGCTATGTCACTATCATGATCATACTCCTGGACTCAAGTGATCCTCCTGCCTCAACCTCCTGAGTAGCTGTGACTACAGGCATGCACCTCCACTGGTTTAAAAATTTTTCCTTTTGTAGCTACAAGGTCTCACTATGTTGACCAGGCTGGTTTTGAACTCCTGGTCTCAAGGGATCCTGTCAGCCTCAAGGGATCCTCCTGCTTCAAGGGAGCCTCCAAACTCAGCATCCCAAAGTTCTGTGATTACAGGCGTGAGCCATTGCACTTGGACAAAGTAGAGGGGTCTCTGAGTAGGTCGGCATTTGGTAATTGTCTAGTAGCTGTCAAACACCATACTGGACTCACATGATATTTCATTTAATTCCACAATAGCCTTGAAAGGTATTCTCACTTTTATGTAGAAGAGGAAATGGAACCCCTGAAAAGCCAGATTTCTTATCCAAGGCCATGGAACGAATAAGTGGGAGAGGTGAGGAGAAATTAACAGACTGGTATATATGCTGACTTTTTACCCTAGTCGCGATACCATGTTGCCTCCAAACAATAAATTACTGTTGTTGAAAAAATGAATAAATTAAGACTGAAAAGCCTTGTAAATATGGACGTATAAAACACCTTTATACTATAGTGGATTTAGTCTTTTATCAGAAATATCTTTGGGTATTTTAAGTTATCTAATTTTTGTAACTAAATTGTTCTAACTTGATTTTGCAATACTCTGCTCATTTCTGTGACAACCATTTATAGTGAACCAATGCTTACCATGCCTAGGGTTGTCAGAAGCTCAGGTTTTCAACCTGGATGTTTATGTCTTAAAAGCAGGAGAGTAAACATCAACCTGTGGACAACCATTAAGCAGCAGATTTTATGCCCTAACCCAATCTAGAAATGTATCACTTTCAGATGAACAAAACAAAATGCATTTTAATTTAGAAAATGTTTGGTGGCATTTTATCCTCAACAGGTTCTAAAATGTAAGACCCTTTTCACCTGTAGCCTCTGCAACTGATAGCCTTCTGTTCACCAGCATGGAAAAATAGGTCTCATATTAAGTGATGGCAGCAGATAGCATCTGTTTCTGTCATTTTGACTGTACATCAGCTTCTCACATACGCAAATGTTGTAAGCTCTTACAAAAAGAGACTCTTGGTATAACTGACTTTGTATTAAGGGGTGTGAAATGTTTTGTTTTTTGTTTTTGAGACACAGTCTTGCTCTGTTCCCTAGGCTGCAGCGCAGCGGCGCCATCTCCGCTCACTGCAACCTCTGCTTCCCGGGTTCAAGTGATCCTCCTACCTCAGTCTCCCAAGTGGCTGGGACTACAGGCGTGCACCACCAGGGGTGCGAAATGTTATTCCAGACCTTGCTTTAACCCGTAGGTAAACTTTGAGTGCAATTCATGACCAAAGACTTGGGAAATCTGATTGCTTCAGGGAATGCCAAAGCTAGGTTAAAAATATGGAAAAATATAGTGGCATTTTTTTTTTATGTAAAATGGGGAAAATGGTTAACTTAGTATATAGAACCCTGGGCTAGGGTCAGAAAATCAGTTTCCAAGCTTTAGTTCATTCTGGCCAGTTATGGCAACTTGAGGAGGCTGTTTTTTTGTTCCTTATACAGTCCTAAAATCTGAGACACAAGGGCTTCGCCGTCTAGGGCAGGGCATTCCAAAGTTAGGAAAGTCTGCTGCTGATGATTTGTACGATGATTTTAAGCAGTAATATGGCACGGCATTCAATACCTTTGAATCTTACAAGTTGAAACATTTCCCTCTTGTTTACTCAGATTTTCTTAGGAGGAGGAAGCCTGAGTTTGGGCTAGTGTGTCCTTGGGACTTCTCAATACCTTGTAATCTTCTTTTTAATAGAGTGAGGCTTAAGCTCAGAGTCTTTGACCAAAAAATAGCTAACTAGGCAGCAATAATACTATTTTGTTTTCAATATACCAATTTTTAGATTACCTTCTAATTGTGGCTAATGCTACTGTCAATTAGTTACTTTCAAATTTTTTTCATTTTAAATGTAACCATTTAAGTAACAAAAGCATTCAATTTAAATAAAATAATGTTAGTAAGCAATAGTAAAGATGATACATAAATATAACAACTATTCATTCAATCAGCAAGTATTAACTATCTACTAATGCCAGTCTCTGTTCTAAACATTGGGGGAATATAGCAAAAAATAAGCTAGATATGATTCTTTTTCAGAAGCTTATTTTTTTTTTTTTTTGAGACGGAGTCTTGCTCTGTTGCCCAGGCTGGAGTGCAGTGGTATGATCTTGGCTCACTGCAACCTGCATCTCCTGGGTTCAAGTGATCTTCCTATCTCAACCTCCTGAGTAGCTGGGATTACAGGCACGTGCCACCACACCCAGCTAATTTTTGTATTTTTAGTAAAGACAGGGTTTCGCCATGTTGGCCAGGCTGATCTCGAACTCCTGGCTTCAGGTGATCCACCTGCCTTGGCATCCCAAAGTGCTTGGATTACAGGAATGAGCCACCATACCTGGCCAGGAAGCTTAAAATTTTGAGGGAAAAGAAAATAACAAAACAAATTGAGTAAATATAAAATGTTTTATGTTGTGATAAATTATATGAAAATAAGGCAGAGTAAGGGATACAGAAGGCGTGTCTGTGTGTGTGTATGTGTGTACAGTTTTAGTTAGGATAGTTGGGAAATAGTTTTCTTAAGAGGAATGGAATAAATAGAAGGAATAACCTATGCACAGATCTTGGGGAATGTGATTATAGCCAAAAGGAGTAGCAATTCTCAATGCCAGAAGCAGGATAAACTTGGTATGCCAGAGAAACAGCAAGAAAGCCACGTGGCTAGACTTGAGTGAGTAAGGCAGATAATGTAGAAAGATGAAGTCAAGGAAGATGAAAGGTGAGAGCCTACAGGGCCTCACTGGCCATGGTAGGGAGTTTGTATGGTATTCTGAGTGTAATGGAAAGTCTCTGGAGGTGTTTTAGTTGGGGTAGCCACAACCTGCTTTATTAAAGAAAACATTTTCATGGCACTGTTAAAGAAGACTTCTGTAATGGGGGTTTTGCACTAAATGAGATAAAGTGAGTTCAACTCCAAATACAATGACAAGTGATGATTATAGCCAAGGAGCAGGGTGGGGGTCAATAGATGGCAAATTACTAAGAAGAAGCATTAGGAGTAAGGAGGACTCTGGCTAAATGGACTTGACAGGATTCTTGCTGATCTCAGACCAGAGTGATAAGAAGTCAAGAGAGATCAGATACCAAAAGTGGGGGATGAAGAATTTGATCAGATATCAATGGTGGGGGATTCCTGATAAACTCACCCAGCAGGATTCTTGGCTAAAATTGGACTAAATGGGCCAAGGATAGAGCCCAGAGTTGAGGCCTAGGTGAAAAGAGGGCTCAGAGGATCTTGACTTACATTTGGCCAAGGAGAGGGTGTTTGTTTGCTTTATAATTTAGAAATACTACTTTGGAAGTTTTATGGGGAACTTAATGCAGGGAGACACCGGTTGAAATGACGAGATGAACAGGAAGTGACTGTAGTGTTCTAGGCGAGTGATGATGGAGGCTCTGACTCATGGTCTAAGTAGAGTTACGTAGGTTGAGAATCAAGTAAGGGCTGACGTATATCTAGAGCTCTGTCCTTCAAGTGCCCTGACACAGGTTATATTCCACTGAAGGAAGGAGAGTCTTTTTTATTTTATTTTATTCTGGGATACACGTGCAGGATGTGCAGGTTTGTTACATAGGTAAACGTGTGCCATAGTAGTTTGCTGCGCAGATCAACCCATCACCTACGTATTAAGCCCAGCATGCATTAGCTATTTTTCGTGATGCTCTCTCTCCCCTTGCCCCACCCGACAGGCCCCAGTGTGTGTTGTTCCTCTTCCTGTGTCCATGTGTTCTCATTGTTCAGCTTCTACTTTTAAGAAAGAACATGCAGTGTTTGGTTTTCTGTTCCTCCATTAGTTTGCTGAGGATAATGGCTTCCAGCTCCATCCATGTCCCTGTGAAGGAAATGATCTCATTCCTTTTTATGTCTGCATAGCATTCCATGGTGTATATGTACCACATTTTCTTTATCTAGTCTATCATTGATGGACATTTTAAAAAAAATCTTTGCAAAGTCATCTGCTGCTAAGCCATGTGCCCACAGGAGGACAACATTTTTCTAAATCTCTTAGGTGTCCCACTTTCTCATTCAACTATATGCCTACCCCAAATGGGCACCTTTAAACTCTTTGCACGATGACAATTTTAAACTAGTAGCATCCTTGCTTCTACTAGGGCTGTGTGATGGAATTGGTGAGGAAAAAAATGGATTCAGGATACATTTCAAAAGTTTAACCAATAAGATTTGCTAATGGATTGGATGTGTGGGTTGAAGAAAAGAGAAACATCAAGAATTTTTCCAATACTTTTGGCTTGAACTACTGAGTGATGGGTAGTGCCATTTACAGATTTGAGGAAGCCCACGGAAAGAATACATTTGGGCACTTTAAAGGGGGCAGGGTTTTGTTAAAGAGTTTCATTTTGGACATATTAAATATGAGATGCCTATTAGATATCTCAGTGGTGATGTTTAATAAAAAGTAGTATATATGAATTTGGAGCTCAAATAAAATGTTACAAATGGATATATGTTTAAGAGTTAATGTATAGATGATATTTAAAGTCAAATGGATGACTAGTGAACAAGTGTAGATTGAAGAGAGAAATAGACTGAAATTGAGTCCTGGAACATTTCAGCTTTTAGAGATCGAGAAGAGAAGAAACTGGCAAAGAAGACTGAAAAGAAGTGGCCTGTGAGGCAGGAGAAAATCTCAGGATAGTGTGGTATCCTAGAAGCCTAGTTAATAATGCACCTTGAGATGGATATAGTGATCAACTGTAGTAAATACTGCTATCAGGTTCAGGAAAATAAGAACTAAGAATTGATCATCAGATTTGGCAAGATGGGGATAATTTATTACCTTGACAGATATAGCTTACTGGTGTATAAGAAACAGAAAGCCTAATTAGAAAGGATTGAAGAGAAACATAGAAGGGAAGAAATGGGATCCAGAAAAAATGGAAAAAATTTTTTGAGCAGTCCTGCCATAAAGGGGACTAAAAAAGAAGAGTGGCAGGTAAAAGGTGATGTCGGATTGAGGAGATTCAGTAGTCAATCATACCCATCATCATATACATAAGTAGCAACACTGTTCCCATCAGTGAATCACAAAGATGGGATATGAATGAATGAGTTTTGAGAAACTTTTTCCTATTCGAATATTCCTCTGTTTGTAGATAGAGATCTTAAAATCCAGGAGATTAATTGGGTGGTCCACATTCTGCAGCTTGCTAGTGGGCTAAACTTTCTGATTCCTACTCCAGAATTACCCTCGCCACCTATGTTGTTTGCGTGTGTCTAATCTCTGGGCTAGGGTACTTGGGAAAGGACAGAAAATTTATTATTATCTATGTTCATCTTATCTTTAAGAGCTCAAAGATGAGAAAATTTTCAGAGAACAGTGGATATACATTATCAAAGTGTTGAATAGCTGAATTTGTGAAATAGACACTCAGTTTTGTGGGCATGTAGGGAGAGAATAGTGATGACTGAATCATTGGTGGAAAGAATTTTGGGTAAAAAGAAAAACGTAAATGGCAGACATTCAAGAATGATGCTGATGTCTTTATAAGACAATAAAGTGGGTAAATTGATTAGCGTCAAGGGCAAGAAATGGGTAGCATTTGAACGAGATTGGTAGATAGGGTGATTCTAGGTTGTTATTAAAGGACTCTGGGTTCTTGGCAGAAGTTTCAGCCTATTGATTAAGAAATGGAGAGCTACTGAAGAGCTCTGGGGTGGGGAGTTGGAAGACAAACTTATTTTATTTGTGGAAAGAGGTGGAAGAATTCCAAAAATCTGAAGGTGAAGTCACAGTTGGCTACTAAGGTGACAGCAACAGGAATTTGTGAAGGAAGGGAAGCTCATAGGAGATGTTCTATTTAATTTGACTTATGGGCCAAATTTTCAAGAGACATTAGAAATCAAGTGTGGAGCTTGAATAAATGGGAGGAATTAAAGATAGAATTTTATGAGGTCATTGCATGAAGTTGAGTATTGAGTCTACAATGCTGTAGTACAAGATTTCTCTTGGAGTATGAAAGAAGATACAGGAACTCAAGACAGTTATTGAAAATATTCATACTCTAATTCTTTGAGTTTCCATTTCTGCTACTCTGAACTGTGGTTAGTATTACCCACCCCACCTACCATACTCACAGTGGTTGAGAGGGTCTCATGGAGTGAGGGATGTGAGCAGTCTTTGGAAAAATGTGTTATTTCAGACACAGTGTGAAATTGCAATGACAAATGATAGAAATGTGATCAAACAGGATGACATTACAAATTCTTTTTTTAAAATAATGAGATTGAGAAAAGGTAAAATTATGTATCAGTAAGAGTGGCTTTCATATGTTTCAATGAGACTGGCTCTTGGATACTCCTGCACATAGGAGTTCCAACATGTAGTTCCAAACTTTAGTTGGAAAATGTAAAAACAACTGTTAAAGAACATTTTTTTTTTTTCTGATTCAAATGGAGAGAAAGCAAGTTGTGTAACTGTTGCTTAAAAGAAGCAGCTGGTAGCATATGTCAAGACAATTTGCAGCTATTATCACCTCTTAAAGATACTGAGAAAATTGAATTGCTGACTAATGTGGTTGGGGGTGAAGGTCACCTTTCAGCAACCCAGTGACTGCAGTATCATCTTACTTTAAGATTCGTTCTTACAAAGTTGCATTTGAAAAAAAGCTTTCCTCTTACAACTTACATCTTATTTTAAGATACATCAAATTTGACTGTGTAAATATATATGTATATGCATATATTTACATAGTATGTATTTATAAAATAGAAGAAAAATACATCCTCCTCACCCCATACTGTTTCCCTTTTGGCTATAGAAACCAGTTGTGGGGAAGTGGGGGGATCAGGAGGAATTTGGATGAAGATAAAAGGAAAAATAAACTAACAGAAAGATCATTTCAAAGCTTTTTTAAAGTCATTTTTTGTACCTTAGAGTGGTGATACGAGGCAGATACCTTTGTTGCTTGTACAGGTACCATTATCTGCTGGTGTCTTATTGAAAGAAAGCCTGACTTGATGTGAATAAGTGTGTATGGGGAACTGAAACTGCTCTGCATTAAAATGTAAAATGCTCCCTGCCCTGTGGGCAGGGGACATTTTTGCAGATTACTTTACATTTGGGAAAATATTGTCTTTCTTTGAAAGTGTGTTTTCCTGTATGTATGTGTATGCATTAGTTGAAAGTGTGATGCGGCATATCTTCACCTTATGCTGGTGGTGACCGTTCAAAATACATTGTGCTTGGCATGTCCTAGTGACACAGTAAACACTGTATATTTGGAGAACTGAGTAATGAAGGGATCAAATATATTTAAATCCATTAAGATCTACTAGATTTGGAGTGTCAAAAGTTTCTCCCACTGTGCAGTGTTTTGCTGAAGCCTTCTGTGGCCTTTTTCCAGATTGAATAATCAAATCAGAGAATGTACTCGAATGCTTAATTGTGTATCACCATGATACACACTAACCCAAAGTGACCATTGATGACATTCTACTTCTGTGCTTTGCCCTTCACCTTGAAGTTCCTTCTCCTTTCTCTTTATCCTTATTGCAAACTCATCACCTTCTTTTCTGTTCCTCGATCAGAATAAACGTTTATTCATTACTCTCCAGACAGGTGTTAGGTTATCTGACTTTAGTCAGCCTCTCTCCACTCTGTAATTTAGCACCCATCTTCAATGTTTCTTGAATTTTATCTAGGCCAGGTAAGCCCCTGAGGCACCTTCAGAAGCAAGTGGGAGGTGCTCTAAGCTCCTTGTTCAGATTCAGTTTAGTTTGCTGAGTATTGGTCCTGGGGTTGAGTCAGGATTCCAGAGAAGAAAAATGCTAACTTTTTTAGGACTCACAAGTCTACTGCAACCTATGAAATATCCATGAACATAATTTTAAAAGTAGTTCAGTGCATTCTCCCACACTGGAAAAGTACATTTTCAAAGGGAAATAAAAGTTAAGTCTGTTTCCTACTACAATCAGAGCCCTATTATCAAGGTGAAGCCAATTTTAAAATATAAGGATTTTTAGATATAGTAAACCCTAGAAAATTTTTATTTTAAACCTTTCTGTTCCTCAGCTTTCTGGCTTTAAAGATAACCTTCAGAATATAAATTGATGCAACAAGGGCTGAAGCCCAGAACCAAGAGTTCTGATGCAATATCTCAAAGAATGTTGCAGCCTCTCTCTGCTATACAGATTGCTAAGAACACTGTCAGAACTTAAAATGGAATAGCAGTCAGGTTTTGTTAGACATTAACTCAGTACTTGCCTTGAGAGTTTAAACTCGGCTACCATTTAAGAGCACCGCATAGCCTGTTTTACCATGAACACCTGCCTCTTTCATTCTTGATTTTGATGGAAGGTTTCAGAGAGTGTATGTCTTACACACTTCAAATGTATAAAGCAGAATAAAGAGCTGCATAATTCTGCCTCCTGGAAGAAATAATTGGCTTGTAGCTATTTTTAGCTTCAATTCCATTTACAGGAATTGTTTAGCAAATAATATTTACCAAGATTATATATGAAAATATAAAACAAAATCATCATCTTCAAGAAGCTCACTGTCTGATGAGGATGAGTAGGACAGTTATATAAAAATCATTACCATATGTATTATAAAAGCAATATATATCAGTTCAGAAGTACAAAAGGCCCTGTCATTATTACTATTATTATTTATTTTAAATAATGATTATTTCTCTTGTTTTTTTTGAGACAGAGCTTCACTCTGTTGGCTAGGCTGGAGTGCAGTGGCACAATCTTGGCTCACTGCAACCTCTGTCTCCCAGGGCTCAAGCAATTCTCCTGCCTCAGCCTCCCAAGTAGCTGGGATTACAGGTGTATGCCACCATGCCCTGCTAATTTTTGTATTTTTAGTAGAGACGGGGTTTCACCGTGTTGGCCAGGCTGGTCTCGAATTCCTCACCTCAGGTAATCTGCCCACCTCGGCCTCCCAAAGTGCTGGGATTACAGGCGTGAGCCACCGCGGCTGGCCTAATCATGATTTTTTCTCAACGATGGCTATAATTAAGTGAGTATTTTGTATTGGTTACTATCCTAAGTGCTTTGTGTATTTTATATCAGTTAATCCACACAATGACTTGTGAGGTAGGTACACATTCTATGTAGGTTAAGAAACAGGCTGAGAGGAGTTAAATGACTTGTCCTAGATCCTACAGTTTGTAAGTGAAGAAGGAGGAGTTTAACTTCTATTCCATCTGACTTTAAGCCCTTTGCCTTAACTACTTTGTATAATTGCTTCCCTGGAAAGGTAAATGCTGATGTGGGATCTGGGAGATGAAAATTCCAGAAAGACAATTTCAGCAATCTCAAGGAACTAGAGATGACAAATTTTCAGAGACATTCTTTTATATATATATATATGTATATCAAAAAATATATATATATATTTTCTTTTCTTTGTGTACTAGAGATTTCACAGCAACAAGCTTATTATGACCATAACTAATGAACACAGACAGGGTTAAGAAAACATTCAGAATATAAACAAGTTACTAGTTCATTGCAACCTATTGATAGCTACTCACCTCATGTAGAAGTATGAACATATATATGTAAAAACAAATAGAAAACATTCTGCAGATTTTGAACTGCAAGATGGTTTAAATGTTGGCATATACATGAATCAAATCAGTTTTGTTTTTCCCTCTATTGGAAGGTGCTATCATAAATAGCATTTGGCTTTTCTTGATAGGTGGTTAATTTTAAGTAGAACACTGAAAAGGAACACATTTATGTGTGGTTGATTCAATTTACTCAAATCTAATGAAAAGATATGTGCATTTCCATTTCTTTAATATCAACAGATATAAAGTAAATGGTAAATATAGCTAAAACAATTTAAAAACTCCTTTAGTGGGTCTTTAGAAGCTGAAACTGCAATATGTATGCTGTCTTACTATTTTAAAAATAACTTATCTATTCAAATATTCTCTACAAGTTTGTTATTCACTCCAATGTGAATTTTAAAGATATATACATATGGATATCAGACATTCTTACATTTAGTGGGAAGCAAAAGTTGGTTACCTTTATTATCTCTTAAAACTTCAAATTCTACTGATTATAACCATTACTTACCTAACTTATAAGATAAAGCACTTTTAGTAACCTTGCTTGAAAATGAATGAAATTCTTATTTTGCTACACAGATCATCTCATTATTCACCATTTTCCTTAAATAATAATTTGGTTTTGGCCTACAAATAGAACGGAATTCTCATTATTAGAGTCTTACTGTCTTTTAAAATTCCATTTGTGCTACTCTCTTGTAGTTGAGATAAAATGCAGAATTAAATTTTGTATCAAATTGGATTAAAGATGTTAATAACTTCCTCTTTGCCTCCACAACCACCTTCAGGGGACCTGTCCTGCCACTGGAGCCACAAAAAGAAGCTCTTTGAGCTCTAATACCTTCACCTCCAGCCCCTCTGCTCTAATTTCTACTTCAGACAGCTCCTCTAGGGAACCAGGAGTGGATTCCTGACCTCAGTTGGGCCAATCCGATCTGGACCAGAGAACTGAGGTTTTTGTGGGCAGCTAAGCTAAACGCCCCAATGCATTCTGGTGTTGAGTTCTTATTTCAAGATGTCCTAGGTAAGAAAATATTGTACTGTGGACCAAACTTACGGGAAGCTGGTTTAAAGAATGAAAGAGGCACACCGATGCACAAAGACAAGTAGAATTCATCAGACATATCCTCCTCATTACTCTGTAGTCCCCACCCCAACACCCTCATGTAACTAGCAGCTGTTTGTTTTTGCTTTTTTTTTTTTTTTTTGGTTTTCTGGAGGCCCTGCTGTAATTCTTACAGTGAGACTGGTTGAGAATAAAATAAAACCAATTTTTACTTGAAGTATATCGAGTGGTTTCTATGCCTTGCAATCAAATGGGTCCTGTATAAGATGGACAAAAAAATGATTATTTATTTTCAGTCCTTAGTAAGAGTGAATGCTCTATCAACCAAGGACTGTTTGATATGTACTTGATGTAGGACAAGTGTACCTCAAAATTGGGGCTTAGCCTGGGAGGGTTCTTGGCTTCACCCAGGAAAGCAAGGGTGAGCCAGTGGTGTTAGACAGCAACTTTTATTGAAGCAGCAGTGTACAGCAGTAGCAGAGGTACTGTTGCTTGTGCAGTAGGGCTACCCCATAGGCAGTATGCCCAGAGTAGCAGCCCAGAAGCAGTTCTGCAGCCATACTTACACCCACTTTCAATTACATGCAAATTAAGAAACAGACTATGCAGAAATTTCTAAAATAAGTGTGGTAATTTTCAGGTTGTTGCCTTGGAAAGGGGTGGTAACTTCCAGGTATTGCCATGGCAATAGTAAACTGACATGGCACTGGTTGACATGTCTTATAGAGAGGTGCTTTCATCACTTCCCTGTTTTAGCTAGTCTTCAATCTGGTCTGCAGTTCTGGCCCCACCTTTGAGTTAAGTCCTGCTTCTTACCTCATGCTTAAAGCTAGTAAATTCTGTGTAGTGAATATATGTTGTTTTCGCCTGTCCAGAACCTAATTTCCATCTCATAATTGCCATTATTTTGATAACTGTACTTTTATTTTCCTTTTGGCAAGTATCTCTTCTCACTTTTTAACCCACATAATTTGGATAAAGTTGACTCCTATCTCCAGACTTTTCAGAATTGGGTATACTATTGGGTAGGTACATGGCACTCAATTCCAGGAGTATGTAAGAATGAAGAATGTACAGTTGAGAGAGAGAAGCCAAGGGGAATGTAAGCTTGGAGGTGCTGAGAGCTTTCAATTGGGAAGAACTCATCAAATGATGATGCCAACACAGAGAGAAACTGTGCAAGCTGTAGAAGGGTTGATCTCTGACAACATTGTTGAAGCGCTTGGATCCAGCTGTGCCCAAGGAAGAATGATTCATTGAATTCTTCAGTTTTTGAAGCCAATAACCCTTCCTTCCTCCTGACCCGCTAACACAGTTTGAGTTGTTTCTGTCACATGCAACTCATAATGTTGACCAAAATACCACGTGGAAATAACATGGGAAACAGAAAACCTGACCTGGAGTCTTCTCCAAAGTAATTTACCATGTAGTAGGATAAAGAAGATAGATAGGCATGCAATAACTAAAAAACAGTATAAAACACATTATTAGATGTCAGACTGTGAAATAGTCTAAACATTATCTCATGACATACTTGCGGTAGACAATATGAAATTTCTACTTAATATGTAGAGCCTCTATTCAACCTTAAGTTACTTATTTGACATTTGAAATTGCTGCCCCAGCTTCAGAGTCAATAGATATGAAGACAAAGTACCTGGAATGTGGCACAAAAGCACATGTATTTTGCATCAGGTAAATATCCTAAGGAAATATAAAGAAAAATAATAAAATTGCTTGCATTTTGAATTAGATAAATATAATAAGAAATTGTAAGAAAATTAAACAAACTGATACTTCCACAAATAGCAAAAACAGTAACACAAATAAAAAAATTAAAATGAAAAGTAGAGTAAAGAAGTATGTTTCTTTTTTTTTTTTTGAGATGGAGTCTCGCTCTTTCGCCCAGGCTGGAGTGCAGTGGTGCGATCTTGGCTCACTGCAATCTGCGCCTCCCAGGTTCAAGTGATTCTTCTGCCTCAGCCTCCTGAGTAGTTGGGACTACAGGCGCGTGCCACCGCGCCTGGCTAATTTTTATATTTTTTAGTAGAGACAGGGTTTCACCCTTTTGGTCAGGCTGGTCTCAAACTCCTGACCTCAAGTGATCCGCCCACTTTGGCCTCCCAAAGTGCTGGGATTACAGGCATAAGCCACTGCGCACCACCAAGAAATATGTTCCTAAAACTGACTATGTTAACATTTTCCTTTGGTTCTTAATTGCCACTTGGAATTCTCTTGTCTATGTTACTGTCTACCACATCTAACCTAGAAAGTAAATCCATTTCAAACCTCCCTGATTCCAATTTACTTTATTCATTCTTACATATACAGGTAGGCTTGTGTGGCAGTCATGTAGAGCAGAACAGAAACAAGTCTGGTTGAGCCCTGGAAGTTTTTTTTTTGGTGTTTCTAATTTTTTTTTTAAATTATTATACTTTAAGTTTTAGGGTACATGTGCACAATGTGCAGGTTAGTTACATATGTATACATGTGACATGCTGGTGCACTGCACCCACTAACTCGTCATCTAGCATTAGGTATATCTCCCAATGCTATCCCTCCCCGCTACCCCCACCCCACAACAGTCCCCAGAGTGTGATGTTCCCCTTCCTGTGTCCATGTGTTCTCATTGTTCAGTTCCCACCTATGAGTGAGAATATGTGGTGTTTGGTTTTTTGTTCTTGGGATAGTTTACTGAGAATGATGATTTCCAATTTCATCCATGTCCCTACAAAGGACATGAACTCATCATTTTTTATGGCTGCATAGTATTCCATGGTGTATATGTGCCACATTTTCTTAATCCAGTCTATCATTGTTGGACATTTGGGTTAGTTCCAAGTCTTTGCTATTGTGAATAGTGCCGCAATAAACATATGTGTGCATGTGTCTTTATAGCAGCATGATTTATAATCCTTTGGGTATATACCCAGTAATGGGATTGCTGGGTCAAATGGTATTTCTAGTTCTAGATCCCTGAGGAATCGCCACACTGACTTCCACAATGGTTGAACTAGTTTACAGTCCCACCAACAGTGTAAAAGTGTTCCTATTTCTCCACATCCTCTCCAGAAACTACCATCAGAGTGAACAGGCAACCCACAAAATGGGAGAAAATTTTCACAACCTACTCATCTGACAAAGGGCTAATATCCAGAATCTACAATGAACTCAAACAAATTTACAAGAAAAAAACAAACAACCCCATCAAAAATTGGGCAAAGAACATGAACAGACACTTCTCAAAAGAAGACATTTATGCAGCCAAAAAAACACATGAGAAAATGCTCACCATCACTGGCCATCAGAGAAATGCAAATCAAAACCACAATGAGATATCATCTCACACTAGTTAGAATGGCAATCATTAAAAAGTCAGGAAACAACAGGAGCCCTGGAAGTTTTAAAAGAACTCCATGAATAGGTTTTTGGTCATCTGTGATTCTCCAGATACTGTTTGTTGAATTTGGGGTAAATATGCATTTTTTCCCCTAAAAGAATTCAAACTTTTATCAGTCTCTCAAAGGAATCTATGACCCAGAAAATGTTATAATTTCCTTCCAATTTAGAGTTATCTATAAGAAATTATTTCTCTTAGTTACATATTAATGTATGATATTATATTAAATTATTGGCCTGTTTAAACTATGAACAGTCCTAATATCCTAAATAAATCTTAGAATTTAATACATTTTTCCCATGTAAAACATACCCATGCAGACCTCAGCCTGTATTCATTCAGGTTCAGTCAAGTAATATTTGTTTCCATATGTTTAGCTTAATAATGTATAACAGTATTACCAGTAGCAAAATTATGTTTGATCAATGTACATTTATTAACTATTCCTGCTCCTTTGTGGATGTTAGCTTTATTCTTCTTGGCTGTTTTCCTCCATTTTTCAGGAACAAGATTTCATATAGCTCTTGACCCACACATCTCTCAGCTTTTACACTATTAAAGTTCTATTTCTTTTTGAAATAAGCCAGGCACAGAAAGATAAAATTTCTAGTTCAAAAAAAATCCCAGGGAAAGTATTTGGTTGGCCTCACATGCCTTCCACTGGTTTCCTGTGGCCAAGGGAGTAGATACTATAGTTAGCAGCTCTAATTAGAACATGTTTTGAGTGAGAAATGAAGATAAAAGAGCATCCCCTCCCCAAAAAGTCCATTATTCACAGGAGATACTTGGTATGGTGGGAAGATAATAAATACTGGCGGGAGAAGTGTGTTCTAGGAAGTAAAATGAAATATGCTACAAATATTTGAAATAGCATGGAAAGGTGATAGTTCAGTTTGAGCAACAGGTTCATTCTGGGATATAAGAAACATAGGTTAGAGAAATAGGCAAGGACCAGGTTGGGAGAACTATGTATATTCTGGTAAAGGATTTAAGTTGTATCCTGCAGGCCACTATGTTGTAAATATGGCAGCAGACTCATAGGGTGGAGGGGGATTTGTTAAAATGCAGATTCACAAACTCAACACTAAACACAAAGAATCCAAATAACGGGGCGCCTGAGAATCTGCATTTTTATTTTTATTTTATTTATTTGTTTTAATTTTCCTTTAAGTTCTGGGATACATGTGCAGAACGTGCAGGTTTGTTACATAGGTATACATGTGCCATGGTGGTTTGCTGCACCTATCAACCCATCATCTAGGTTTTAAGCCCCACATGCATTAAGTATTTGTCCTAATATTCTCCCTCCCCTTGCCCCCCACCCCCTGACAGGCCCTGGTGTGTGATGTTCCCCTCCCTGTGTCCCTGCGTTCTCATTGTTCAGCTCCCACTTATGAGTGAGAACATGCGGTGTTTGGTTTTCTGTTCCTGTGTTAGTTTGCTGAGAATGATGGCTTCCAGCTTCATCCATGTCCCTGCAAAGGGCATGAACTCATTCTTTTTTATGGCTGCATAGTAGAGAACCTGCATATTTAAAATACACCTTGTGTAATGCTTATATACCCAACTAAAGATTGAGGGTCGCTGCTAAGGAGAATAGAAAACTATTCTAAGTAGTGGAGGAACAATACAGCATAAACTAAAATATCTGTTGATATGGCTACGGCCTCCAGATCAATTAGAGATTGCTGTATGCCAGTGTGTGTGTTTGAGGAGCCTGTGGGGTGCATCTCCTGTATGCACATCTTAGAGTGTTTTTGTTCCAGTTAAATATTTCCAGGAAGGCATCGTGCAGTGGAGTAGAGTTTTAAACATGAAGATGATAGTAAAATATCTCCATTTTAACTTACTCAATGAAAAAGTCTAAAAAAAAAAAAAAAGAAAACCTTGGATCCCCACAAGCATGAAAAATTACTAAATAAGACAGAAAGATTCTGAATGACACATTAGTGAAGGGGGCTATCATGCCCCCTATATCTAGAGGTGTACTGCTAGATCAGCATATTCTCTTTAATAAGGAAAGTTTAAGTGTAAAATTGTTATCCAGTTTGCCTAGGTGTTCTGGTTACGTTCATCAGTTAATTTTATTTATCAGTATCTGTGAAGTTAGGAAAGGGTTTTTGCTACATTTGTTCTTGCCTGCCAATGCAGAGAAGATGGATGAGGCCCAAGAAGTAGGACAAAGGTTTGCATTGGGGATTTTTATAAATTAGCTTCATTATTCTCTGGTGAACTTGGGGACAATTGCTTAGAAAACTGTCCTTTCTTCCAAGCTATTAAAAGTGATTCTCCTAACCATTTCAGGCAATCTTTCTTGCTAGCAGAAATCCAGCAGAATAATTTTCTCATGAGAGTGGTAAACACACACACACACACACACACACACACACACACACACAATGCATTCTCTAATGTTTGCTAGAATAAACATATATGATTTCATGGTTAAGTAGCAAAAGCTTTGGCCCATGGAAGGAATGCTTAAAAGTTGGCTTATTTAATGTGGAAAAAGGTAGCAAGTTAAATGTTTAAATTTTTTAAAATTAATTTTATTTTTTTTTATTTTTCAGCACCTAGTTTAAAGACTTATAAAGTTCTACAAAGCTATTGGAAGAATATCTATTCCCAGGCTCTCCTGCCCATTTCTTGCATTCCGGAAGCAACCATTTTCAACAGAATTTTGTAGAAAGCACCTGTACATTTCTGAGCAACAGCTTATGGCACTATTCATTTTGTTTTAACCAACATCTACTAACTTCTCACCATGGAGGAGGACAATTTACCTCTTCTTCATCACCTTTCCCTGCACAGGCATGCATAAAAACATAACCTCTCATTCAGCCAAAATATTTATGCCATTATTTTGAGTAGACCAATTTTCAGCCTTTATGTTTACTATGATCTTGTAAATTCTAGTCACAACAGTAGTATGTTCTGACCACTACTCATTTGTTGCATAACTTCCCATTTTTCCTTAATTGCTAATAGTAATGTTTTTTTCATATATGTGTGTGTGTATATATATATATATTTTTTTTTCTCACTTCTCTTACATTTTTCTATATCTCCTTTCAGCCTGCTCAAACACATCAGGTATTCTGACACTTCTACCTTCTTTTCTTTTTTTTTTCTTTTTTTTTTTTTTTTTGAGAGAGAGTCTTGCTCTGTCTCCCAGGCTGGAGTGCAGTGGCGCCATCACGACTCATTGCAACCTCCGCCTCACGGGTTCAAGTGATTCTCCTGCCTCAGCCTCCTGAGTAGCTGGGACTACAGGCGTGTGCCACCATGCCTGAGTAATTTTTGTGTTTTCCTTAGTGACTGTATTCGTTTACATTCTCACCAGCAGTGTAGAAGTGTTCCCTGTTCACCACATCCATGCCAACATCTACTGTTTTTTTGATTTTTTGATTATGGCCATTCTTGGAGGAATAAGGTGGTATCACATTGTGGTTTTGATTTGCATTTCCCTGATCATTAGTGATGTTCAGCATTTTTTCATATGTGTGTTGGCCATTTGTATATATTCTTTTGAGAATTGTCTATTCATGTCCTTAGCCCACTTTTTGATGGGATTGTTTATTTTTTTCTTACTGATTTCTTTGAGTTCACAGAGCAGTCAGGCAAGAGAAAGAACTAAAGTAAAGGGGAAATCAAACTGTCACTGTTTGCTGACAATATGATTGTTTACCTTGAAAACACTAAGGACTCCTCCAAAAAGCTCCTAGAACTGATAAAAGAATTCAGCAAAATTTCTGGATACAAGATTAATGTACACAAATCAGTAGCTCTTCTATACAGCGACAGCGACCAAGTAGAGAATCAAATCAAGAACTCAACCCCTTTTACAATAGCTGCAAAAAAACCCAAAAACAAAAAACAAAAAAACAAAAAAACCCCTTAGGATTATCTAAGGAGTCAAAGACCTCTACAAGGAAAACTACAAAACATTGCTGAAAGGAATCATAGATGACACAAACAAATGGAAACACATCCCATGCTCATGGATGGGTAGAATTAATATTGTGAAATGACCATACTGCCAAAAGCAATCCACAAATTCAACACAATTCCCATCAAAGTACCACCATCATTCTTCACAGAATTAGAAAAAACAATTCTAAAATTCATGTGGAACCAAAAGAAGCCCACATAGCCAAAGCAAGAGTAAGCAAAAAGAACAAATCTGGAGTCATCCCACTACCTGATTTCAAACTATACTATAAGGCTGCAGTCACAAAACAGCTTGGTACTAGTATAAAAGTAGGCACATAGACCAATGGAACAGAATCGCAAACCCAGAAATAAACCCAAATACTTACAGCCAATTGATCTTCGACAAAGCAAACAAAAACATAAAGTGGGGAAAGGACACCCTTTTCACCAAATGGTGTTGGGATAATTGGCTAGCCACATGTGGGAGAATGAAACTGGATTCTCATCTCTCACCTTATACAAAATCAACTCAAGATGTATTAAGGACTTAAACCTAAGACCTGAAACTATAAAAATTCCAGAAGATAAAGTTGGAGAAACCCTTCTAGACACTGGCTTAGGAAAGGATTTCATGACCAAGAACCCAAAAGCAAATGCAATGAAAACAAAGATAAATAGCTGGGACCTAATTAAGCTAAAGAGTTTTTGCACAACAAAAGGAACAGTCAGCAGAGTAAAAAGACAACCCACAGAGTGGGAGAAAATCTTCACAATCTATATATCTGACAAAAGACCAATATACTTCTTATACTTTTCCTTGGAATGGTATTAATGCTGTTAATATATATGAAAAGTATATTGTGCTGTGTATTTAGGTATTATAGCTCTGTAAACGTGTCTCTAGAAGGTCTTTTTGGAAGTTTTAAACTTTTATTTAGGATAATAATATGTGACATCTGATTGAACAGTGAACTGCATATGGAAGTAATTGTCTAGAGGGCTTAATTAGTCAGTATTACAGAAATTTTAATTAATTCAGTATATATATATATTTTAACTTTGTTTTGCAAAGCTTTTTTTATTGGTAGCATTTTAGGAGCCATAACTGACAAGGAACAGGATTTTTAGTGTACTGCCTTTTAGAAGACAGTAAGAACAAATTATTATTTGGGGCTCAGGCTCACAATTTCAGGTAACGACAGAGGCCATCTGGTGTAAGGAACTGGTGTTAAGCTGCTTATTTTATGACCATTCATGACACTTGCCCACTTATATGACTCTCTCTGTCTTCTTAGTGTACTAGAACAGAATACCAATACCACAGACTGGGTAGCTTAAATGGCAGATGTTTATTTCTCACAGTCCTATTGAGGTTGTAAGTCTGAGATCAAGGAGTCAGCCAGCATGGTCACGTTCTTGGTGAAAGTCCTCTTCCTGGTTATGTCTTCACGCCAGCTTTCTTTCCACACACCATGAAATAGATCCCCTGTCTATTCCTTTTTAAATTTTTATTTAATAAGGACACTAATCTCATTATGGGGACAAACCCTTATGATCTAACCTAATCTTGGTTACCTCCCACAAACTGCTTCTCCAAATACCATCACATGAATTTAAAGGGAAACAAATATTCAGTTCATAGCAATGACCTTTGCTTTATTTTATTTTTAAGCCATTTGATAGACCATTGTATTCATTAAAAAATAATATAAACCCAAACAAAATGAACTTTGTCCTTAAAGGAACTATCTAACCCACAATTTCCACAGACTGCTAATTTGCTATTGCCCTTGAAAGCAGCAGCTGGGCTAAACACCATGCATTCTAGAGATTTTTGCCAAGGGTTCCCTGCATTTGATCCATGCTTTAGGCTGAGTAGACTTAAGAGGATTACAATCACTACAGCCTTATTCTTCTTTGAAAATAAATGAATCAAAAAATTGGGTTCATTTATCCATAGATCAGAAGATTCAGGATCTTGCCTCAACCCTCTTGTTGAATAGCTGTGTGTTCCTGGGAAACTACCTTCTTTTAAGGCTTTATCTGTAAAATAGAAATAATGCCATCCTGCTTTCCCTCACAGGATAATGAGAGTCAAATAAAATGATATAATGGAAGTACTCAAATGAAATATATAATCTGCTTTACAAAGGCAATGAGTTATTATTTAAAAGAAAGTGCAGTAGGTTATATAAAAATAAGTATAGAATATATCATTGCCTCCAAGATTTTAAAATCTAAGATAATATATGAGCAGGAACATAAGTGCTCCCTGCACATTTTATTGTAACTGGAGAAAATTGTGAAATCTGGATATAAAACAAGTGTCAAGATTCTGGAAATGTGCCCATCTACAGAAGAGCTGTTGCCATCATGTAGAATGATGATTCCATTTAAAATTCTGATAACTGCTATTACAAGTGACTTTTTTTTGGAGGGCATTATTTTCTGCTCTTTTTGCTTGTTCATACTAGGTAAGTAGCAAAATTTGGGCACGGTGGCTCACACCTGTAATCCCAGCACTTTAGGAGGCCGAGATGGGCGGATCACGAAGTCAGGAGATCGAGACCATCCTGGCTAACACGGTGAAACCCTGTCTCTACTAAAAATACAAAAAATTAGCTGGGCGTGGTAGCGGATGCCTGTAGTCCCAGCTGCTCAGGAGGCTGAGGCGGGAGAATGGCGTGAACCCGGGAGGCAGAGCTTGCAGTGAGCCGAGATTGTGCCACTGCCCTCCAGCCTGGGGGACAGAGCAAGATTCCATCTCAAAAAAAAAAAAAAAGAAAGTAAGCATGTACTTTTGTGAATCCCTAAATGAAGTGAAGTCATCAGGAAAAGAACAGCTCTTTCAGAACCTCTCTTTGGGCGTTTCTGTTGTGACCCGGTCTTCACTTAGAGAGCCTCAGATGAACCCAATGAGCCACCTTTGGTTTCCTAGCCTGTGCAGTGCAGCCCTCCTCCTCTTTCACATCAGGTGGACATCATGATCTTTCAGGTTGCCATCACATCCATCTCCTTTGGCAGCTTTGTTCTTGTTCTTAAGTCTTATTGGTTGGTTCCTTCACATACAAAAATATCTAGGTAGAATTATTGCTACTGTGGTGGAGTGATTTGTCAGCCTTTATTTAAACCTAGTAAAATACCAAAGAAACAAGTGAAAGAGGGTCTGTGGCTTAAGGATTTCTTATCTGAAGGTTACCAGTGGCTTCTTGTGCTCACTTCAGTTCATAGTGTTGGCAAAGATTGACAGCATGTGAGTGTATTTATTTCAGTTTTCTTATAGTGGATTTTATATATTTATCTATGCTGATGAATGGGGTGCTCTCTGTCTAGGTGCCCAACATTTGGTATTTTTTAAAAGGATTTACATCTTTGGGTAGAAGTAATGGCCCATCCTGTCATAAATTCCTAGACATTTAGCACTGCTGTGGTGCATATGTGTGTGTGTGTGTGTGTGTGAGTGACAGTGGGCAAAGCGGCCTATGTAATATTGCAGGAGCATCTCTTAACAGAAGAACTAATGTAGGGGACCTGTGAACCTCCCTTTCCCAATGTGTGCACCTGGCTTCAGATTCACCCATACAGCTGAGGTTAGCAGCAGTCTTTCAGCAGATTGGGTAATGCTTGGTGAAACTCTTCATCATTTACAGTGTTTATTTTCTCTCCAAAGCATAGCCTTGGAATTAGACAAATCTTAAGTTCAAAATTGATTGCCATTTGCAACTACGCAACCTTGTATATATTACTTAACCTCTCGGTGTTTCAGTTTCTGCACCTGTAAAGTGAGGATAGTAACCTGACACAGGTTTACTGTGAGGTTTAGGTGTATTATGTGATATATGAAAGACCTAAAATAGTACCTGACATGTAGAAGGAACTCAGTAAATATTAGAGATCCTCTATCCTTTTGTCAATCATTTTTATCCACTTGTGTTCATTCATTATAATAGCATTAGACATATCTGTTCAAAATTCCCATTAGTCAGTATTTTACTTTACAGGATTTTGCAACCTCGATTTCTCCAGAAACTTTACGTCTTTCTACATCTCAGGTATTCATCTTGGAGACTCTTAAAAATAACTCTGGTTAGTAAACTTAATAAAAGAAAAGTTTTTTAAATAAATCTCTTTTGATGAGACTTTTTGGATTATAGTAAGAATTACCTGAGGATAAAATATTAATTTGGTTTTAAATCAGTGCATTGCAATGATATATGTTGATATTATTAAACTCAACTTTCCCCACTCAACTTTTTCACTTGGGGACAAACCTTCTTAACCACGATCAAGTAGTGAGTCCACATGCCACAGCAACACACATGCCAAAGGGCTTTGCAAACATTGCACATTCAGGATAAACTTTCATTTAACTCATTGGAGCAAATCTAGGTATTTAATAACCGTTAGAACACCATAGATGAGTTATATTAAGTTCATAGTATACTTTGATTTGAATTATTTAAAGACATTCAACACAATAAAATCGATTATCTCCTGTGGTTTTCTGAAAAAGGACTCTATGATTTGAAAATCCTTTCACTAAAGGAGAGAAAAAGGGGAATTTGGTAGCAAAGGAGCTATATTTCAGAGGTTCACTTACCCACTATTAAAAATTGCCTAAGCAGGAGCGAGGGATTTTTAAATTATTAAAATGCTAGCAGGGGATAGCAGAGTGTGTGTGGTATCCCTTCCTTCTCTGCTCACTATGTTGAACATAAAACTAATGTAATCCTATCAGTCTCCTGTTTAAAAATTTTATCTTTTCATCACTGAGTGCAGGAGTAAAACACTCACTTCTTTCCAAGGCCTGGCAGGAAGAAAAATGAAATGGGCTGGTCAGGGTTGGTGGCCAACTGGATCGGGTATTTTTCTAAACGACTGCTGCCTTTCACCTCCACGATTGCTGCCACATTTGAGTTTTCAAGAGAAAACAAAAATATGGGTTTTTAACATGTGAAATCTCCCTGTTATGTAATCTATAGGAAATGAAAAATGTGTCCTTTTATGAAGCAAATTTGAGCTGCACTGACTCTTTAATCATAAAAGGCAACATCCAACTGATTTTTTCTTTCCCTCCCACAGATTAAGATATTAATACTTATTTCTTAATTGACAGATAATGATTGTACCTATTTCTAAGGTACAGTGTGATGTTTTGATGCATGTATGTGTTGTCTAATGATTAGCCCCATCAGGGACACTGCATCCGCATCAATGGCTGCTCTCACCCTTTACACATATGGAACACCTGAACTCCAATGTTGAATTGTTTGACTTTTCCAGAACACGTCAGTTGCTTTCCTGCCTTTTTGCACTTCGCATGCTCTTCCATTGGCCAGCATGCTCTCTCCTTATCTTCTCCTCTTTTCATGTACCGGCTCAACAAAACGTCTATATTTTCTTTTAAGTATTAGCACTTGAGAAGTCTTCTGAGTTTTCTGTGAGCATCTGTTTCTGGGACCAAGAAGAATTCATTGGTCATTAGTCTGTGCTTCCATAGTACATTGCATTATAATAACTTATTTGCATGTCTATTTCCTTATTACTCCTCCGTCTCTGTTCACTCAGCTATTGCAGGGAGAGGAAGCACAGTAGCTGCAGACAAATTGTGTATGGTTGAGTTTGGCAAGAAGAGAGCCTCTGGATTTGTTATCAGGGCACAATTTCCACCATTTCTGCTCAGGATGAAGCTACAACATGCAGACATAAGCTAAGCTTCCAGGTTGCCCACCTGAGCTGCTTGGCAGAGTAGACATTTGACATTTGAGTCAGGCCATGGGGAACAGATAACTTACAGTTCTCTCCTTTCTTGGGCTGGTTTTATAATCTTAGTTCCGCCCAAGCCTAGATAATCTTGTCTGACTTGATCCAGTCTCCCAGCCTTGGCACTTGCATAGAGAAGCCTTATGAGGGAGGCACAAGAAGGGAAGACCTTTTATCACATAACTTGAACTGTTGAGCATTTATTTTCCATGATCTCTACAAAAAAACCTCATTCTCAACTGCCATTGCTACCCATCATGGTCGCCCCAGAAACCAGCTTCTGATTCCAAGCAGATTATGAGCCTTTCAAGGGGTCAGGAGCAGTATCTTATTAATCTTTGTATCCTCAATGTCTAACAAACAGAAGGATCTCAAATACTTATTACATGAACAGTCTAGAGGGGAAAACAACTATGAAGATGTTATAAGATCTTGGTTTTCATTTATTGCTAACATTTTGTGACCTGGGCTGTAGAATGTACTACAGGTTCCATGACCAATTTTACATTTGCTAAATAAATAAAATGAAGGCTAACAGAACACCCCATTTACACTTTCTTCACATCTTAGGCAGATGGAGCAAACAGAACTGGCTGTGGTTTTATTTGCTTAGCCCTCATTGAACTTGGAATTTACCCAGTGTTTGCTCAGCCCAGTCAGAGATCTCATCAGAATCAATGGCTGCTCTCACCACAATTTCCCTGCTTTGTACTTAGAGATTTATAGGTTGAAAAAAAGATTTTATTTTGAGGCCAGAAAGTCATTTTGAGTAAGCATGAGACTGGTTGAACATAGTGGGATGTTTCTTCTCTGGCTTTGTCTAAAGATTTTTAAAAAGCCAAGATATCAGAAAGATAATTAAATTAAGAAAAATACAAAATATTTACTGAACATTTAATATATTCCATCGTCTGTACAAAGCATGTCACAGAAATGATATCTTTGGTCTGCAACTTACCTGTTGCAGATGAGAATTCTGAAACACAAGCAGGCTAAATAAATCACCCCAGGTGCTTAAGCTTCTATCTGGCTTCAAAGTCTGCCCTCTTTCTATGATACTACAATCTGTGAATGCAGTTTCACTTCAATTGTCTTCATAACTCAAATTTCCCAGGAAATGATTCTAGTAATTCTAAAGTTCTCTAAATTAGGAGCAGCTTGATGATTGCAGAGCCTTCAGAAATAAAAGGATGAATGAAAGTTCTGTACCCAAGAAATAAGCTCTCTGAAAGTCCTACATTTTATACTTTGGTGTTATTCTTGCTTTCTGTTTTTTTAATATTAAAGTTACAGACAGATAAAAAGCAAACCTGTGGTAGTTACTACTTACTCTGCTTCTCTTCATGATGAGTATACTAAAATCAGCAATCAGTTGGCTTCATCTTGCAACCAGCACCTCACATGTACTTGGAACTTAGCATAAAAATTTGTGTTGGGAAGTTTGTGAGATATTACTAATGCAATATCTAGTTTAATACTGAGTACAGGGAGAGAAGAAATATTGGGCTTGGTTAAGAAAATGGGATTTGAAACTTCAGTCAGGAACATTTATATGTTGTGGTAGTAAAACATTTGACTAACAATGACTATAAAAAGTAGGGGCTTATTTTCCTTTTCATGGCAAGAAATCTGGAGATAGATGGCTGCTGGAATTGGTTTAATGGTTCAGTAATATCAGGGTTGGCTTCTCTGCAATGCTCTTGGTCTTTTTCATATGGTGACAAGATGGCTGCCACAGCTCTAGGCATCAAATCCACATTCAAAGCAGAAGAAAGGAAGAATTATGTCCATTTTGGCAGTTTCTTCAATCAGAAAATGAAAGGCTTTTCTAGAAATCTCTTAAATCTACTTCTGTTTATAGACTGTTGGCCAATACTTGTCATAGCCATCTCTTGCTGTAAGAAAGTTTGGAAAATTGAGTATTTCACTTTTCTAGCCACTACAGGGGAAGGCAGCATGAAAGAAGGATGAGGGAACTGACTCTTGGATCTGCCAACTAATTACATTTGCTGTTGAATCATCATTGTAGGATTAAATAAAATGTCTGAAAATCACTTAGCAGAGAATAAGACTTAGAGGAAGCAGATGTATCGTAGTTATCAGTATCAAGGAAATAAGTGATTGTTAGCTTGGCAATCTCACCACTTTTTTTTTAATCTTACACTATCTTTTCATGTGAGAAACTCACTGGAAATAATGATATTCTGTCTTTAAAAAGTAAAAATTTACCACTTTCTCATATTAAATTTCTATATATAACTTTAACTGGGGTTGATGAATTTAAGATATAAACAAATGATTTCTAGGTTCTGGTTTGTAGTATTTCCTACTCCCACAGAAATATGGAGAAAATAATCACTATTTGGGGGCAGGATACCATATTCTCCAAGCCTTTCTCTGCCCAGCAACATGATTTGATTTGTGATAAAAGGAAAAAACAAGATTCTGAGAGGTTGAGCAAAAAGCAAATGATGTCCTCAATGTCCCAGGTTTCCCTTATATATAATTATTGACAATTTCCTGTCCATCCATGAAAGACATCACAGGAATAAGGTAAAATTATTATTATTTTTTTAAATTATAATTTAAGTTCTAGGGTACATGTGCACAACGTGCAGGTTTGATACATAGGTATGTATGTGCCATGTTGGTTTGCTGCACCCTTCAACGCATGATTTACATTAAGTATTTCTCCTAATGCTATCCCTCCCCCAGCCCCCCACCCCCCGAAATGCCCCGGTGTGTGATGTTCCCCGTCCTGTGTCCAAGTGATCTCATTGTTCCCTTCCCACCTATGAGTGAGAACATGGGGTGTTTGGTTTTTTGTCCTTGTGATAGTTTGCTGAGAACAATGGTTTCCATCTTCATCCATGTCCCTACAAAGGACATGAACTCATCGTTTTTTATGGCTGCATAGTATTCCACAGTGTATATGTGCCACATTTTCTTAATCCAGTCTATCATTGTTGGACATTTGGGTTGGTTCCAAGTCTTTGCTATTGTGAATAGTGCTGCAATAAACATACGTGTGCATGTGTCTTTATAGTAGCATGATTTACAATCCTTTGGGTATATACCCAGTAATGGGATGGCTGGATCAAATGGTAATTCTAGTTCTAGATCCTTGAGGAATCACCACACAGTCTTCCACAATGGTTGAACTAGTTTACACTCCCACCAACAGTGTAAAAGCGTTCCTATTTCTCCACATCCTCTCTAGCATCTGTTGTTTCCTGACTTTTTAATGATTGCCATTCTAACTGGCATGAGATGGTATCTCATTGTGGTTTTGATTTGCATTTCTCTGATGGCCAGTGATGATGAGCATTTTTTCATGTGTCTGTTGGCTGCACAGATGTCTTCTTTTGAGAAGTGTCTGTTCGTATCCTATGCCCACTTTTTGATGTGGTTGTTCGTTTTTTTTTCTTGTAAATTTTTTAAGTTTTTTGTAGGTTCTGGATATTAGCCCTTTGTCAGATGGGTAGATTGCGAAAATTTTCTCCCATTCTGTAGGTTGCCTGTTCACTCTGATGATAGTTTCTTTTGCCATGCAGAAGCTCTTTAGTTTAATTAGATCCCATTTTTCAATTTTGGCTTTTGTTGCCATTGCTTTTGGTGTTTTAGTCATGAAGTCCTTGCCTATGTCCTGAATGGTATTGCCTAGGTTTTCTTCTAGGGTTTTTATGGTTTTAGGCCTAACATTTAAGTCTTTAATCCATCTTGAATTAATTTTTGTATAAGGTGTAAGGAAGGGATCCAATTTCAGCTTTCTACACATGGCTAGCCAGTCTTCCCAGCACCATTTATTAAATAGGGAATCCTTACCCCATTTCTTGTTTTTATCAGGTTTGTCAAAGATCACATGGTTGTAGATGTGTGGTGTTATTTCTGAGGCCTCTGTTCTGTTCTATTGGTCTATATCTCTGTTTTGGTACCAGTACCATGCTGTTTTGGTTATTGTAGCCTTGTAGTATAGTTTGAAGTCAGGTAGCGTGATGGCTCCAGCTTTGTTCTTTTTGCTTAGGATTGTCTTGGCAATGCAGGCTCTTTTTTGGTTCCATATGAACTTTAAAGTAGTTTTTCCAATTCTATGAAGAAAGTTATTGGTAGCTTGATGGGGATGGCATTGAATCTATAAATTACGTTGGGCAGTATGGCCATTTTCACAATATCGATCTTCCTATCCATGAGCATGGAATATTCTTCCATTTGTTTGTGTCCTCTTTTATTTCATTCAGCTGTGGTTTGTTGTTTTCCTTGAAGAGGTCCTTCACATCCCTTTTAAGTTGGATTCCTAGGTATTTTATTCTCTTTGTCTCTTTGTAGCAATTGTGAATGGGAGTTCACTCATGATTTGGCTCTCTGTTTGTCTGTTAATGGTGTATAGGAATGCTTGTGATTTTTGCACATTGATTTTGTATCCTGAGACTTTGCTGAAGTTGCTTATTAGCTTAAGGAGGTTTGTGGCTGAGACAATGGGCTTTTCTAAATATACAATCATGTCATCTGCAAACAGGGACACTTTGACTTCCTCATTTCCTAATCGAATACCCTTTATTTCTTTCTCTTGCCTGATTGCCCTGGTCAGAACTTCCAACACCATGTTGAATAGGAGTGGTGAGAGAGGGCATCCTTGTCTTGCGCTGGTTTTCAAAGGGAATGCTTCCAGTGTTTGCCCATTCAGTATGATACTGGCTGTGGGTTTGTCATAAATAGCTCTTATTATTTTGAGATACGTTCCATCAATACCTATTTTATTGGGAGTTTTTAGCATGAAGGGCTGTTGAATTTTGTTGAAGGCCTTTCTGCTTCTATTGAGATAATCATGTGGTTTTCGTCTTTGGTTCTGTTTATGTGATGGATTATGTTTATTGATTTGTATATGTTGAACCAGCCTTGCATCCCAGGGATGAAGCTGACTTGATCTTGGTGGATAAGCTTTTCGATGTGCTGCTGGATTTGATTTGCCAGTATTTTATTGAGGATTTTCACATTGATGTTCATCAGGGTTATTGGTCTAAAATTCTCTTTTTTTGTTGTGTCTCTGCCACGTTTTGATGTCAGGATTATGTTGGCCTCATAACATGAGTTAGGGAGGATTCCCTCTTTTTGTATTGATTGGAATAGTTTCAGAAAGAATGGTACCAGCTTGTTTTTGTACTTCTGGTAGAATTCGGCTGTGAATCCGTCTGGTCCTGGACTTTTTTTGGTTGGCAGGCTGTTAATTATTGCCTCAATTTCAGAGCCTGTTATTGGTCTATTTGGAGATTCAACTTCTTCCTGGTTAAGTCTTGGGAGGGTGTATTTGTGCAGGAGTTTATCCATTTCTTGTAGATTTTCTAGTTTATTTGCATAGAAATGTTTATAGTATTCTCTGATGGTAGTTTGTATTTCTGTGGGATCGGTGGTGATATCCCGTTTATAATTTTTTATTGCATCTATTTGTTTCTTTTATCTTTTCTTCTTTATTAGTCAGGGTATAGGTCTATCAATTTTGTTGATATTTTCAAAAAAACAGCTCCTGGATTCATTGATTTTTTTTGAAAGTTTTTTGTGTCTCTATCTCTTTCAGTTCTGCTCTGGTCTTAGTTATTTGTAGCCTTCCGCTAGCTTTTGAATTTGTTTGCTCTTGCTTCTCTAGATCTTTTAATTGTGATGTTAGCGTGTCGATTTTAGATGTTTCCTGCTTTGTCTTGTGGGCATTTAGTGCTATAAGTTTCCCTCTACACACTGCTTTAAATGTGTCCCAGATATTCTGGTATGTTGTGTCTTTGTTCTCATTGGTTTCAAAGAACATCTTTATTTCTGCCTTATTTCATTATTTACCCAGTAGTCATACAGGAGCAGGTTGTTCAGTTTCCATGTAGTTGTGCAGTTTTGAGTGAGTTTCTTAATCCTGAGTTGTAATTTGATTGGGTTTGAGAGACAGTTTGTTGTGATTTCTGTTCTTTTACATTTGCTGAGGAGTGCTTTACTTCCAATTATGTGGTCAGTTTTAAAATAAGTGTGATGTGGTGCTGAGAAGAATATATGTTCTGTTGGTTTGGGTTGGAGAGTTCTGTAGACATCTATTAGGTCCACTTGGTGCAGAGGTGAGTTCAAGTCCTGGATACCCTTGTTAACCTTCTGTCTCATTGATCTGTCTAATATTGACAGTGGAGTGTTAAAGTCTCCCATTATTATTGTGTGAGAGTCTAAGTCTCCTTGTAGGTCTCTCTGGACTTGCTTTATGAATCTGGGTGCTCCTGTATTGGGTGCATATATATTTAGGAGAGTTAGCTTTTCTTGTTGAATTGATCCCTTCACCATTATGTAATGGCCTTGTCTCTTTTGATCTTTGTTGGTTTAAAGTCTGTTTTATAGAGACTGGGATTGCAAACCCTGCTTTTTTTTTGTTTTGTTTTCCATTTGCTTGGTAGATCTTCCTCCATCCCTTTATTTTGAGCCTATGTGTGCCTCTGCATGTGAGATGGGTCTCCTGAATGCAGCACAATGATGGGTCTTGATTCTTTATCCAATTTGCAAGTCTGTGTCTTTTAATTGGGGTACTTAGACCATTTACATTTAAGGTTAATATTGTTATATGTTAAGTTGGTCCTGTCATTATGATGTTCACTGGTTATTTTGCCCGTTAATTGATACGGTTTCTTCATAGCATCAGTGGTCTTTACAATTTGGCCTGTTTTTGCAGTGGCTGGTACCGGTTGTTCCTTTCCATGTTTAGTGCTTCCTTCAGGAGCTCTTGTAGGGCAGGCCTGGTGGTGACAAAATCTCTCAGCATTTGGTTTTCTGTAAAGGATTTTATTTCTCTTTCACTTATGAATCTTAGTTTGGCTGGATATGAAATTCTGGGTTGAAAATTCTTTTCTTTAAGAATGTTGAATATTGGCCCCCACTCTCTTCTGGCTTGTAGGGTTTCTGCTGAGAGATCCACTGTTAGTCTGATGGGCTTCCCTTTGTGGGTAACTTGACTTTTCTCTCTTCTTTCCCTTAACACTTTTCCTTCATTTCAACCTTAGTGAATCTGACAATCATGTGTCTTGGAGTTGCTCTTCTCGAGGAGTATCTTTGTGGTGTTCTCTGTATTCCTGAATTTGAATGTTGGCCTGCCTTGCTAGGTTGGGCAAGTTCTCCTGGATAATATCCTGAAGAGTGTTTTCCACCTTGGTTACATTCTTCCCATCACTTTTATGTACACCAATCAAACATAGATTTTTTTTTTTTCACATAGTCCCATATATCTTGAAGGCTTTGTTCATTTCTTTTTACTCTTTTTTCTCTAACCTTGTTTTCTCGTTTTATTTCATTAATTTGATCTTCAATCACTGATACTCTTTCTTTCCCTTGATCAAATCGGCTATTGAAGCTTTGCATGCATCACCAAGTTCTTGTGTGATGGTTTTCAGCTCCATCAGGTCATTTAACGTCTTCTCTACACTCTTTATTCTAGTTAGCCATTCATCTAATCTTTTTTGAAGGTTTTTAGCTTCCTTATGATGGGTTTGAACATCCTCCTTTAGCTCGGAGAAGTTTGTTATTACCAACCTTCTGAAGCTTACTTCTGTCAACACGTCCAAGTCATTCTCCATCCAGCTTTGTTCCGTTGCTGGCGAGGAGCTGCAATCCTTTGGAGGAGAAGAGGTGCTCTGATTTTTAGAATTTTCAGGTTTTCTGCTCTGGTTTCTCCCCATGTTTGCAGTTTTATCTACTCTTGGTCTTTGATATTGGTGACCTACAGATGGGGTTTTGCTGTAGATGACCTTTTTGTTGACGCTGTTGCTATTCCTTTCTGTTTGTTAGTTTTCCTTCTAACGGTCAGGTCCCTCAGCTGCAGGTCTGTTGGCGTTTGCTTGATTTCCACTCCAGACCCTGTTTGCCTGGGTATCACCAGCGGAGGCTGCAGAACAGCAAAGCAGAACAGGAAATATTGCTGCCTGATCCTTTCTCTGGAAGCTTTGTCCCAGAGGGGCAGCCGCCTATATGAGGTGTCTGTCAGCCCCTACTGGGAGGTGTCTCCCAGTTAGTCTTCACGGGGGTCAGAGACCCACTTGAGGAGGCAGTCTTTCCATTCTCAGAGCTCAAATGCCATGCTGGGAGAACCACTGCTCTCTTCAGAGCTGTCAGACAGGGATGTTTAAGTGTGCAGAAGTTGTCTGCTGCCTTCTGTTCAGCTATGTCCTGCCCACAGAGGTGGAGTCTAGAGGCAGTAGGCCTTGTTGAGCTGTGGTGTGCTCCTCCCAGTTCGAGCTTCTGGGCGGCTTTGTTTACCTACTCAAGCCTTAGCAATGGCGGACGCCCCTCCCCCAGCCAGGCTGCTGTCTCGCAGATTGATCTCGGACTGCCGCATTTACAGTGAGCAAGGCTCTTTGGGCGTGGGAGCCACCGACCAGGCATGGGAGAGTATCACCTTGTCTGTTGGTTGCTAAGACCTTGGGAAAAGCACAGTATTTGGGCAGGAGTGTCCCGATTTTCCAGGTAGTCTGTCATGGCTTCCCTTGGCTAGGAAAGGGAAATCCCCTACCCCTTACACTTTGTGGGTGAAGGAATGCCCCGCCCTGCTTCAGCTCACCCTCTGTGGGCTGCACCCACTGTCCAGCGAGTCCCAGTGAGATGAACCATGTACCTCAGTTGGAAATGCAGAAATCACCCACCTTCTGTGTCAATCACACTGGGAGCTGCAGACCACAGCTGTTCCTATTTGGCCACCTTTGACTGCCCCCCATGGTAAAATTATTTATTTAATTATTTCACTTTATCTGATGAGTATGCTCATGTTGATCTAGTACTACTGTCCTTGAGAAAGATGTGGAAAACTTGGCAAGAAGTGGGGGGTCCCTATAAAATGATGTTTGACTTGTAACAACAACAAATAAGTAGATTGATGATTTCTAATTATCTTCAGCTGTCTGGTTGAAAATGCAAAAAGAGAAAAATATGTTAGCAAGAAATTTGCATTACTCAAAGTAAGTAAGATTTTATTTGATATTCTGGAAGAGGGTTTTGTTTCTTTGTTGTTTGGTTTGTTTACCCAAAGCCCTTAGGAATATTTTATTTTTCAGACTAAGCCTTCTCTTTTTTAGAAGTTTCTCCTCGGGTCTAAGACTACTTTTAGGTAAAAGGTGTACTGTAACTGTGAAACATTGTCCTGGAAGCTGAATAAGTAATTTTGGTTAACTAGCATGTCACACCTGAAATGTACATATTATTAATAGTAATAATAGAGAGATATTTAAAGCTGTAATGAAGCATTTTATTTCAAAGTATTGAGGGAGAAAGGGAGAAATGGAGAAAATTACTGTGTTAAGTTACTTAGCATATTCAGTCAAAACAGTAGATTAATAAGGTTTTAGGAAGAGTTTTATGAATATGACTAGGTGTATCAATTATCTATTGTCATTATCATGTTGTATAACATTATTACTCCAAATGGAACTCTGGGTAATAAATCAACCCAAAACAAAGAGGTTTAAAATGCATGCATATATTATTTCTCTTGAGTCTATAGTTTGGCTGGATAATTCTGCCAGTGTAAACTGGGTTGTTTTGAGCTGGGCCAGTTCATACATCTGCTGTCAACTTGCAGTTTAAGAAGAGACTATCGAGATTAGGGTGACTTTTGCTTGGACAACTAAACTTTACTCCTAAGTCTCTCATATCTTTACATCAGACTTGCCTAGCCATGCTCATTTGGTGGTGGTAAGTTCCAGGAATGAGTCAGCCCAATTATGCAGGAGAGCAAGCAGAAATATCCATGCCTTCTGCTCTGTTTGCAACACATTGACTAATATCCCATTGGGCAAAACAAGTCGAATGTTCAATCCCAGAGTCACAGTGAGACAGGAATACAGTTAAGGGCAAAGACCCTGGTTATAGGGAAGCTAGTATTTGGGACTATTCATGTAAACAATCTACCACATCATCCTAGTTTTTATTTGTGTTTGGGAAGTGTAACAGGAAGAATAAGCTTTGTTCTCTGAGTACTTCAGGTAATTTTGGATGTAATGTTATTGATTGGCTGCAGAATCATTGAACTAGTTTGTATAGGAAACTAGTTTGCTTGTTTTTTTCAGATGGTAATGATGATATTCTTAGACCTGCTACCATTTTTTAAGAAGTTTTTTGAATACTTAATTAATTAATCATCTCTTCACCATACGTGCCTATATGTTTCTTCTCAAAGATCAAGGCTTACTCTTTCTTTCATGCAGCAGTTATTATACTTGATTAAAGGGAAGCCCTGTCAGTGAATGAAAAATAATGAAGAGTGTTCATTAAAAAAAAAAAAGTCTTTCAAGTGTTTCTGGAAGAAGTAGATTATGTTAGACAATAGGAGAGGAAAGTATCTACTGATTGGGATAACTTCCATATTGGTGTAATGCACCATATTAAATATGATACTTGTTAAAGATTTCTAAATTTAGGATGGTGTATAAATTGCATAGAGCCATTGAAAAACTTTGCCCTATAAGCACCTTTGAGATGTGACTTTGTCATAGTTGCTTAAATATCTGTTTGCAGTTATGGAAAGTCACTGTCACTATTAGAAAAATCATGTTATTGCCTTAAAATTTTTCTAACTTTTGAAAAATTTTCTTATATAAGAAGATACTCTGACAAACTCAGAATCTCACATTTTTCAGTTGAGGAAATAAGTGTTTTCCTTAGGCAACTTTAGTTTCCAAGGCATATGTTAAAAATTACATATGCTTCTGGCTCACACTTAATTATTACTAACTTATTCTAATCTTGCCACTGTAAAGTAGAAAAAGTCCAGGCGAAAATTTCAACATGGAAACTTAAATGCATAAGAGAATAAAAAGTGAAAAACCACAGCAATTATTTTCTAAGATGTAAAGAAAATGTAAATGAGTAGTTTTCGAGCTTATGAAAGATATATGAAACCAGATAAAGCAGCCATCTGTTAAAATAGTTCAAAAGCACAAATTTGGTTAGTTATTGACTTGTCCTAATAAGCTTGAATGTTGTTAGTTCACCCACAAAGAATTTGAATCTAAAGTCAACTCTTCATTATTTTTCAATCAGCATTTCATGATCAGTGTCAGATCACCGCAGCTCATGCACAGCAGCAGGTGGACCAGATACTGAACATTAAATTAGCAAAATAACAAGGCGAAATTCTCCTTGCAAGCTCTGATTCTCTCCTTGCCTTCCTCCCACATATACAAATCCAGAGACAAAAAGAAAAAGGATATTAGGACAAACTGCAGTTATATGGCACAGGGATTCTTATGTATTTAACCTTGCTTTGTTTATGTGCTGGCTTCTGCGATGGCATTGTATGTGATAAATAGCTGGTTGTCTAAGATGTCTCTATTATGCCTCTAAAGATTATTTATACTTTCTCAAGAACAGAACACTTGATAAACTCAATTCATAACTTAGATACTCTTGTTTCTACTTAAAAGAATATTCTGGCTACTCTCTTTTCTATTCTACCCTCTCCACAATATACATATCCATCACTTTTCAAGATGGCTGCTGGCCTACTTATGGATACGGTCAGGAAAGAACATTGTCAGTCTTTTATAGACAGAAAGTAGCTATGTTTACAAATATTAAGAAAAATATTTCATTTCAACTCAGACATCCTACCCCTACAAGCTAACCAATATGATCCTCATGCTACGTGATTGAAGTTTGACTACTTTACCACTTTTACTCAGTATATTCTCTGTTGAAAATTATATAAAAGGGACAAAACTGTGCATGTTAAAACTCTTAGAGCAGCTATAGTTTTTTCCTAAGGAAAACAAGGCTTTTACACATCCTATATCACCCAGCAGCTGGGGGATGCCGAGTTAGCTAAAATTCTACTCTTGACTTTTGACAGATTCTACTCTAATTACAAGAATAAAAAAACATTTTTTCCCCAAGAAGGACAGCTGTGCTTTTTATAGGCATTATATTATTTATGATTTATGGCAAATTATAAGAAAATAAAAGTCATAATTGCATCCACAATTGCAGTTAAAGTAAATTTTATTGCTATAATTTTGCAACACAAACAAAAACAACTCAGTATATAGAATAATAATGACATCATTGAATATGTATTTTTAATGTCACATTAAATGTAAAACAGATTATTTATGGTATTGTTACCAAGAATACATGTATCATTTTGAGTAAAACAAATTCTACTCATATTCTATTAAGTATCTTAAAATGCAATAAACATTTCTGCTGTAAGTATCCATGAAGATTGAGGAAGATTAAGTTTATAGAACCTAAAAATAAATGTTAGGTTTATTTCCTGTGTGACTAGTGGTAACATAACAAGTGAAAACTCTAGAAGATGAAGCTTTCTAAAGTATAAAAGATGAATCTATTAAAGAGAGCCATGAAGTATCCAATCACATGGAGAATTTTCCAGCAGCCTAGGTGAGACATAACTTGAGCTCTGTAGGTGAGACATAACTTGAGCTCTGCTTATGTTTGCAATAAGGTATGCCAGGTTTCCCAGCACAGGTGTTCTGCTGGGTTATGGGGAAGACCCTTAATGCTGAAGCAAGGATAGGCTTAACTGTTGGCATCTATGAAAAGATGATATAATGGATAACTTTCTGCTGTAGAAATAAGCATATGAGTGTAATTGTCAGGATGGCTATTATGAGAAGACTCCTTTTCCAAAAAAATTCTGAAAGCCACATTGAATGAATTTCCTCAGAGTAAGTGAAATTCGCAATGACAACTTCAGAAATTCCAAGTGTTCTCTGATGATGTTTTCATTCTTTAGAACAGGTATCAGCAAACTGTAACCCACAGGCCAAATGGGGCTCATTGCCTGTTTTCTGTTTTTTTTTTTCCTTAGACCTTAGACCTGATTTAGGTTTACAAAAGAATTGAACAGAAACTATAGAGTTCCCATATATTCTGTCCACCCAGACCATAGTTTCCATTGCTATTAATATCTTCCCTTTGGTATATTTGTTAAAATGTGTAAACCAATATTGATGCATTTTTATTAACTAAAGTCCATAGTTTACATTAGGGTTCACTCTTTGTGTTGTACATTGTATGGGTGTTTCCCAGTGCATAATGTCATGTACACACTATTACAGTGTCATATGGAATACCTTCACTGCTGTCAAATTCTCCCATGCTCCACCTGTTCATCCTTCCCCTCCCTACCCGTAACCATTGTCTTTTAGTTTGACTTTTGCAGAATGTTATATAGTGAGAAACATACAGTACGTAGCCTTTTCAGACTGGCTTCTTTCGCTTAGCAATATGCATTTAAGGTTCTGCTATGTCTAGTTGAGATTTGATAGCACATTTATTCTAATTGCTGAATAATATCCCATTGTACAACTGTATCACAAGTTGTTTATCTTAATTGCTTCCCATTATTGGAGATCATGAATAAAGCTACTACAAACACCCGTGTGCAGGTTTTTGTATGAACATTAGTGTTTAACTTATTTAAGTAAATATCTAGGAGGACCATTGCTGGATCATTTGGTAATATACTATGCTTAGCTTTGTAAGAAACTGTCAAGATGTCTTCCAAAGCAGTTGTACCATTGTGCATTGACACCAGCAATGAGTGAGAGATTTTGTTGCTTCACATTCTTGCCAGCATTTAGTGTTGACAGTGTTTTGTATTTTAGCCCCTATAGTGGGTGCTTAGTGGTATCTCTTACCTGCTAATTGCCTGTTTTTATAAATATAATTTTATTGGAACATAGCCATGCTCATTCGTTTACATTTTGCCTGTGACTGCTCTCATGCCATAATGGCAGAGTTGTCACAGACACCATATAGCCCACAAAGCCTAAACTATTACTGTCTGGCTCTTCACAGAAAATGTCTGTGGGGATTTGCTTTGGAGTATTTTTTTCTGGTCCTTTCCCTGTTGACTTTTTAGAGTTTATACAAAATACCTATCAGATATTTATGTTTGTTTCTCTAGAATAATCAAGAAGTATTGAAGATATTTTACTAGAGAAGTGGAATAAATTCATTATCAATGCAATAATCTAAAAGGTTCGTCCTTCAAATAATTTGACCAAAGTGACCTTTTTCTTCTTCTCTTCATTGAATAACACTTTTTGGGAGACATTAAATATGCAACAGTTGCTCAAAGCCAATAAATTATACCATAAACCTTATAGATACAAATATAACAATCTTGAAACTGTAAATGAAGTTTGTAGCATGTGTAATGTGTGTACCTATATATGTAAATATTTACTAATCAAGAAAAATTTTTGCCTGTAATCCCAGCACTTTGGGAGGCTGAGGCAGGTGGATCACGAGGTCAGGAGATCGAGACCATCCTGGCTAACACAGTGAAACCTCGTCTCTACTAAAAAATACAAAAATTAGCCAAGCGTGGTGGCAGGCACCTGTAATCCCAGCTACTTGGGAGGCTGAGACAGGAGAATGGTGTGAACCCAGATGGTGGAGCTTGCAGTGAGCCGAGATCATGCCACTGCACACCAGCCTGGGCAACAGAGTGAGACTCTATCTCAAAAAAAAAAAAAAAAAAGAAAAGAAAAAGAAAAATTTTCATGACTGAAACAAATCTCACTTGTTATCAAGATTACTCCTTCATTGCCAACCTTTTTATTATGCTCAGCAATAAAAATGAACACACTACTGATGCACACTATACCATGAATAATCTTAAAAGATGTCAGACACAAAATAATACATGGTTTTCATATATATTTAGTATCAACCATTAATATAATTATCTTGAAAGATAGAGGTTGGTTGCTTGGGAAAGAATGGCATGAAATACATTGAAAAATGGAAGCTATTATGGCATTTAAAGGTAAAAACTAATTTATTCTCATGAGTTGCATGTGAACTATTTATTGGTCACAGTATGCCTTGAAGCAGTATTTCCAAAATCTGGTTGCCACATATTTTCACATCTGAATCCAGTCCTACTGATTCATAATCTGAAATATGAAGCACCCAAGGTGATTCTGATATTGTTCCATCATTTTTGGTCATCGTTTTTAAATCTACTGTACCAAAATATCAAAGGAAGGAGTTCTTTGGAAAGTGAGAACTAATGTTCAGTATCTAAGTGATGCTTGGAGAAGTTAGTCCATTTTAATTGGTAATTAGTCTATTAGTGTTAAATAAAATTTCTTTTGATGATGTGTGAAACAAAATTTCTTTGATGATGTGTACATGTCCAGTCTCTTTCAGAAAGATTTTATTTTTTGAAATAGAAAATATGGATTCCCTCCTCTGATTCCTCTCTGGGGGTAGGGGAGCTCTTCCAAAATGCAGATCTGGTCCTGGCTCCCCTCTGGTACTCTCCATTGTGACTCTCCTTTTCCCTCCAGAAGTCTCCTTGGCCTAGACTACTTGGCCTTCCACGTGGGTCATTGAGAAAAATGAAGCAACCCTGCCACAGCGTGCGTGGCTTGGGAAGCAGAACCTGCTCCTGCTCACCCCTTCAGCTGAGTGCCATGTGCAGGATACAACCTACTGGCCATCCTTGGAGGCCCTGACTGAGTCTCCTTGCTCCTAAATTCAATCTTGCTTAATAAATTAGCCAAAATTTTGGTTCATGGCTCGTCCCATGAAGTCACCAACTATAAACTACTGATTACATGGCCACAGGTTGGGTGTGGACGAAATGCCATTACAAACTGTCACAGTCACAAAAATGTCAACAGTGGAATAACATTGAACTGCTGAGTCACTGTAGTCATCTTTGGTGAAGCACTTAAGTTGTAATATTCAATTTCTCCTAAAATATTCATTTTTTAATTCTTGACCAGAAACCTCCATGAGAGTTAGGTAATATGCTGAGAAGAGAATAACAGATCTGCCCTCTGAGGCAGTGAAATTGTTTTCTGTGGCTGATTCTGCCTCTACCTACATATAGTTAAAAAAAATTCACACATGTTCTATCTTGATGTCTTTATCAGAATCTAAGTTAGTTATTATTCTTCCTGTGCCACATTACTGTGTATCACATGTAAGTAAAAGCACTATAAAGGGAGAGGCACATCCATTTCTTTTCAACCCACATTTTAGCCTCCCTGGTTCAGTTTGGCACCTCTTCCCTATATTATTATGAAAGATTCCTCACTGGTGTCCCACTCTGAAGACAAGCTTCCCTACAGCCCACTGTGGACGGCTGTTTTGTTAATCTTCCTTAACCACGTATAGGAGAGCAATTGCCCTCTACTTTTAAAACTTATTAGTTTCTGGCAGGGCAATGTTTAACAATCTTTTATCTAGCATTTAAAGCCCTCTAGAACTGGGTCTAACACAAACCTTCTCCAGTCAGTCTGATTTTATGGCTGGTCTTCTTTCTTTTTTTTGTTTTTTTGAGGCGGAGTCTTACTCTGTCACCCAGGCTGGAGTTCAGTGGCGCGATCTCAGCTCACTGCAACTTCCACCTCGCAGGTTCAAGTGATTCTCCTGCCTCAGCCTCCTGAATAGCTGGTATTACAGGGGTGCACCACTATGCCTGGCTAATTTTTGTATTTTTAGTACAGACAGGGTTTCATCATGTTGGTCAGGCTGGTTTTGAACTTCTGACCTCGTGTTCCACCCAACTCGGCCTCCCAAAGTGCTGAGATTACAGATGTGAGCCACCGTGCCCAGCATTATGACTGCTCTTCTGTGAAATTAATTTTTACTCTGTGCCTCTACATGTGCTATTTCCTCTGCCTGGAATGCATTTCTCACCCAGCATTGCCATGATAGAATTTCTATCTCTCTTTTTAAAACCCAGCTGAAATATTAACATCATCTGGGTTTTGCTATCCATCTGACCCAATAGTAATTAATATCTTTTTTCTTTGTACTGCTATGGCACCTAACAATTTCAAAAAGCATCCTTGCTAATTTGTTTGAGTTCATTGTAGATTCTGGATATTAGTCCTTTGTCAGATATATAGATTGTGAAGATTTTCTCCCACTCTGTCGGTTGTCTGTTTACTCTGCTGACTGTTCCTTTTGCCATACAAAAGCTTTTTAATTTAATCAAGTCCCAGCTATTTATCTTTGTTTTTATTGTATTTGCTTTTGGATTCCTGGTCATGAAATCCTTGCCTAAGCCAATGTCTGGAAGGGTTGCAAAAAATGTGGAACCAACCCAAATGCCCATCAATCAATAAGTGGATAAAGAAACTGTGGTGTATATATATATGATGAAATACTACTCAGCCATAAAAAGGAATGACTTAGTGACATTCACAGCAACCTGGATGAGATTGGAGAGTATTATTCTGAGTAAAGTAACTCAGGAATGGAAAACCAAACATTGTATGTTCCCATTTATAAGTGGGAGCTAATCTATGAGGATGCAAAGGCATAAGAAAGACAATGGATTTTGGGGACTCAGGGGGAAAGGGTGGGCAATGGGTGAGAGATAAAATACTACAAATTGAGTGGCAGTGTTTACTGCTCAGGTGATGGGTGCACCAAAGTCTCACAAATCACCACTAAAGAACTTACTCATGTAACCAAACACTACCTGTTCCCCAATAACCTATGGAAATGAAAACATTTTTTAAAAAAGTATCCTTGTTCCTTATGCTTCCTCTTGGGTAGATATTTATATAACTGCTTTGTATATAAATGTATGCGTTTCCTATTTCAATGTTTCTGAAATTGGAGTATGTTTTTAAAATCCTATGTATAGTTAGATTTTCTTTTTTCTATGAATTTCTTATTTTGGTTTAACTTAAATTCATGGTGCCTTATGTCCAGTGAAATATAGTCTATGCCTCGTCATCCTTTGCTGTAATGTGAGTTTCTTGGGAGGAAAGTACCATGTCTTACACAATTTTCTATTTTCCACAGCCCCTTGCACATAATAGGTAATCGATAAATTCTTTTTAAAGGAGCAAAATACATAAAACGATATAAAAATGAAAGATATAATATACTATTCTGTGGGCTCTGTGTGAAATAAGATCCTGCAAGGTTCTCTGAAAGTTCAAATCAAAAATCCCTCTCCATTCTTCATATCATTTGTGCCTATTGTACCCTTGTGATGATTTATTGGAAGAAATATGATAGACTTTGTTTCCCATGATGTTTTGAGCATGATCTGTTTGTTTTTTTCTCTGAAGCCCAGCTTCTGTATTATTTTTTATGCCAGAATGTTTAAGTAGGCAATAGTATCTTTTGCCTTGCTTTACTAAAGTAATCTTGCTCAGCCAGCAGGGAAGTCTATTAGTATATTTCTTCGAATCTATTTACAACAAATTCTTTCTATTTATTAAGTAAAACTCTTTGCTGAAGTCATCCAAACACATTTTGATGCTACTTCCTAGGCCTAAGTTAGAAGAAACATCAATTCAAATTGCCTCAATAAGATTTCCAATTATTTATGTGCTTCGAATATTGAGAGGTTTACCTGGAAACTTTAATTTCCCTCTCTTTTGTACCTTTAAGTTTCTTCCTCCATTTTAAAAATAAGACTTTATTGTTTCAGAAATTTTCTTCACTTGGTCTTTGAACTAAAGCATATCCTTGTTATTTCTCTTTCTCCCCTTGGGTTATTGATCTAATTTTTGAAGGATAAAAGCAAAATAAAAAAATAAGAAACCTAATCTATAATATTGTACAACAACTTTATTTTTGATTATGCTTTCCTAATCTCTATCTAGATAACAAAAATAATTACAGCGGTGAATATTTTATGTTTACCTTTTGCCATGCTCTGAGGGAAGCATTTTACATCAATTATCTTATTTAATCTTTCAGTAAACCTATGGGGATGAATTATTATTATTTCTATCAAATGTAAGCCGGATCATATCACTTCTCTTCTGAAAGACCTCCAAGGCTTTCTTATTTCCTCTGAGATTCTCTCTGCGTATTATGAGGTCTTCATGGTCTGTCCCCTAGCCCCCACCCTACCATTTTTCTGACCTCCTCTGCCACTCTGCTCTTCACTTTTCTGTGCTCGCCATCTGCACCTCTTTTCTTGTGAGGCACAGTCTTGCCTCAGAGCTTTTGTACTTGCTACCTTTGGAATGCCCTTTCCCTGGATGGTTATCTGCATGACTTGCTCCCTTACTTCCTTCAGGTCATCATCCAAAGTCATCTTCGGGGGACACCTTACCTGGCCCTATCTAAAATGCCATCCCTCAGTAATTCATAACCCATTCTCTGCTTTCCTTATTTTGCTTTCTATCATTTCTCACATTTTAATATACTGTATGTTTGTCTGCAATCTCTTATATTAACTCACTCATTTAAAAGTGAAAGTCAGGAATTGGAGCCTCTTTTGTTGACTTCTGTATTCCCAGACCCTAGGACAGTGGCTCAAACATAATAGGCAAATGATAAATATCTGTTGAATGAATAAATGTCTGAATGAGAGATGTCAAGTAATTCAGGATCTTTTAATTGGTGGGGCTAGAATTAAACACAGATGATTTTATTTTTGCACACTCAACTTTTAAATATATATTAAGAATTTATTGGCTGGGTACAGTGGCTCACACCTGTAATCCCAGCACTTTGGGAGGCTGAGGTGGGTGGATCACCTGAGGTCAGGAGTTTGAGACCAGCCTGGCCAACATGGCGAAACCCTGTATCTACCAAAAATATAAAAATTAGCCGGTCATGGTGGCACGTGCCTGTAATCCCAGCTACTTGGGAGGCTGAGGCAGGTGAACCGATGAACCCGGGAGGCAGAGATTGCAGTGAGATGAGATGGTGCCACTGCACTCCAGCCTGGGTGACAGAGTGAGACTCTGTCTCAAAAAAAAAAAAAAAAAAAAAAGATAATAAATAAATAAATAATGTTTTAACAAAGAGTTTGTTATGTGAAAAAACAGAAGTTTTCCTATAGCTTCTCCGTAAGTAATTCATCTATATTATATTGTTTGGCAATGTAGACCAAGACTCTGTGCAGAATTGACTTGGAGAACTCCTAAATGTTTTTCAGAAACATTGTTAGATGCATAATGCATTAAGTTGTCTTCTCTCTATTTGTTTTTTAACTGAAATATGTCCATAATCTTCTCATCTCTGAACCATCAAATTATACTGCAGTCTGTTGATCAAGATTGATTCTGAGCATGGGGAACACATTTTAAACAAGAAAGAATTTTGTTTGTTTTTTGTAATGTAATGGCTAATGCACTGGAAACAGATTGCACGGACATTAAGCTTCTGTCCACACATCTATGTTCAACAAACCTAACAGTAAACATTTGCCTTGATTACTACTTCTACTGAAGAGATACTGAGTCACGGGTCCAATTTTTTTCTAATATTCTTGCCCTTAAAAAATTTTTTATTGGTCAGGCGCGGTGGCTCATGCCTGTAATCCCAGCACTTTGGGAGGCCGAGGCAGGCAGATCATGAGGTCAGGAGATTGAGACCATCCTGGCTAACATGGTGAAACCCTGTCTCTACTAAAAACAAAAACAGAAACAAAAACAAAAACAAAAATTAGCCAGGCATGGTGGCGGGCCCCTGTAGTCCTAGCTACTCGGGAGGCTGAGGCAGGAGAGTGGCATGAACCCAGGAGGCGGAGGTTGCAGTGAGCTGAGATCATGCCACTGCACTCCAGCCTGGGTGACAGAGCAAGACTCCGTCTCAAATAATAATAATAATAATAATAATAATAATAATAATTTTTATTATACTTAAGTTCTGGGATACATGTGCAGAATGTGAAGGTTTGTCACATAGGTATACATGTGCCATGGTGGTTTGCTGCACCTATCAATTCATCATCTACATTAGGGATTTCTCCTAATGCTATCCCTACCCTTATCTCCCAACCCCCGACAGGCCCCAGTGTGTGATGTTCCCCTCCCTGTGCCCATATGTGCTCATTGTTCAATGCCCACTTATGAGTGAGAACATGCAGTGTTTGGTTTTCTGTTCCTGTGTTAGTTTGCTGAGAATGATGGTTTCCAGCTTCATCCATGTCCCTGCAAACACATGAACTCATTCTTTTTTTTTTTTTTTTTTGAGACAAAGTCTCCTCCTGTCAACCAGGCTGGAGTGCAATGGCACAATCTCAGCTCACTGCAACCTCTGCCTCCCAGGTTCAAGCGATTCTCCTGCCTCAGCCTCCCAAGTAGCTGGAATTACAGGCATGTGCCACCATGCCTGGCTAATTTTTTGTATCATTAGTAAAGACAAGGTTTCATCATGTTAGCCAGGCTGGTCTCGAACTCCTGACCTCGTGAGGCCTCCCAAAGTGCTGGGATTACAGGCATGAGCCACAGCGCTTGGCCTGAACTCATTATTTTTTACGGCTGCGTAGTATTTCATGGTGTATATGTGCCACATTTTCTTTATCCAGCCTAACATTGATGGGCATTTGGGTTGGTTCCAAGTCTTTGCTATTGTGAATAGTGATGCAATAAACATACCTGTGTATGTGTCTTTATAGTAGAATGATTTATAATCCTTTGGGTATATACCCAGTAATGGGATTGCTGGGTCAAATGGTATTTCTATTTCTAGATCCTTGAGGAATCGCCACACTGTCTTTCACAATGGTTGAACTAATTTACACTCCCACCAACAGTGTAAAAGCATTTCTATTTCTCCACATCCTCTCCAGCATCTGTTGTTTCCTGACTTTTTTTAATGATCACCATTCTAACTGGCGTGAGATGGTATCTCGTTGTGGTTTTGATTTGTATTTTTCTAATGACCAGTGATGATGAGCTTTTTTTCGTATATTTATTGGCCGCATAAGTGTCTTAGTTTGAAAAGTGTCTGTTCATATCCTTCACCTACTTTTTGATGGGCTTTTTTTTTTCTTGTAAATTTAAGTTCCTTGTAGATTCTGGATATTAGCCCTTTGCCAGATGGGTAGATTGCAAAAATTTTCTCCCATTCTGTAGGTTTCCTGTTCACTCTGCTGATAGTTTCCTTTGCTGTGCAGAAGCTCTTTAGTTTAATTAGATCCCATTTGTCAATTTTGGCTTTTGTTGCCATTGCTTTTGGTGTTTTAGTCTTGAAGTCTTTGCCCATGCTTGAATGGCATTGCCTAGGTTTTCTTCTAGGATTTTTTATGGTTTTAGGCCTAACATTTAAGTCTTTAATCCATCTTGAGTTAATTTTTGTATGAGGTGTAAGGAAGGGGTCCTGTTTCAGTTTTCTGCATATGGCTAGCCAGTTTTCCCAACAGCATTTATTAAATAGGGAATCCTTTTCCCATTGCTTGTTTTCATCAGGTTTGTCAAAGATCAGATCATTGTAGATGTGTGGTGTTATTTCTGAGGCCTCTGTTCTGTTCCATTGGTTTATATATTTGTTTTGGTACCAGTACCAAGCTGTTTTGGATACAGTAGCCTTGTAGTACAGTTTGAAGTCAGGTAGTGTGATGGCTCCAGCTTTGTTCTTTTTGCTTAGGGTTTTCTTGGCTATATGGGCTTTTTTTTGGTTCCACATGAAATTTAACATACTTTTTTCTAATTCTGTGAAGAAAGTCAATGGTAGCTTGATGGGAATAGCATTGAATCTGTAAATCACTTTGGGCAGTACAGCCATTTTCATGATATTGATTCTTCCTATCCATGAGCATGGACTGTTTTTCCATTTGTTTGTGTTCTGTCTTACCTCCTTGAGCAGTGGTTTGTAGTTCTCCTTGAAGAGGTCCTTCACCTCTCCTGTAAGTTGTATTCCTAGGTATTTTGTTCTCTTTGTAGCAATTGTGAATGGGAGTTCACTCATGATTTGGCTCTCTGTTTGTCTATTATTGGTGTATCTGAATGGTTGTGATTTTTGCACATGGATTTTGTACCCTGAGACTTTGCTAAAGTTCCTTGTCAGCTTAAGGAGTTTTTGGGCTGAGACAGGGTTTTCTAAATATACAATCATGTCATCTGTAGAGATAATTTGACTTCCTCTCTTCCTATTTGAGTACCCCTTATTTCTTTCTCTTGCCTGATTGCCCTGGCCAGAACTTCCAATACTGTGTTGAATAGGAGTGGTGAGAAGGCATCCTTCTCTTGTTCCAGTTTTCAAAGGGAATGCTTCCAGCTTTTGCCCATTCAGTATGATATTGGCTGTGGGTTTGTCATAAATAGCTCTTATTATTTTGAGATACATTCCATCAATACCTAGTTTATTGAGTGTTTTTAGCATGAAGGGCTGTTGAATTTTATCGAAGGCCTTTTTGGCATCTATTGAGATAATCATGTCGTTTTTGTCATTGGTTCTGTTTATGTGAGAAATAACGTTTATTGATTTGCATATGTTGATCCAGCCTTGCATCCCAGGGATGAAGCTGACTTGATTGTGGTGGATAAGCTTTTTAATGTGCTGCTGGATTTGGTTTGCCAGTATTTTATTGAGGATTTTCACATTGATGTTCATCACGGATATTGGCCTGAAATTTTCTTTTTTGTTGTGTCTCTGCCAGGTTTTGGTATTAGGATGATGCTGGCCTCATAAAAAGAGTTAGGGAGGAGTACCTCTTTTTCTACTGCTTGAAATAGTTTTAGAAGGAATGGTACCAGCTCCTTTTCCTACCTCTGGTAGAATTTGGCTGTGAATTCATCTGGTCCTGGGCTTTTTTTGATTGGTATGCTATTAATTACTGCCTCAATTTCAGAACTTGTTATTGGTCTATTCAGGGATTTGACTTCTTTCTGGTTTAGTCTTGGGAGTGTATATGTGTCCAGGAATTCATCCATTTCTTCTAGATTTTCTTGTTCATTTGCATAGAGGTGTTTATACTGTTCTCTGATAGTAGTTTGTATTTCTGTGGGATCAGTGGTGATAACCTCTTTATCATTTTTTATTGTGTCTATTTGATTCTTCTCTCTTTTCTTCTTTATTAGTCTGGCTAGCAATCTATCTATTTTGTTAATGTTTTCAAAAAACCAGCGCCTGGATTCATTGATTTTTTTGAAGGGTTTTTCGTGTCTCTGACTCCTTCAGTTCTGCTCTGATCTTAGTTATTTCTTGTCTTCTGCTAACTCTTCGATTTGTTTGCTCTTGCTTCTCTAGTTCTTTTAATTGTGATGTTAGGGTGTTCATTTTAGATCTTTCCCGCTTTTTCCTGTGGGCATTTAGTGCTATAAATTTCCCTCTTAACACTGCTTTAGGTGTGTCTCAGAAATTCTGGTACGTGTGTCTTTTTTTCTCATTGGTTTCAAAGAACTCATTTATTTCTGCCTTAATTTTGTTATTTATCCAGTAGTCATTCAGGAGCAGGTTGTTCAGTTTCCATGTAGTTGTGCAGTTTTGAGTGAGTTTCTTAATCCTGAGTTCTAATTCGATTGCACTGTGGTCTGAGAGACTGTTTGTTATGATTTCCATTCTTTTGCATTTGCTGAGGAGTGTTTTACTTTCAATTATGTGGTCAATTTTAGAATAAGTGCTATGTGGTGCTGAGAAGAATGTATATTCTGTTGATTTGGGGTGTAGAGTTCTGTAGATGTCTATTAGGTCTTCTTGGTCCAGAGCTGAGTTCAAGTCCTGAATATCCTTGTTAATTTTCTGTGTCGTTGATCTGTCTAACATTGACAGTGGGATGTTAAAGTCTCCCACTATTATTGTGTTGAAGTATAAGTCTCTTTGTAAGTCTCTAAGAACTTGCTTTATAAATCTGAGTACTCCTGTATTGAGTGCATATATATTTAAGATTGTTAGCTCTTCTTGTTGCATTGATCCCTTTACCATTATGTAATGGACTTCTTTGTCTCTTTTGATCTCTGTTGGTTTAAAGTCTTTTTTATCAGAGACTAGGATTGACACCCCTACTTTGTTTTTTTGCTTTCCAACTGCTTGGTAAATCTTCCTCCATCCTTTTATTTTGAGCCTATGTGTGTCTTTGCACATGAGATGGGTCTCCTGAATGCAGCACACTGATGGGTCTTGACTCTTTATCCAATTGCCAGTCTGTCTTTTAATTGAGGCATTTAGTCCATTTACATTTAACGTTAACATTGTTATGTGAGAATTTGATCCTGTCATTATAATGCTTGCTGGTTATTTTGCCCATTAGGTGATGCAGTTTCTTCATAGTGTTGATGGTCTTTACAATTTGGTTTGTTTTTGCAGTAGCTGGTACTGGTTTTTCCTTTCTATATTTAGTGCTTCCTTCAGGAGCTCTTGTAAGGCAGGCCTGGTCATGACAAAATCCCTCAGCATTTGCTTGTCTGTAAAGGATTTTATTTCTCCTTCACTTACGAAGCTTAATTTGGCTGGATATACCATTCTGGGTTGAAAATTCTTTTCTTTAAGAATGTTGAATGTTGGTCCCCACTGTCTTCTGGCTTGTAGGGTTTCTGCAGAGACATCTGCTGTTAGTCTGATGCGCTTCCCTTTGTGGGTAGCCTGATCTTTCTCTCTGGCTGCCCTTAACATTTTTTCCTTCATTTCAACCTTTCTGAATCTGACAATTATGTGTCTTGGAGTTGCTCTTCTCAAGGAGTATCTTTGTGGTGTTCTTCATATTTCCTGAATTTGAATGTTGGCCTATCTTGCTAGATTGGGGAAGTTCTCCTGGATAATATCTTGAAGAGTGTTTTCTAACTTGGTTCCATTTTCCCCATCACTTTTGGCTACACCAATCAAACGTAGGTTTGGTCTCTTCACATAGTCCCATATTTCTTGAAGGCTTTGTTCATTCCTTTCATTCTTTTTTCTCTAATCTTGTCTTCAGGGTTTATTTTATTAAGTTGATCTTCAATTTCTGATATCCTTTCTTCCACTTGGTCAATTCAGCTATTGATACATGTGTCTGCTTCACAAAGTTCTCATGCTGTGTTTTTCAGCTCCATCAAGTCATTTATGTTCGTCTCTAAACTGGTTATTCTAGTTAGCAGTTTCTGTAACCTTTTATCTAGGTTCTTAGCTTCCTTGCATTGGGTTAGAACATGCTCCTTTAGCTTGGAGGAGTTTGTTATTACCCATCTTCCAGAGCCTACTTCTGTCAGTTCATCAAACTCATTCTCCATCCAGTTTTGTTCCCTTGCTGGTGAGGAGTTGTGATCCTTTGGAGGAGAAGAGGCATTCTGGTTTTTGGAGTTTTCAGCCTTTTTGTACTGGTTTCTCCTCAACTTGGTGGATTTGTCTACCTTTGGTTTTTGATGTTGGTTCCCTTTGCATGGGGTTTTTGAGTGTTCATCCTTTTTGTTGATGTTGATGCTATTGCTTTCTGTGTGTTAGTTTTCCTTTTAACAGTCAGGCCTCTCTTCTGCTGGTCTGCTGGAATTTGCTGGAGGCCCACTCCAGAACCTGTTTGCCTGGGTATCACAAGCAGAGGCTGCAGAACATAAAGATTGCTGCCTGCTCCTTCCTCTGGAAGCTTCGTCCCAGAGGGTCACCTGTCAGATGCCAGTTGGAGCTCTCTTGTATTAGGTGTCTTTTGACCCCTGCTGGGAGGTGTCTCCCTGTCTGGAGGCATGGGGTTCAGGAACCCATTTGAGGAGGCAGTCTGTCCCTTAGCAGAGCTTGAGCACTGTGCTGGGAGATCTGCTGCTCTCTTCAGAGCCGGCAAGCAAGAATGTTTAAGTCTGCTGAAGCTGCACCTACAGCCATCCCTACCCCCAGGTGCTCTGTCCCAGGGAGATGGGAGTTTTATCTGTAAGCCCCTGACTGGGGCTGCTGCCCTTCTTTCAGAGATGCACTGTCCAGAGAGGAGGAATCTAGAGAGGCAGTCTGGCTACAGTGGCTTTGTGGTGCTGCAGTGGGCTATGCCCAGTCTGAACTTCCTGGCAGCTTTGTTTACACTGTGAGGGGAAAACTGCCTACTCAAGCCTCAGTAATGGTGGACACCCCTCCCCACATCAAGCTCGAGTGTCCCAGGTCGACTTCAGACTGCTGTGCTGGCAGCAAGATTTTAAAGCCAGTGGATCTTAGCTTGTTGGTTTCTGTTGGAGTGGGATCCCCTGAGCAAGAGCACTCGGCTCCCTCACTTCAGCTGCCTTTCCAGGGGAGTGAGCAGTTCTGTCTCACTGGCGTTCAAGGCACCACTGTGTATGAAAAAAACAAAAAAACTCTTGCAGCTAGCTGAGTGTCTGCCCAAATGGGCTGCCCAGCTTTGTGCTCGAAACCCAGGGTCCTGCTGGTGTAGGTACCTGAAAGAATCTCCTGGTCTGTGGGTTGCAAAGACAGTGGGAAAAGTGTAGTATCTGGGCTGGATAGCACCATCCCTCACAGCACAATCCCTCATGGCTTCCCTGGGCTAGGGGAGGGAGTTCCCTGACCCCTTGTGCTTCCTGGGTGAGGTGATGCCACACCCTGCCTCTGCTCACCCTCCATGGGCTGCACCCACTGTGTAGCCAGTCCTAATGAGATAAGCCAGGTACCTCAGTTGGAAGTGCAGTAATAACTGCCTTCTGCGTTGGTCTCACTGGGAGCTGCAGACTGAGGATGTTCCCATTCAGCCATCTTGCCCGGGACTCCTAAAATTTTAAGCTTTTATTTGAATACAAACACTGAAAAAATGTTGTATCCTTTAAATACACTTTTTGGGAGACTAGTTTGGTGACATGCTTCGGGAACAGGAGCTAGAGTATAGTCGCTCAGCTAATAGGAGCAGAAAGTCATTTATTAAAGTGATCATAGCTAGCCACCTTATTAATGTCAAGGATGACTTGAACTGACTGATTTGATGGCTGCCTCTTCCTACCAGAGGGCCCAGTGCCTGAAATGGCTCGCATATGTAATTTAGGTCTTCATAATTCCCATCAACTTAATGATGTACATAAAGCTGAAATAAAATTACCACTTTTCCCAAGATAGAATATACACATTCTCTCTCTTTAAATATCCATCTTTTAGAGACAGAAAAGATAATGTGGTTGATTGGAAAATGATAGCTTAATGCCTGTTTGGTGGTTTGGGTTATCTAATGAAGTATTCAAAATTGTCCTGTTAGTGCTCTGGAGACCATTGGCACCATTGTATGTATGTTCTGGATAGAAAGGGACAGGACAAGCATCTTAGCCTAGTATTCCAGACTATACTTACTATATTCTACTTTCAGGTTAGTATTTGAGTGACTTGTGTTTGAATCACAGTTTTATAAAACGACATCCCTTTATAAAATCTCCTGTCATCTCCCAGGTTTTAATATGCTACTGAGGTCTCTGATGCTCTAATTCTCTCTCTTTACTCCCTGTCTTATGAAACCCCAAGCCATGCATCTACTATTTTTTAAAACATCCTCTTTCCTCCGTTAGATATCACTATAAATGGTCTCCAGATTTAGAAAGATAAAATCCTGGGGACTGAGTTTATCGTGAAAATTCCCATTGAAATAGAGTAGAGAAGAGAAACGGAAAAGAAGACGAGCAAAAAGAAAAAAAAAAGACCAAATTCTTTATAACTGGGTGCTAAGTACATCAAGCATCAGTCAAGCATAAAATTTTCATTTTCTCATTCAGAATTAGTTTTATGTAGGATCAGGCTTATTACTGTGATTGATTCCCTAAAAGTCAAGCCAGATAAAAGCAACATACCTGATAATCTGTAGTTTGTTCATGAATGATTCAGCAATGTGGAAACAGACATATTTTCTGTTCCCTTCTCATGGGAAGGGAATAATTTTTTTTTACTTCCACATATATGAACCAAAATATTATAAAGCAATTTTTACTTCCACATATATGAACCAAAATATTTTAACTGCAATTACCTCTTTAATTACTCTAAAATTTGAAGTTTGCCTTTGATTTGAACTTTATGCTACAAGTATAATTGGGATAATGGCAGTTTTCTTTTTCTTCTTTTAGAGAATCTCCAACATACCTCTTTTCATTATTTCTGAACTCCTGAAAGACAGTACACATGGTGTGTCTCTGCCAAAATTTTGCTTTCAGACTCAGAATTAGTGCTGAGCAGAATGTACCCTTAATCACACCTATCTTGCTAAAGCATACTTATTCAAGTCTTTATCTTCAAGATTCTCCTAAAAGTAGGGAAAATGGTAATTAAAGGACTGGCTCCCTTCCCGCAAGCCTTAATGTCATCATTTGTGGAAAAAGTATCTGCCGTGTTCTTTGCTGCCAGGGTGGGCATTCAATCTCACATCCGTGTTTATTTATTTGTTTACTTATTTATTTTTTTTTAAGTGGTTATCACTTTCTGGATTGTAGATACAAGATTCTTGCCAAGGTTGTTTCTTATTTTGAGCAAAGAATGTGAGTGTGTATATAAGTGGGGTAGTAAAGGTAAAATCATAATTTAATTGGAAGATATGCTTTCACAATAGATCAGTCTTTTTCTGGTAGTCTTTGTCTGGATCTCTCCCTCCAGAAGCAGATCCTGAGACAAGACAAGGATTTGAGTACAAGTAGTTTATTTGGCAGGTGCAGGAAACGTGGGTAGGGAGGAGGGGAAGAGAGTCATGGAAATGGGGGTAGCCGATGTTGGGAGGACTATAAAGGTAGCTTCTGCTGTCAGTGACTAAACCTTAGTACCTCTGGAGAATTCTGGGAAATAGTGTTGTAAGGTTAAAATAAAATTCTAAGCCGCCAGTGACTGAATGGACCCCCTTTTGTGGCCAAGGGGACCCCAGAGAAACCTTAAAGCAGAGTTCCCAGCCATGATGGGATGGGAGGTCAGACATGCTTTGTTATACCCCCTCTCTTTTATCATTTAGACACAAGTGATTGGCATTAATGGTAAAGTAGAGATCATAAGACTGACAGAACCGGCTCTTGTGGCAATAAAATACCAAATTATAAACAAGACCTAAGGCTGTGCTAGGCAAGGGTTAAGTCATGCACCCCTTCAGTCAAAGAATAAAAAATACTCTACCCACTCATTTGGTTCAGCAGTCTGCACTTCCCCACCCTTCCTGGACATAGATCCTAGTGCAGGGGGCCTTAACTGCTGCATACCCAGGCAGATCTCGAGGCATCTGGAGCACTCACTCTCCTGGATTGGGAGTTTAGGCTGCTCTTTAACCCCCTGCAGAGAATTTGGGGTTGAGGAGGTTTCCCAGCTCCTGGCCTAGGCCCACATCTAGGTTTTTGGTGGCTGCCCACTGAATTCTCCCTAAGGCTGGTGCTTGTGCCTGCCATTGAAGGATCTGTAGGTGGACCTACCTGGTCTGACTGTGTCCTTCATGATCAGGGAGCTCAGACCACTGTACCTTCATAAATCAGCCCATTGCCTGAGGCAACAGAGAGCTTTGGCCAGTAAACAAGGATCAGTATACATCCAGGCACATTGGCTGTAGCCAGCTCTTACCTGTAAGCACCAACTATTGGCTTGTAGGTAGAAATGAACAGCCCAGTGTAAAGTCTGCCCAAAGTAGTGTGTAGGGCTATAGAAACAAAACCAAAAAACCCTACTTAGCATTCTCTACAGTCATACCCCCCCACAGGAAGATGGGAAAAGGAAAAATAAATAAATAAATAATAATACAGGAAAAGAAAGAAAAAGAAAAAAATTCTACCTGCATGAAAATAAAGACAAAAATTAGAAATGCCAGCATCTCCAGATGAGACAAAAAACAGCTCAAGAATTATAGCACCTTGGGAGGCCGAGGCGGGTGGATCACGAGGTCAGGAGATCAAGACCATCCTGGCTAACATGGTGAAAGCCCATCTCTTCTAAACATACAAAAAATCAGCCGGGTGTGGTGACGGGCACCTGTAGTCCCAGCTACTCGGGAGGCTGAGGCAGGAGAATGGCGTGAACCTGGGAGGTGGAGCTTGCAGTGAGCCGAGATCACACCACTGCATTCCAGCCTGGGCGACAGAGTGAGACTCTGACTCAAAAAAAAAAAAAAAAAAAAGAAAGAAAAAATAGTTATAACACCATGAAAAATCTGTATTTATTGATACCATCAAGGGATCACATTAGCTTTCCAGCAGTGATCCCTCACCGAAATAGAAACTCAGAAATGACAGATAAAGAATGCAAAATTCAAAATATGGATTGCAAGGAAGCTCAATGAGATCCAAGACAAGGCTAAAAAATCAATACACAGAAACTTCTAAAGAAATCCAGGAAATGAAGGAAGAGATAAATATCTTAAAAAGAAATCAGTCAGAGCTTCTGGAATTGAAAAACTCACTTAAGGAATTCAAAATACAATGAAAACCTTTATCAATAGAGTGGGCCAAATGGAAGAAAGGATTTCAGAGCTTGAACACCAGTCTTTTGAATTAACCCAGTTAGACAAAAATTAAAAAAAAAATAAGCACAGTCTTTGAGAAATATAACATTATGTAAGGTGATGAATTATAGACATTCCTGACAGAGGAGAAAAAGAAAAGAACCTGGAAAACATATTTGAGGGAATAATTCAAGAAAACTCTCTTAATCTTGCTAAAGAGGTAGATATCCAGATACAAAAAATTCAGAGAACATCTGTGAGATACTATACAAAATGAACATCACCAAAGGCATATAGTCACCAGAATGTCCAAGGTCAGAGCTAAAGAAAATATCATAAAGGCAGCTATAGGATAAGGTCTAATCATGTACAAAGGGAACCACTTCAGGTAAACAGAGGACTTCTCAGCAGAAACCCTTAGAAGCCAGGAGAGCTTAGGGACCTATTTTCAGCATTCTTAAAGAAAATAAATTCCAATCAAGAATTTCATATCCTGGCAAACTAAGCCTCATAAGCAAAGGGGAAATGAAAGCTTTTCCAGAGAAGCAAGCTCTGAGTGAACCTGATACTACCAGGCCAGCCTTATAAGAGCTCCTTAAGGGAGTTCTAAACATGGAAATGAAAAAACAGTGCTTGTTACCATAAAAACACACTTAAATACATAGCCTGAAGATCCTGTAAAGCAACCACGTGATAGAAACTACAAAGCAACCAGCTAACAACCTCACAATAAGATTAAAACTTGACATATCAATATTAACCTTAAATATAAATGGTCTAAATGCCTAATTTAAATGCACAGAATGGTAAGTACTATTAAAAAACAAGATCCATCTGTCTGTTTCAAGAGACCAGTTTCACATGTAATGACACTCATCGGCTCAAAATAAAGGGTTTGAGAAAGATCTATCATGCAAATGGAAAAGAAAAAAGAGGGTTGCTATTATATCAGATAAAACAGTCTTGAATGCAACAATAGTAAAAAAGGACAAAGAAAGGCATTATATTATAATTGTTTCTATTCAACAAGAAAACATAACTGTCCTAAATATGTATTTAACCAACATTGGAGCACCCAGATTCATAAAGCAACTACTTCTAGACCCATGAAAAGACTTAGTCACACAATAATAGTTTTGGACTTTAACACTCCATTGACAGCGCTAGACAGATCATCAAGGCAGATGACTAAAAAAGAAATCCTGGATTTAAACTCAGAAATCCTGGACATAAATGCAACATAAACTTAACACTTGATCAATTGGAACCAAGCCATCTACAGAATACTCTACTCATCAGCCACAGAATATACATCCTTCTCATCCGCAAATGGAAGGTAATACAAGATCGACCACATGCTAAGCCATAAAGCAAATCTCAGCAAATTAAAAAACAAATGAAATCATACTAACCATACTGTTGGACCAGAATGGAATACAAATAGAAATTAATATCAAGAAGATCTCTCAAAACTATACAATTACATGGAAACTAAACAATTTGCTCCTGAGTGACTTTTGGTAAACAATGAAATTAAGACAGAAATAAAAAAATTATTTAAAGTAAATGAAAACAGAGATACAACATACCAAAATTTATGAGATACAGCAAAAGCAGTGTTAGGAGAAAAGGGTTTTTTTTTGTTTTGTTTTGTTTAGTTTTTAAGCTTTTATTGTACATTCAGGGGTACATGTGCAGGTTTGTTATGTAGGTAAACTTTAATCACAGGGGCTTGTTGTACAGATTGTTTTGTCACCCAGGTATGAAGCCTAATACCCAATAATATTTTTTCTGATGCTCTCCCTCCTCCCACCTTCCGCCCTCAAGTAGTCTGTAGCGTGTGTTGTTTCTCTGTGTCCATGAATTCTCATCATTTAACTCCTACTTATAAGTGAGAACATGTGCGTATTTGGTTTTCTGTTATTGCATTAGTTTGCTAAGGATAATGGCCCTTAGCTCTATCCATGTTCTTGCAAAAGACATAATATTTTCTTTTATGGCTGCATAGTATTCCATGGTATATATGTACTACATTTTCTTTATCCAGTCTGTCACTGATGGGCATTTAGGTTGATTCCATGTCTTTGCTATTGTGAATAGTGCTGCAAAGAACACACATGTGCATGTGTCTTTGTGGTAGAATGATTTATATTCATTTCAGTATATATCCAGTAATGGGATTGCTGGGTCAAATGGTTAGTTCTGCTTTTAGCTCTCTGAGGAATCACCATACTGCTTTCCACAATGATTGAAGTAATTTACACTCCCACCAACAGTGTATAAGCATTCCCTTTTAGAAGAAAAATGTATAGTACTAAATGCCTACCTTAAAGTTCTAGAAATATCTTAAATTAATGATCTGACATCACACTGAGAAGAACTAGGAAAACAGGAACAAACTAATCTGAAAGCTAGCAGAAGAAATAACTAAAATCAGAGCAGATCTGAATGAAATTGAAACACTCATATCCATATAAAAATCAGTAAAACCAAAAGTTGGTTATTTGAAAGGATAAATAAGATTGATAGCTAGCTAGCTATATTAACAAAGAAAAAAAAGAGAGAATATCCAAATAAGCACAATCAGAAATGAGAAAGGTGACATTACAACCAATCTGACAGAAATGCAAAAGATCCTCAGGGACTATTGTGAACACCTCTATGCACACAAATTACAAAATCTAGAGGAAATTAATAAATTCCTGAAAATATACCATCTCTCAAGAATGAATCAGGAAAAAATTGAAATACTGAATGAGTTCCAAAATTGAATCAGTAATAAAAAATTTGCCAATCAAAAAAGTCCTGGACCAGATGGATTCACAGCCGAACTCTACCAGGCATACAACAAATCACTGGCATCAGTCCTACTGAAACTATTCCAAAAAACTGAGAAGGACCTCCTCACTAACTCATTCTATGAAGCATCACCCTGATGGCAAAACCTGGCAAACACACAATGAAAAAGGAAAACCATTGGCCAATGTCCCTGATGAGCATAGATGCAAAAATCCCCAACAAAATACATAAAAAAGAATAACTCGAAATAATAAAAGTCATTTATGACAAAACCACGACCAATATTATATTCAATGGGCAAAAACCGGAAGCATTCCCCTTGAGAACTGGAACAAGACAAGGATACCCATTCAACACTGGAAGTGTTAGCCAGATCAATCATGCAAAAGAAAGAAATAAAAGGCATCCAAATAGGAAAAATACAAGTCAAACTATCTCTCTTAATAAATTATATGATCCTACACCTAGAAAACCTTAAAGACTCCATCAAAAGCCTCCTGGAATGGATAAACAACTTCTGTAAAGTTTCAGGATACAAACTCAATGTATAAAAGTGAGTAGCGTTTCTATACACCAATAATGTTAAAGCTTAGAGCCAAATCAAGATCACAGTTCCATTTACAATAACCACACACACACACAAAAACATACCTAGGAATACATCTAACCAAGGAGGTGAAAGATCTCTGCAAGGAGAACTACAAGACATTGCAATAAGAAGTCAGAGATGACACAAACAAATGAAAAAACATTCCATGCTCATGGATTAGAGGAATTAACATGGTTAAAGTGACCACATTGCTCAGAGCAATCTACAGATTCAGTGCTACTCCTTTCAAACTACCAAGATTATTTGCTACAGAATTAGAAAAAACTATTTTAAAATTCATATGGAACAAAAAATGGACCCAAATAGCCAAACCAATCCTAAGCTAAAGGATCTAAGCTGGAGGCATCAGGTTACCTGGCTTCAAACTGTACTATAAGGTTACAGTAACCAAAACAGCATGATACTAGCATAAAAACAGACACATAGACCAATGAAACCGAATAGAGAACCAAAAAATAAGACTGTACACCTACAACCATCTAATCTTTGACAAAGTTGACAAAAATAAGCAATGAAGAAAGAACTCCCTATTCAATAAATGGTGCTGTAATAGCTGTCTAACCATATGTAGAAGAATGAAACTGGACCCCCAACCTTTCACTATATACAAAAGTTAACTCAAGATGGATTAAAGCCTTAACTGTAAGACCTCAAACTATAAAAATCTTAGAATAAAATCTAGGAAAATTATTCTGGACATTGGCCTTGGGAAAAAATTTATGACTAAGTCTCTAAAAGCAATTGCAACCAAAACAAAAATTGACAAATGGGACCTAATTAAACTAAAGAGCTTCTGCCCAGAAAAAAACAAAAAAAAAACAAAAAAAACCAAAAAAAACTATCAACAGAGTAAACAGACAACCTACAGAATGGGAGAGAATATTCACAAACTATACATCCACCAAAGGTCTAATATCCAGAATCTATAAGGAACTTAAACAAATCAACAAGCAAACAACAAATATCTCATTAAAAACTATGCAAAGTACAGAACAGACACTTCTCAAAAGAAGACATAAAAGCAGCCAACAAAAATAGGAAAAAAATGCTCCTCATCACTAATGATAGGAGAAATGCAAATCAAAACCACAATAAGATACCATCTCAAATCAGTCAGAATGGCTATTATTAAAAGTCAAAAAATAACAGATACTGGCAAGGCTGTAGAGAGAAGGGAATGCTTATACATTGTTGGTGGGAACGTAAATTGGTTTAGCTACTGGGGAAAGAAGTTTGGAGATTTCTCAAAGAACTCAGAACACCATTCAAACCAGTAATGCCATTTCTGGGTATATGTCCAAAAGAAAACAAATCTTTCTTCCAAAAGGACACATACACCTGCATGTTCATTGCAGCACTATTCACAATAGCAAAGACATGAAATCAACCTAGGTACCTGTCAATGGTGGATTGGATAAAGAAAATGTGTTACATATATTCCATGGAATATCACACAGCTGTAAAAAAGAACGTAATCCCACTTTTTGCAGCAACATGGATGTAGCTGGAGGCCATTATCCTAAGCTAATTAACACAGGAGGAGAAAACAAATACCATGGGTTCTCACTTGTAAATGAGAACTAAACACTGAGTATTCAGAAACATAAAGATGACAACAATAGAAATGGGGACTACTGTGGGTGGGGGGCATGGATTGAAACTAACTTTTGGGTACTATGCTCTGGATCTGGGTGACAGAATCATTCATAACCTAAACCTTAGCATTATGCAAAGTACCCAGGGAACAAACATGCACAAGTACCCCTTGTATCCACAATAAAAGTTGAAAAATACACCAAAAAAGCACAAGCAGGAACTTGTTCCAAGTAAGGTCAATCCAGCTCAGTAAATTATCCTCAGTTTCAGGCATTCAGTGGAGGTCTTGGAACATACCCTCTGAATATAAGAGGGGACTACTCTTATCTTGGATTAGAGACTGATGTTAGTAACTTTCTTCAGATAAGAAGGCCACTGACCACGGGCTGGTCCTGGCTGGTTTACAGAGATTGTGCACTTGTGTGCCTTCATGTCCCGAAAAGATTTTTTGATTTATAGTATCTAATTGTAATACATTTAAATGTTAAGTCTCTACCCCAAAGTGAACATAGGTTGTATGTTATATGCATGTTTGTTCAATATGCATGTGTCAGGAGTACCTTTGTATTCAAAGCCCCTCCTGTCACTTGAATATGTGTATTTAGCCAATTTCTTGAGCATAGAGATCCCACTCCAACTCCTCCTTTGAAGTGCCTGTTTCTGTTCTTGGCATGAGGCACGCTTCCCATCCTGTGGGATGGCCACCTTGCAGACTGTAACTCTTTAAAAGAAATACAATCTCCTCTTTCCTTTTATAAATTCATATCTTGTGATTTTTTTTTAAGTTAATAGTGTAAAACACACACTTTGCCTGCAGAGTGGATAAGCTAGCCATCTGCCTGCTCTGTGCAGGCAAAGCAGCCTTCCATGGCTTCCCAGACTTTCAGGTAAAGAGATGCAGATATTGCCAGTTGGTATAATATTTGTGCAGGAACAAACTAAAGTCACAACACCCAAGGGGTATGGGCAGGGAACCAACCCATATCAGCTAGAGGCTGATAGTTTACAATTTTATGTTCATCATTTCTACTTATAAAACATGGAAAACACCTAACGTGTATTTCTTGGCCCATTTTTGGTACTCAGAAGTTTACTTCCTTCTTACAGTTTTAGGTGGTTAAATTAAATTTTTACATCACAAAATAACTTCTGACATGATTAATCTTTATACCTGAAGACAGGTTATTATCAATGAAAAGATAACTTCAAAACTAGTCTTATCAAGTTATAGTTTAGGGTGCTGTGTATTCAATCAAAACCATTTTAATAAGTTATCTTATAGCCCTGCTATTTCTGATTGGACTTTTTTCATATGTTTGTTTGTTTATTTATTTATTTTATTATATTTTGAGACAGAGTCTCACTCTGTCGCCCAGGCTGGAGTGTAGTGGCATGATCTTGGCTCACTGCAATGTCCGTTTCTCAGGTTCAAGCAATTCTCTTGCCTCAGCCTCCCAAGTAGCTGGGATTACAGGCACCCAACACCTTGCCTGGTTAAATTTTTTTTTTTTTTTTTTTTTAAGTGGAGACGGGGTTTCACCATGTTGGCCAGGCTGGTTTAGAACTCCTGACCTCAAGTGATCTGCCTACCTTGGCCTCCCAAAGTGCAAGGATAACAGGCATGAGCCACCACGCCCAGCCTCTTCATATGTTTTTAATGCTGAGTAGACATATGTTAACCAGCCTACAAAACTATAGAATATTAAAGCTAAAAATAAATGTACAGATTACATAGTCAGGCCCTTTACCACCCCACAGCTGTTTATCAGATGTGGAAACTGAAACTCAATGAGAACCACTTGCTCAAAGTTATGTGAATAGTTTTTCTTTCCATAACCCTGCATAAAATAGTGAGAACTCTGGATTCAGGATAAATGTCTTGTTTTTGGGGACTGAGATGATAAACTTCTAGAACTTATATGAAGATCTGTGTCTCTGTTTTTGGCCATGTCTTGGAAGTTAAGCCATTTGTTCTTGCATGTTTTGTTTGCTTGTTTGTTTTTTCTTCTTGGGGCAGAAGTATCGTAATAGTAAATTTTTCTTATCTGATGCTCGTTACATATATTTTGGATGGTCTATTTATTTATATGTATATTTAAACATGGGCTTGAACTTGACAGTCTGTGTCTTTCCTGAACCCAGTCTGCTGGGCCCACTTCATACCCACCATTCTGTTTTGATGCTCAAGTTCCTGTTACCTTACTTCCAGAAAACTTCCTGGACTGACTAATATTATAAAGAGATTATTAAAACTGAGTGGAGTAAATGTATAACCAAGTAGAAATACTTAAAATTCTTCCCATGCCTTATTCTTGATTCTTACTAGATACTTAATTTTTTTTTTTTTTGAGACGGAGTCTCGCTCTGTTGCCCAGGCTGGAGTGCAGTGGCGTGATCTTGGCTCACTGCAACCTCCGCCTCTCCTGCCTCAGCGTGCTGAATAGCTGGGACTACAGGTGCCTGCCACCACGCCTGGCTAATTTTTTGTATTTTTAGTAGAGACGGGGTTTCACCATGTTAGCCAGGATGATCTCAATCTCCTGACCTCGTGATCCGCCCGCCTCAGCCTCCCAAAGTGCTGGGATTACAGGTGTGAGCCACCATGCCCGGCCGATACTTAAAATTTATAATAAGGAAACAGAATGCCTAGACATTCAAACATTGACTTTCTTTTGATTTTATTAATTATTCTATGTTTCTCAACATCAAGGCTACATGACCTGCAGAAATCTTCTTGGAAATTATTAAGGGTGTATCAGAATTACTAATTTAAAGAAATTTTCTTAGATGGTAGTACATTTTTAACTGTCAAGACAAAAATCTTTTTTAATAGAGATGACGGTAAACTAAAAGGTATTCTCAAACAAAATACAGTAATCTAAAAACCAAGGGATGACACAAAGGAATTTGAATTTCATGAAAATTAAGAAATTCACTCCCAGTTTATTCTTGAATCAAAGAGAAAATTAACATGAACACTGAAAACTCTAGAAAACATGCTCAAGCCTATTGTTTATAGTACAAGCTATAAGCAGTGTCCTAATGCCCACATTTAGGAAAGAAGGCTAAAATAAAAAAACCTAGATAAAGAAAAATAACCAAAGAAAACAGAATATCAAGAAAAAGATGTATCTCAATTTTATAAAATGTATAAAAAGGAAAGCAGAAAATAACAAAAAACTCTTCAGAAAATCAGTATGAATCTAGTTCTTTGGAAATGCCAATAAAACCAATAAACCCCTTAAAGTATATTTAGAAAAGTGATGGAGTGTAAAAACATTGAAAATGACCAAATAGTAGCACACATATATGTTTGTTAAATGAGGAATTTGTAGGGGGGGAACTAGGTACTAGGCATTGTACTAAGCACTTTATTTCATCTTCACAATAAGCCTTTGAGGTGAGCAACAGTTTCATCTCCATTTTACATGTGAAGAAGAATGACAGAGACTAAGTACTATGTGCAAGATTACACATCTGGGAATTAAACCCAGGCATTTTAACTTCAGCATCTTCATTTCTAACAATTAGCTGGAGATGGTAGTTCATATTCTCTTTGATGTAGTTCTAATAGGAAACCACAGTGTGGGTTCAATGAATCTCCATTCTAAGAATTCTAGTGTGGAGTTTAAGGTACTTTGTGGTTAAAGAAATTTTCCAGGGAAACACCTACTGATGGCATCATACTTTTCAAAGGTTGTTGTTGCAAATACATAGAAGTATCTTATGGATCATCATCTACTGCAAATGTGGGAAATCTAGTATCTGATGGTGGAAGGGGACTGGTGAACTGCAGCTCTTTCAGCCATACGTTCTGTGATTTGCCTGGTTAACAGGGGGAACTCTGCAGAAGGGTATACATCTTCTCTCCTATAAAGTCTGGCTATGGCTCTCAAGGGACATTATTAACTGGTGGGAATTTCAGTAACATGAATTCTTTAATATTGGACTTTGTTTCCCATCAACTGAAAATTTTTTTTCTGGGATAAAGAACAGAATAGAATTTACTGAAAAAAAAAATCTTACAGCTATGGTTGAGAGTTTATATTGGATAGACTTTTTCCCTACAACTACATTTTTTTAAAACTACATTTTTTTTTCACATTTACTATACTCATTACCTTGAACATGCACAATTTCCAAATCTATTCAACTGTCTGCTTTTTTCCTCAATAATGCAAACCATGAATATGATATCTGTATCTAATTTAACAATTTGAATTTCCATTAACACCACAGATAAAACCGATAATCTCTCAGCATAACATATAAGTCCTTGCAGAGGAAGATATTGTGATTTAAATTATGCAAGCACAAACTCCTAATATTTAAATAAAAATATTCTCCCTAATCTGAGCATCTCAGGATATTCTTTCATAAAAGAGAGAGTAGTATGGAAATAAAGTCAAATAATTTTGGAAGGTACATTACTATCTGCTCCTCGGTTGAATGCTAGTGACCACTGGGCCTCGATGAAGGGAAAGATGCAAAGAAACAGTGTGGAGGCTGGTGCAACTTTTAAAGCAAAATAGGAAAATGCATTAATTAGTTACTGAAAGGGTAGGAAATAGCACGTGTGTTCAGTTAAACATCTAATTAAGTAGTTACTGAGTTAGTAAAAATACATTTAGGAACTCTTTTAGGAAAAGACCCTTACTGTACTGTAAGCTAGTACTTATGTCAAATCTTTGTGTTTATTTTCCTTACATGCTTGAAGTGCTTGCCAAGAACTGGAACATAGTAGGTTCTCAAATATTTGCTTGAAGGAAAAGATTATATATATATACTAGCAAAATATATTAATGCAGAGCAAATATTTTATAGCTAAGGCAGAAAGAGTTTTCTTTGTTGGTATCTGATGAGAACTAAAGCATGTCCCAAAATTAGTAGGATTTTTCTCAGGACTCTGAGCAGCTCTCTGGAGAGGTGCAGATGTAATCCTGGTTTAGAAATTATTTGCAACAGTAATGAAGCCAATGAACTTGGAAGATGAAAAGAGATTCACTTCTAAAGAATTACAGTGGACTTTGTCAATTTATTAAATTATATAAATCCAATCTATTTAAGTCTAGTGGCAAAAGCTTCTTTTTATGTGATTGTCTTGGAAAATCCTCATTTAGACCACCTTGACATATTAGGTTATGGAAGTATTTCTTTCAGGCTTAGGGAAATTTTAAACATGAGTTTCTTTTAGTGGAATATAGATTTTTATTAAGGGCAAGTAAATGTTCCTGTTAATTTTCTAGTAAAATGCACAGATCAAATCACCTGGGCACTAGTAATTAGAGATTCACCTCAGTCGTAACCCTAAAGTTGTCTCATGAAAAAAGAATGAGAGGCTGAGCACGGTGACTCACGCGTGTAATCCCAGTACTTTGGGAGGCCGAGGCGGGTGGATCATGAGCTCAGGAGATAGAGACCATCCTGGCCAACATGGTGAAACCTTGTCTCTACTGAAAATACAAAAATTAGCCAGGTGTGCCAGTGTGCACTTGAGTCCCAGCCACTCAGGAGGCTGAGGCAGGAGAATTGCTTGAACCTGGGAGGAGGAGGCTGAGTGAGCCGAGATCGCGCCACTGCACTCCAGCCTGGGCAACAGAGCGAAACTCTGTCTTAAACAAAAGAAAAAGAAAAAGAAAAAAAAAAAAGAATGAGAAAGGGGGCAGGGGACAAAAGTTTTACAATCTTTAATATCACTTTGCAGATGATTATTAATTCAAAATATTTTTAGCTCAGTTCTTCATAATCAGAGCTCATCAAACTATTGACTACATTCAAGAGGTAAGCAATTAAAAGGAAGAAGTCAACATAGTGAGTTAAATTTACCTAATCTCGGTGATTATTCTGGCCCATGTTATTAGCTTGTGTGACTTCCTGGGATGAAACTTTTGGATTCAACAGTCACATAATTATTGACTTGGTGGACATTTTTAAATAAATGTATTTTCTAACAAACTTAAAATATAGATAGGATCAATATCAAGTGATAGTATTGAAAGATTTTGTCCTCGAAAGAAAATTCTTAGGTAAAAAAGTGATAATTCAATAACTTAATTTGACCTTTAAAAATTGTATTTCAATAAATGGTTAAGGTTTTAAACAAGAAATCTTTTTTTTTTTTTTTCTGGCCCCAGGTTTTCTTTTTTTTTTTTTTTTATTATACTTTAAGTTTTAGGGTACATGTGCACATTGTGCAGGTTAGTTACATATGTATACATGTGCCATGCTGGTGCGCTGCACCCACTAACTCGTCATCTAGCATTAGGTATATCTCCCAATGCTATCCCTCCCCCCTCCCCCCACCCCACCACAGTCCCCAGAGTGTGATATTCCCCTTCCTGTGTCCATGTGATCTCATTGTTCAATTCCCACCTATGAGTGAGAATATGCGGTGTTTGGTTTTTTGTTCTTGCGATAGTTTACTGAGAATGATGGTTTCCAGTTTCATCCATGTCCCTACGAAGGACATGAACTCATCATCTTTTTTTTACATGATTTGAAATTTAAAACTAAAACATGATAAGAAGGACTGATATAAAGTAACAATACACAAAATTTTCACAATTACTAAACTACCATAAAGTCGTTTTAGAGATGTTGACATTTATATAGTTTGCTTACAGTGACTGTAATCTATTCAGAAGGTCCAATGGACGGGTCTTTAACTGGCAGGTGGTTTCGAGAGAATGATACAGGGTAATTGCATTATTAGCTTCTTCATGCGAAATCCAAGAATCCTTCCTCTGACTTATCTACCTATTTAAATAGTTTGCTTAATGAAGAGTTGTTCCAGGACCATCACTAGCTAGATCTTGAGGCCAGTTAAGGCTTGGGGAAAGAAAGAACCTTTTATCTATTGATGTCCAATTAGCTTGGGGTCTGTTTGATCTACATGGAGTTAAAGTGTAGGCTCATTTACACTTTTTTCTTTAATTTATTGTTTAAATGTCATTTTTTAAAATTAGGAAAGTAATATATACTCACTATTAATAGTGAAAAATGAAGCAATGATGCATGAAGAGAGAGGTTTTTTTCTCCCATTCCACTGCTTTCCCATCCTAATCAATGTTATTGGCATCAAACATAGCTATTATTCCACAACTTTCTGCTTTTTCATGCAACTTTATGCAAAAGTACATCAAAAAATGTACATGCTTTGTTGATGGTGTTTTCATAAAAATGAATCACATTAAATATATTACTTGGAAATTTTATTTCTCATTTAACAGTGCAAATAGACCTCTCAAGACAATTGATATATTGTTTCTGTATCAGAAACACCGGGATAACTTGATAAAACACAGATTACTATGCCCTACCCTCTGAGATTTTGATTCAGAAGGCCTAGTGTAGGCTGGGCGCGGTGGCTCACCCTTGTAGTCCCAGCACTTTGAGGGGCCGAGGCGGGCGGATCACAAGGTCAGGAGATCGAGACCATCCTGGCTAACACGGTGAAAACCTGTCTCTACTAAAAAAACAAAAAATTAGCCAGGCATGGTGGCGGGCGCCTGTAGTCCTAGCTACTCGGGAGGCTGAGGCAGGAGAATGGTGTGAACCTGGGAGGTGGAGCTTGCAGTGAGCCGAGATCATGCCATTGCACTCCAGCCTGGGCGACACAGCGAGATTCCGTCTCAAAAAAAAAAAAAAAAAAAAAAAGGCCTGATGTAGAGCCAGAGAATAAGCATTTCTAACAACTTTATAGGTGATGCTGTGGCTGCCTATCCAGGGGCCACACCTTGAAAATCACTGGTCTAACCTAGTTTTCTTTCTGATGGCTATCCATTATTGCATGCAATAGATGTGCTGTGATTTTTCCAATCATTTCCTGTTAGTAGTTCTTCATTTTTTCCTTTTGTTTTGCCACTATAAAATACTATTGCAACAAACATCTTTGCTCATATAACATAAGGATTTTTATTTTCATAGACTAGGTTCCCTAATGTGAGATTGGTAGGTCAAAGTTGGTAAACATTTACAATTTTAGTATTCACTGCTTAATTAGCCTTCAAAAGTGGTCATTGCAATTCACAAATTATTACACATCAGAGATTATATCTCTGTTCCTTCTTGGTGCTGCATTCTCACTGCATTAGTATTTCTATATTAGATGAATAAAAAACGGCGTCTTATTGTTTTAATTTGCATTCCCATAAGCCATAAAGAGTTTAGGAGAATTCTTGTATTTTTATCAGCCTCTTCAGCCTTTGCCTCTGTCCATTTTTCCCTTCCGCTATTTTTCTTTATCATATTTATGGAGATCATTTTATTTGATCTTTTATTTTTAAGCTTTTATTTTAGGTTCAGGGGTACACACGCAGGTTTGTTATATAGGTAAACTCATGTCACAGGGATTTGCTGTTGTACAGGTTATTTTGTGACTCAGGTACTAAGCCTAGTACCCAGTAGTTATTTTTTCTTTTCCTCTCCTTCCTCCCACTTACCACCCCCCAGTAGGCCCCAGTATCTGTTGTTTTCTATTATGTGTCCATGTGTTCTCATCATTTAGCTCCCACTTATAAGTAAACATGCAGTATTTGGTTTTCTGTTCCTGAGTTAGTTTGCTAAGGATGATGGCCTCCAGTTCCATCCATGTTCTGCAAAGGACATGAGGAGATCATTTTATACAGGGACTACAAATCCTTTATTTGTATTATTATTAATAAAGGACATGTCAAATCTGTTATCTGACATAAGCATTGAAAACATTGAAAATATTTTTCCAGTCTCTCGTTTCTCTTTTAATATTTCTCATGTTATGTTTGTCATAAAAGATGCTTTTATATAATGAAATATGTCTATACTTTTCATTACAACCTTTAGGTTTTCTATCTTGCTTATGATAATCTAAGATTATACACATATTCTTCCAAAGTTTCTTACAATATTTTAACTATTTTAGATTTTGCATTTAAATCTTCACTTCATCTGGAATTAATTTTGAAGTATTATATGAAATTGGAATACAAGTAGCAGCCATCTCCCCACTTTAGGGAATGGGACATTCTTGCCCTCAGTGTGATTGCTTCCTGGACTTCGGGGTTGGTATGAACATGTGGCAAGTGGTCAGGTGCAGCCTTTCTGGAAGAGGAGCCCAGGCACCTGCTTGCTGATTTCCCTCAGGGAACCAAGACATCTGAGTCATCATTGGTGACCCCAAATACAGTAAGCTCTCTGCCCTGAGGCTGACCTCTAAGCTAGCGACAGACACATAAAAGAATAATTTCTGGCCAATTCTTGGTCCCTAAGAACACCTCAGAAGTGTCCTATGTCCCACCATGCCTCATATCCAAATGTGGTATCACTTAGGGTGTTTGGAGTGAATCAGCCATCTGTGTTCAAGTTGCCCTCTTTTCAGAATACAAACATTACAAAACTAATACATGTTTACACACATTGGGTAAAAAATTAGTAAATAGAGATTAGCAAAAAAAAAAAAAAAAAGAACGAAATGCAGGAAAAGTCACCCATATTTCGACCACCCAGAGACAGACAGTCCTAGCCTCTTGGTGTATACCTTTTCAGATTTTATAAATAAATCAATAACAGATAAGCAAATGAATACATGAAAAAATTACCAGTTTTGATGCTGTTTTAGATCTGTTCCCTATTTTTGAACCTTTTGTTTGCTTCCAATTTTTTGTTGTTATATATTCAAAGAGATAAACATCATTTTAGTTACATATTTTTGGCAAAGATTTATTATTATTTCTTTAGGATAAATTCCTAGAGGAGTGGTTGTCTGATCAAAGTGTATATTCATATATAAAAGGTTTCCAAATTGCCCTCTCAAAAATTTCTAAAGCTTATATCCCCAAGCCATGTATGAGAATTCCCATCAGTGCATAACTCTGTAGAACAAAGTTTATGTGACCGAGTGCAAACCCATTTTCTCTTTGAAAATAATTTATTCCTTCTATAGTAGACATTTTATTTTTATTATTTGACTGCTGGGGACTGATTTTTTTTCTTCCTGTGGGCAAAAGCTATTTTGATATTTCACGCTCAGGAGTATGTTTCACATCAGAGTGAACGACCCCTCCCTTTTCCAGGACTGGGCATGTGGTTCTGTGAACACATCAGCGTATTTGATATTCTCATCCTCTAGGGCTAAGCACGTCACCAAGCTGAGTTTTTGTATTAATTTTGGAATTTTACTAGAATGAGAGAAAAGAAGAGTCTCTCTCTCTCTCTCTCTAAGATTTTGAAAACAACAGAAAAATTTAGAGCAGAAAATGGAAGCAGAAAAAGAAAACTGGGGAGAGGAAGAGAGGGACAGAAAGGGCAAGATAGTTTAGCTGTGTCTGAAGCCCAAACTACTGCTGGACTTCCAATCACTTCCATTGGTGAGTATACACCTTCCCTTTACTTTTTATGTTAAAGGTACAAATTCAGATGTTTGTTTTTTAATTTTATAATCATTCAATCATCTGGAATGTACTGTTAAGCTTTTAAAGTAAAATAACTACGTGTTAGTCATCACAAATATTTGGAACCAAATGAACATGTTTGCCATTTTCTTAGCATTTTCCATTACAAAATGATTACTATTGTATTACAAAAAGCTTCACACAAGAGTAGATTGTCTCCTTGAGAAAGAAGGAGAACAGACATAAGAGAAAACTTTCATTTTTATACCTTGCCCACCTTTGAGCCTTGGTGATTGTATGAGCAATCTAGTGGTGACAAGTGATTTGGGTTCCTTGATCACCTCATTAGTCACATTAATGATGTCAGACACCAAAAGGAAGGTAGAGAAATCGCTTTCCTTATTGTTTTATGTCTTTTTATTAGGGCCCCCCATCAAGGAGTTTTAAAGACATTGACAGGGAAAACAAATAGGCAGTTGATATTAATTTCACTGAAAGTAATAATGAAGCAACCAGATTTACAGCAAGGTAGCAGTAACCTGGTGGGACCTCAAATAGCAAGGTGTTGGAATTCAAGTTACTTTTCGCTTAAATAAAATTAATTTAATCCAGGAGTAGTGACAGCAGGTAGAGGTTGGGGAGGAAACAGATTGTGTTTTAATTTTCAATGTTTAAATTACTTTTCAGGGAAACAACAAGTTGGAGAACAGGATCATTGTTTGAAAAGAGATCATTAACTCTGGAATTGATGCTTATTTGCACAACTCATTCTTAGGCTTGATGGGGCTCCAAAATTTATTATTGCACTTAATATGAAAAGAGGAACACCTCTCTTTTGGGAATGACCCGAGATTACAGTCAGGGACAAGAGTAACTGCTACAGGTCAATGTTGAAGAGAAGTTGAAAACCATACTGCAACACAGCCCATTTTTCTTTTCTTTCTTTTTTAAGATAATTTCAACTTTTATTTTAAATTCATGGGGTACAAATGCAGATTTACTACATGGTTATGATGCTGAAGTTTGGGGTATGATTGATCCTGTTACCCAGGTACTGGATATAGTACCCAACAATTAGTTTTCAGCCTCTCCCCCACTCCCTCTCTGTTCCCTCTAGTAGTCCTTAGTGTTTATCATTGCCCTCTTTATGTCCATGAGTACTCAGTGGTAAGCTCCCATTTATCAGTGAGAACATGCAGTATTCAGTTTTCTGTTCCTGTGTTTATATGCTTAGGATAATGGCTTCCAGCTGCATCCATGTTGCTGCAAGGATGTGATTTCATTCTTTTTTATGGCTGCATGGTATTCCATGGTGTATACACACCAAAGTTTCTTTATCCAACACACTGTTGGTGAGTGTCTAGGTTGATTCCATGTCTTTGCTATCGTGAATAGTGCTGTATGGAACATATGACAGAACATCTTTCTGATAGCCATCAAGAAATTTGAGCTTCAGGTATGTGTGGTTGATGAGATATAGATTTGGTTAATTTGATTAAAGAAGGATGAGTGCAAGAGTGCTAAAACATATATCAGTATAACATTCAATTAAATGCTGGGAGCCAGTTGTCAACAACATATATGATTCTACTGAAAAATGTAAAAATATATGACATGTACTTTTGATTTTATTCACTCTACATAGACAGCAATCAAGGACACTGGAGGTATTTTAACCTCTTATTAATTACAATGATCAGATTTTGGCTTAATTGGGTTTTGTATCTTATACCAAGAGACTGTACATAATACGTGCCAAGTACTGCACCAGGCTCAGAAAACCATGCCAGTATTGAACAAACACAATTTTCCTTTAATTTTTCTTCCTTAGAAAGCCACTGTATACTTCATTCATTCATTCCTTAACAAATATTCTAGACAGTCTTGTAGAAAATAGGACCCTAATGATGCCGAGACCAGCTCAGTTGGGGAGACCCTAACCCAGCAGTGCTAGAGGAATTAAAGACACACACACAGAAATATAGAGGTGTGAAGTTGGAAATCAGGGGTCTCACAGCTTTCAGAGCTAAGAGCCCCAAACAGAGATTTACCCACATATTTATTAACAGCAAGCCAGTCATTAGCATTGTTTCTATAGATATTTGATTAACTAAAAGTATCCCTTATGGGAAACGAAGGGATGGGCCGAATTAAAGGAATAGGTTGGGCTACTAAACTGCAGCAGGAGCATGTCCTTAAGGCACAGATCACTCATGCTGTTGTTTATGGCTTAAGAATGCCTTTAAGCGTTTTTCCGCCCTGGGCGGGCCAGGTGTTCCTTGCCCTCATTCCCGTAAACCCACAACCTTCCAGCTTGGGCGTTAGGGCCATTATGAACGTGTTACAGTGCTGCAGAGATTTTGTTTATGGCCAGTTTTGGGGCCAGTTCATGGCCAGATTTTGGGGGGCCTGCTCCCAACAAATGATAAATATGATAATCACGTTTCCTATCCTTTTGAAATTTATATACTTGTAGGGACTAAAACACAGTAAGCAGGTAAATGAGATATTTTCTGATGCAGATAAGAACCATGAGAAACACAAAGAGTTGACTAAGGAATGAAGTTGTGGAAAGTGTAAAAGAAACATAAAGAGTTGACTAAAGTATGAAGTTGTACAAAGTTAAGGAACATGTTTTTGAACAAGTAAGATTTGTACTGAAGCCCAAATAAGAAGGAGTTACCTCTGTAGAGACTGGAAGAGAAGAAAGAGAAAAAAGATTATTTCATGTAGAGGAAAGTAAGTGCAAAGTTAGAATAAACTTTGAAATTTTGAAGGAACAGTGTCAGGATATGAGGCTTGAGAGAGAGGCATGTGCAATCAATGCAGAGCCTTTTAGAAAATGGAAAGAAGATTATACTTTATTCTCTATTCACAGCATAATTTATCATTTTCAGGATAGTCCTCTCTTTTTTTAAAATGAAAATAATATTACAAAACAAAGAGCTCAATGTTATTTCTTTAAGTGTGGTGTCAGGTTACATTTTCAACTAAGTAAATTAGGAAAATCCATGTACTTGATACATCACAGGTCCCACCTATTGTGAGTTAATCTCGTTACATCCTATTCCACATCACAGAGGTAACATGCCACTGTAGATGGTTATACGACTTAATCATCAATTAATAGCCAAAAGTTGTTTACATTGATTGATATTAGATATCTCCTTCAGACTTTAAACCATCTATCAAAAGTCACTTAAGACAGGCATAAGGTGGCTAATTCAAGAAACTTTGGGATAACTTTCTGCTTCATTACAGTTTGGAAATTAAATTTTGGATTCTGAAAATTTTTGAAAAAATTTTCAAAATTATTTTTATTTTCATACGTCACCTCAGGGTTCTTTCCTGTTTTCAGATGCTTCTAGAATAAGAGATTTGAGAACCCTTCCAAAGAGTCTGCAAAAAAGCAGCCCAGATACTCTTTTCTTTCTGAATGCCAGGTTTTCCATCATCTACTTCCAGTCTAGATCTCGTGCTTCTGTACCATGAATAAATCACTAGTTTTAACATCTTAGACATCCTTCAAAAGGATAGATTGCTTCTGGAAAAAACAACAAATCAAGGTACTTTGTAATGCTTCCTCAGATGCTTAGTTTGGGGAAGTCAAGACGTAACAGTTGGTAACATGTTCTTTTGTTGTTGTTGTTGTTACTACAACCGGCAGGAACCATGTTTTACTGTATTCTGTATCCCTGTATCTTTGTGTCTTAGTATGGTGTGGCACATAACCTTGCAATCACTGATGCAAATTAGGAGTTTTTTCTCCCAGCTGTAATTAAGTGTAAAATTGTATGTATTTAAGGTGTACCACATGATGTTTTGGCATAGCTATACATTGTGAAATGATTGTGATACCACAATCAAGTTAATTAACATGTCCATCACTCAATACTTCTTTTGAGAGAACATTTAAGATCTACTCTCCCAGCAAATTTCAGGTATACAATATAGGATTCTTAGCTATAGTAACCATGCTATACATTAGACTCCAGAATTTATTCATACTGTATAACTAAAACTTTGTACTCTTTGATCAACATGTCCCCATTTTCCTCATCACCCCTTCCACTTCCCCTGGAAACCACCATTCTACTATTTCTATGAGTTTGATTTTCTTTTTTATATTCTACATATAAGCAAGATCATGCAGTATTTGCCTTTCTGGGTTTGGCTTATTTCATTTAGCATTGTGTCCTCCAGGTGCAATAGACAGCAATACAATAAAAGTAGGGGACTGAAATACCCCACTTTCAACAATGAATAACATGGGAAACAAGGGAATCAATAAGGATCAGTGGAATTGAACAACAGTATAGACCAAATGGTCAGTCATGACAGACATATACAGAACATTCTATCCAACAGCAGCAGAATACACATTCTTTTAAAATGTGCATAGAGAGGGTGGTTCCAAGATGGCCAAATAGGAACAGCTCCAGTCTACAGCTCCCAGTGTGAGCGATGCAGAAGATGGCTGATTTCTGCATTTCTAACTGAGGTACTGGGTTCATCTCACTGGGGATTGTCAGACAGTGGGTGCAGGACAGTGGGTGCAGTGCACCGAGCATGAGCTGAAGCAGGGCGAGGCATCGCCTCACCCGGGAAGCTCAAGGGGTCAGGGAATTCCCTTTCCTAGCGATGGAAAGGGGTGACAGATGGCAACTGGAAAATCGGGTCACTCCCACCTTAATACTGTGCTTTTCTTACAGTCTTAGCAAACGGCACACCAGGAGATTATATCCTGCACATGGCTCGGACAGTCCTGTGCCCATGGAGCCTTGCTCATTGCTAGCACAGCAGTCTGAGATCAAACGGCAAGACAGCAGCGAGGCTGGGGGAGGGGTGCCCGCCATTGCTGAGGCTTGAGCAGGTAAACAAAACGGCCGGGAAGCTTGAACTGGGTGGAGCCCACTGCAGCTCAAGGAGGCCTGCCTGCCTCTGTAGACTCCACCTCTGGGGGCAGGGCATAGCCAAACAAAAGGCAGCAGAAACCTTTGCAGACTTAAATGTCCCTGTCTGACAGCTTGGAAGACAGTAGTGGTTCTCCCAGCATGCAGCTGGAGATCTGAGAATGGACAGACTGCCTCCTCAAGTGGGTCCCTGACCTCTGAGTAGCCTAACTGGGAGGCACCCCCAGTAGGGGCAGACTGACACCTCACACAGCCAGGTATCCCTCTGAGACAAAACTTCCAGAGGAACGATCAGGCAGCAACATTTGCTGTTCACCAATATTTGCTGTACTGCAGCCTCCACTGCTGACACCCAGGCAAATAGGGTCTGGAGTGGACCTCTGGCAAACTCCAACAAACCTGAAGCTGAGAGTCCTGACTGTTAGAAGGAAAACTAACAAACAGAAAGGACATCCACAACAAAACCCCATCTGTACGTCACCATCATCAAAGACCAAAGGTAGATAAAACCACAAACATGGGGAAAAAACAGGGGAGAAAAACTGAAAATTCTACAAATCAGAGCGCCTCTCCTCCTCCAAAGGAACGCAGCTCCTCACCAGCAATGGAACAAAGCAGGATGGAGAATAACTTTGACAAGTTGAGAGAAGGATTCAGATGATCAAACTTCTCCGAGCTAAAGGAGGAAGTTCGAACCCATGGTAAAGAAGTTAAAAACCTTGAAAAAAGATTAGATGAATGGCTAACTAGAATAACCAATGCAGAAAAGTCCTTAAAGGACCTGATGGAGCCGAAAACCAAGGCACGAGAACTACGTGATGAATGCACAAGCTTCAGTAGCTGATTCGATCAACTGGAAGAAACAGTATCAGTGATGGAAGATCAAATGAATGAAATGAAGCAAGAAGAGAAGTTTAGAGAAAAAAGAATAAAAAGAAATGAATAAAGCCTCCAAGAAATATGCTACTATGTGAAAAGACCAAATCTACGTCTGAATGGTGTACCTGAAAGTGACGGGGAGAATGGAACCAAGCTGGAAAACACTCTGCCGGATATTATCCAGGAGAACTTCCCCAATCTAGCAAGGCAGGCCAACATTCAAATTCAGGAAATACAGAGAATGCCACAAAGACACTCCTCGAGAAGAGCAACTCTAAGACACATAACTGGCAGATTGACCAAAGTTGAAATGAAGGAAAAAATGTTAAGGGCAGCCAGAGAGAAAGGTCAGGTTACCCACAAAGGGAAGCCCATCAGACTAACAACTGATCTCTCGGCAGAAACTCTACAAGCCAGAAGAGAGTGGGGGCCAATATTCAACATTCTTAAAGAAAAGAATTTTCAACCCAGAATTTCATATCCAGCCAAACTAAGCTTCATAAGTGAAGGAGAAATAAAATACTTTACAGACAAGCAAATGCTGAGAGATTTTGTCACCACCAGGCCTGCCCTAAAGAGCTCCTGAAGGAAGCACTAAACATGGAAAGGAACAACTGGTACTAGCTACTGCAAAAACATGTCAAATTGTAAAGACCATCAAAGCTAGGAAGAAACTGCATCAGCTAACGAGCAAAATAACCAGCTAACATCATAATGACAGGATCAAATTCATACATAACAATATTAACCTTAAATGAATTGGGTTAAATGCTCCAATTAAAAGACACAGACTGGCAAATTGGATAAAGAGTCAAGACCCATCAGTGTGCTGTATTCAGGAAACCTGTCTTACCTGCAGAGACACACATAGGCTCAAAATAAAGGGATGAAGGAAGATCTACCAAGGAAACGGAAAACAAAAAAAGGCAGGGGTTGCAATCCTAGTCTCTGATAAAACAAATTTTAAACCAGCAAAGATCAGAAGAGACAAGGCCATTACACAATGGTAAAGGGATCAATTCAACAAGAAGAGCTAACTATCCTAAATATATATGCATCCAAGACAGGGGCACCCAGATTCATAAAGCAAGTCCTTAGAGACCTACAAAGAGACTTAGACTCCCACACAATAATAATGGGAGACTTTAACACCCCACTGTCAACATTACATAGATCAATGAGACAGAACGTTAATAAGGGTATCCAGGAATTGAACTCAGCTCTGCACCAAGCGGACCTAATAGACATCTACAGAACTCTCCACCCCAAATCAACTGAATATACATTCTTCTCAGCACCACACCGCACTTATTCCAAAATTGACCACATAGTTGGAAGTAAAGCAATCCTCAGCAAATGTAAAAGAACAGAAATTATAACAAACTGTCTCTCAGACCACAGTGCAATCAAACTAGAACTCAGGATTAAGAATCTCACTCAAAACCGCTCAACTGCATGGAAACTGAACAACCTGCTCCTGAATGACTACTGGGTACATAACAAAATGAAGGCAGAAATAAAGATGTTCTTTGAAAACAACGAGAACAAAGACACAACATACCAGAATCTCTGGGACACATTTAAAGCAGTGTGTAGAGGGAAATTTATAGCACTAAATGCCCACAAGAGAAAGCAGGAAAGATCTAAAATTGACACCCTAACGTCACAATTAAAAGAACTAGAGAAGCAAGAGCAAACACATTCAAAAGCTAGCAGAAAGCAAGAAATAACTAAGATCAGAGCAGAACTGAAGGAAATAGAGACACAAAAATCCCTTTAAAAAATCAATGAATCCAGGAGCTGGTTTTTTGAAAAGATCAACAAAACTGATAGACCACTAGCAAGACTAATAAAGAAGAAAAGAGAGAAGAATCAAATAGACGCAATAAAAAATGATAAAGGGGATATCACCATCGATCCCACAGAAATACAAACTACTGTCAGAGAATACTATAAACACCTCTACGCAAATAAGCTAGAAAATCTAGAAGAAGTGGATAAATTCCTGGACACATACACCCTCCCAAGACTAAACCAGGAAAAAGTTGAATCTCTGAATAGACCAATAACAGGCTCTGAAATTGAGGCAATAATTAATAGCTTACCAACCAAAAAAAGTCCAGGACCAGATGGATTCACAGCCGAATTCTACCAGAGGTACAAAGAAGAGCTGGTACCATTCCTTCTGAAACTATTCCAATCAATAGAAAAAGAAGACATCCTCGCTAACTTATTGAGGCCAGCATCATCCTGATACCAAAGCCTGGCAGAGACACAACAAAAAAAGAGAATTTTAGACCGACATCCCTGATGAACATCAATGGAAAACTCATCAGTAAAATACTGGCAAACCGAATCCAGCAGCACATCAAAAATCTTATCCACCAAGATCAAGTGGGCTTCATCCCTGGGATGCAAGGCTGGTTCAACATACGCAAATCAATAAATGTAATCCAGCATATAAACAGAACCCAGGACAAAATCCACATTATTATCTCAATAGATGCAGAAAAGGTCTTTGACAAAATTCAACAACCCTTCATGCTAAAAACTCTCAATAAATTAGGTATTGATGGGAAGTATCTCAAAATAATAAGAGCTATCTATGGCAAACCCACAGCCAATATCATACTGAATGGGCAAAAACTGGAAGCATTCCCTTTGAAAACTGGCACAAGACAGGGATGCCCTCTCTCACCACTCCTATTCAACATAGTGTTGGAAGTTCTGGCCAGGATGATCAGGTAGGAGAAGGAAATAAAGGGTATTCAATTGGGAAAAGAGGAAGTCAAATTGTCCCTGTTTGCAGATGACATGATTGTATATCTAGAAAACCCCATCGTCTCAGCCCAAAATCTCCTTAAGCTAATAAGCAACTTCAGCAAAGTCTCAGGATACAAAATCAATGTGCAAAAATCACAAGCATTCCTATACACCAATAACAGACAGAGAGCCAAATCATGAGTGAATTCTCATTCACAATTGCTTCAAAGAGAATAAAATACCAGGAATCCAACTTACAAGGGACGTGAAGGACCTCTTCAAGGAGAACTACAAACTACTGCTCAATGAAATAAAAGAGGATACAAACAAATGGAACAACATTCCTTGCTCATGGGTAGGAAGAATCAATATTGTGAAAATGGCCATACTGCCCAAGTTAATTTATAGATTCAATGCCATCCCCATCAAGCTACCAATGACTTTCTTCACAGAATTGGAAAAAACTACTTTAAAGTTTATATGGAACCAAAAAAGAGCCCTCATTGCCATGTCAATCCTAAGCCAAAAGAGCAAAGCTGGAGGCATCATGCTACCTGACTTCAAACTACACTACAAGGCTACAATAACCAAAACAGCATGGTACTGGTACCAAAACAGAAATATAGACCAATGGAACAGAACAGAGCCCTCAGAAATAATACCACACATCTACAACCGTCTGATCTTTGACAAACCTGATAAAAACAAGAAATGGGTAGAAGATTCCCTATTTAATAAATGGTGCTGTGAAAACTGGCTAGCCATATGTAGAAAGCCGAAACTGGATCCCTTCCTTATATCTTATACAAAAATTAATTCAAGATGGATTAAAGACTTAAATGTGAGACCTAAAACCATAAAAACCCTAGAAGAAAACCTAGGCAGTACCATTCAGGACATAGGCATGGGCAAGGACTTCATGACTAAAACACCAAAAGCAATGGCAACAAAAGCCAAAATTGACAAATGGGATCTAAATAAACTAAAGAGCTTTTACACAGCAAAAGAAACTACCATCAGAGTGAACAGGCAACCTACAGAATGGGAGAAAATTTTTGCAATCTACTCATCTGACAAAGGGCTAATATCCAGAATCTACAAAGAACTCAAACAAATTTACAAGAAGAAAACAAACAACCCCATCAACAAGTGGGCGAAGGATATGGACAGACCCTTCTCAAAAGAAGACATTTATGCAGCCAGAAGACACATGAGAAAAATGCTGATCATCACTGGCCATCAGAGAAATGCAAATCAAAACCACAATGAGATACCATCTCACACCAGTTAGAATGGCAATCATTAAAAAGTCAGGAAACAACAGGTGCTGGAGAGGATGTGGAGAAATAGGAACAATTTTACACTGTTGGTGGGACTGTAAACAAGTTCAACCATTTTGGAAGTCAGTGTGGCGATTCCTCAGGGATCTAGAACTAGAAATACCATTTGACCCAGCCATCCCATTACTGGGTATATACCCAAAAGAATATAAATCATGCTGTTATAAAGACATGCACACGTATGTTTATTGCGGCACTATTCACAATTGTAAAGACTTGGAACCAACCCAAATGTCCAACAATGACAGACTGGATTAAGAAAATGTGGCACATATACACCATGGAATACTATGCAGCCATAAAAAATGATGAGTTCATGTCCTTTGTAGGGACACGGATGAAGCTGGAAACCACCATTCTCAGCAAACTATTGCAAGGACAAAAAACCAAACACCGCATGTTCTCACTCATCGGTGGGAATTGAACAATGAGAACACTTGGACACAGGAAGCGGAACATCACACACCGGGGCCTGTTGTCAGGTGGTGGGAGGGTGGAGGGATAGCATTAGGAGATACACCTAATGTAAATGACGAGTTAATGGGTGCAGCACACCAACATGGCACATGTATACATATGTAACAAACCTGCACGTTGTGCACATGTACCCTAAAACTTAAAATATAATAAAAATAAATAAATAAATAAATAAATAAATAAATAAATAAATAATGTGCCTAGAATATTTTCTGGGATAGCTCATATGTTAGGTGACAAAACAACTCTTAATAAATTCAAGCAATGGAAGAATATCAAATAATTTTTCTGACCACATAGTGTCTAAAATCAGAAATCAATACCAGGAGGAAAATTAGAAAATTCACAAACATGTAGACAACAAACAACATACTCCTAAACAACAAATGTGTCAAATTAAAAGAATCAAGAGGGAAATTAAAAAATACCTTGAGACAAAGGTAAATAAAAACACAATATACCAAAACTTATTGGATGCAGTGAAAGCAGTTATAAGAGGGATTTTATAGTGGTAAATTACTACAATAAAATAGGAAGGATCCCAAATAGACAAACTAACTTTGCACCTAAAGGAACTAGAAAAAGAAGCGTCAAACTAAGTTAGCAGAAGGAAGGAAATATTTATCGGAGCAGAAATAAGTAAAACACATACCAAAAATGTTCAGTGAAACTAAGAGTTGGTTTTTTTGAAAAGATAAACAAAATTAACAAACCTTTAGCTAGATTAAATTTAAAAAAAACAGAGACGACTCAAATAAGAAATGAAAGTGAAGACGTTATAATTGATAACCACAGAAATACAAAGGATTATGAGATTGCTCTGAGCAATTGTACACGAACAAATTGGATAACCTAGAAGAAATGGATAACTTCCTTGAAACATACAACCTACCAAGACTGAATCATGAAAAAATACAAAATCTGAACAGGTTAATAACAAGCAAAGGGATTGTATCAGTAATCAAAAACTCCCCCCGCCCCTCCAAGAAAAGTAAAGCCCAGGACTTGATGGCTTCACTGAAGAATTCTACCAGACATTGAAAGAAGAGTTAGCCAATTTATCTTAAAGTGTTCCAAATATTAAAGAGGAGGAAATACTTTCCACCTCCTTTTACCAAAAACACTACCTTGATACCAAAGGCAGACAAGGATGCTACAAGAAAATTACGACTAATATTTCTGATGAGCATAGCTGCAAAAATCGTCAACAAAGTATTAGCAAACAGAATTCAACTTCACACTGAAGTGATGATTTACATCGTGTAATGTCAGAATATGAGTACTCAAGGGTAATGAGTTTTATTTCTTTTGTTGTCATCGTTTGAAGTAACGCAAAAACTAGTTGGTGTTGGCTGCCTAGCTTGAAATGTCCTCCCCATGAGAAGATTTTGAATGTTTAAATTATTTGATTGGTTGGTAGTACATTTATTATAAAACGTGTGTAAGTGATTGGCATTTGCCTTTATTCCAGGAAGTAGCAGTTGGCTCTAAATGAAATTTTTGGCTAATGATGTAAAACTCCATAGAAATCTTCATTGGTCCCTTTTACAGAGCCTTTAGTGTCAGTCAATGTAGTCTTATCTTAAAGCCCATGCTGGGAAGATGACTTGCCCTGGAAACCTAAGACTGCTACCCATTGGTTTCTAAGTCCACTTCGACTAATATTCATATAACAGGAGCATAAATGTAGAGCTATGTGCAAAAACGTTTTTACCTCTCTGAGAGGCTGGGACTTAGGGGGACTAGGTGCTGACAGCAGTCAGAGTCTGTACTTGAATATCCATTACTCACTGTGAATGTTGACTGAATCATGCTGGCATGTAGGAGGGGAACCTATGATATTAATGCACGGAATTGTACCTTAATAATTCCCTTTGAAGGGAAACCTGACATATGGAAACCCTTGCTACATACTTTGTTCAAGAAGTAATACCCAGGCTGATAGAAAGGCTAATTTTACCAGTAGAAGCAGATCGTCTCTCTGTTGCCTAAGCTAGCAGCTTAGGAAAACCATGTTACATCCTTAACACGCTGAGGCTGTTTAAGTAATCTTTACCTAATTGTATTTATGGTTAGAGGTGGAGAGACAGAAAAGGCAAAGGCAACAGTCCAATTATCTAATCTCCAATTTGAACACATAGGTATGTGGCTGGTAATTTAAGAAATAATTCTATCATTGTAGTATCTGAGATCTTATACTAGGAGGAACCATGGAGTAGAGTTGGATCTAGATGGGTAATGGCAGTATGTGTTTTACTTTCTTTTGCTTATCTTTCCTTCCCTTGCATTTTTCCAGATATGAGCATGAATTACATTTCAAATAAGAAAGGCATATTTAAAATTATATTCAGCATTTTCTGGCAACAAATTTCAGCTACTATCTTTTACTCTCTTTCCTTTTCCAAAGGATTGAGTCCCGGCAGAATGCAAGGATTGCGAGACCTTATCTACTCATTTGAAAACATTCTTGAGATCCATCACAAGTAGCAGCTGTTATAAGAACTCTCTACTCTTTTGAACACCGAATCCACCGTGATAAACTTCATTTATCCTCCTTTTGTGAACACTACAGATTCATCTATCCCTTGTAGTGTGATTTGCTATCTTATTTCCTGACTCTGGATTGCTGCTTCCAGAGTGCTTGGGAAATGAATTTATTCTATAATGCTGTTTGTCGTGTTTCTCCTTTCTCAAGTTACTGTTCTAACGTATTCTTCGGTGTCTAAAATAACTCTTTACTCAACATAGCTCTTGTCTTTTTCCTTTGTACTTGCCAACCATTTTATATGGGCAATTTGTGTAGGTCTATGCTAAGAGCCTCTTTGAACAGAAAGTCAATTATGGCTGCTTTGAACTCCCATCAAATCAAAACTTGTTATTCGAAATTCTGCCTGTGATTTCACTTTTACTAAACCATGGACAGTTTTGGCATAGTTATCTTTATCTTTTCCAGTCAATGAAAATTTGGGTTTAAAAGAGTAATCTTTTTTGTTTTCCATTTCTAATGATGCATTTATTTAACTGGTCAAAATTATCACAGTTTTAGAATAACAGATTTGGAGGGGGCCTCAGAGACCATCTGGTTCAACCCTCTCATTTGTCATGTTGAGATAAATGAGCCTCAGAGCTCAAACACATGGTGACTAAACTAAAACTAGAATCCAGAGCTCTGGTCTCCAGGCCCACGTATAGCCTTCCTACTATATCTGGTTTATTTTACTCTCAATGGGAAATGTAGTTTTATTTCCTAATTTTCAAAACAAAGTGAAATAAGGACTGCAATCTTGATTTATCAGGGGGACATTGGTTGCAAACAACAGAACCTGACTTTGGCTGTTTAGGGCAAAAGAGAATTTGCTGAAAGGTTATCAGAGGCTCACTTAATTCTTTAGCACAGGTCTTCAAAACAGGAGTGATTAGTGAAACTCAGAAGGAGAAACAGCATGTTTATTGAGCAGGATAGCCTTAATGTTCCCTTCAGCTTGACTAAGATTTAGACAGGTTCTTCCTGACTATATACCTTTGAGGTTCCTTTTCTTAGAGTATTTACTTTTAAAAACTTGCAACTATAAATTCTGCCCCTTTAAGATGTAAATCTTTTTCCAGCCTCCTGCCAGTTTTGGAACCCAGGGATGTCTTTCTAAAGGACCTGGGAGCTGTCCCTTTGAAATATAACTAAAAAAAAAAGACAGCCTCCTAACTCCCAGTCTCCGTGGGAGAGTAGGAGCTTAACTTCAATAAGAGACAATTAGCAAACACAGATGGACTAATTACATTGGCCAATCTCCCACCTAAAGTCCTCCAGCAGTATCTACTGGCTCACTCAGTGCTTAAAAATTCTCAGGCATTTGTTAAAGTAAGGTTAAGTTCAATCTCTCTCTGCTATGGTGACAGTTTTGAATAAAATCTTCCTTGCCTGTTTAACTTGTCCAAGTGTAACTTTTCTTTGACATCATGATGCCACTAGTAAGAAGGACTAAAATTTCGACCATTTTCAGTATCTTTTCCCTTTCTCAAAATTCAGTTGAAGGGAAGAATTATCTATTTGCTCTAAGGGAAGCCAGGTCTCTCGATAATCTCACCAGATTTTATCCAGTAATCTAACCCCTTAACAAACTGAGTGCAGTTTGGAAGAGGAAATGAAAAGCTAGACAGCCAAACAAACAAACAAACAAAAAACCTGTTGACTAAAACCTTTACTGTCATTCTGAGTTTCTAATGAATATATTAGGCCTGGGACTCTTTGGAAGTATATAAAGGAGCTATGTGAGAAGTGCCTAAGATATCATAGCTTTATTTTTTTCCCTTTCCAGTATGACACAACTCTTGGCACGTGAACAGTAAATACTCCTTTAGGGTAAGACAGATATGGTATAAAGGTTTCATCTAGCATGAAAACCACTACTTATTAATAGTGGTTGCAATGAAATACTGGATTGAGAATTATTCAGAAGTCAAATCTGGGCTCAGTGGAAAAGGTACAGGTAAAGGGTTAGTAGTTGATATTTATACCATGCATGTTAGTCTAAGTCCTCTGAGATTGGATTTAACATGCAAAGTTTTTACTAGGAGAAACACCTTTGAGAGAAATGGAGTGGGATCTGGGGAAGGTGGGAGAACCATCAGGTTGCAACTCAAGTCTGATCCTCATTGAAGATGACAGCAAAAGAAGATTGTGGGGAAGGTGTGGCAATGCCATTGGGAATCTTCATATTAAAGTTGGCTGTCAGGGGAGTCTCCTGTTTCCCAGGGATGGGCCTGCCTTAAAATCCCTGCCGTGTTCAGTCATTGGCCTCAGCACAAATGCAGACAAGGGTTTCAGAGTATAGCAGCTGAGTCTCTGGCCAGTTAAGCTTCCTGTCATTGAGTTCTGCAGGCAAATTCTCATGAACACCATACTATGTAACTGTTATCCTGAGTTACGATATTGAAGCCCCCAGTTCAGACTAAATGAACCCCACTGACATTCAAATTAATGGTGGTGGCTCAGGAAACAAATGAATGTCTACTTGTAGAGAGATTGATTAGATATCCTCGTTTATTGAATAGGATATATTCAACAGCAAGTAATGAAAAAAATTAAAACAGTGGCTTTAAACAATAAAACATTGAATTATCTCACATAATAAGAAGCATTTAGGTGAACAATTTGTTCAGTGTCTGAGTGATGTCATCAAGAAGCCAGGCACTTTTGATCCTTTTGTTCTGCCACCCTTGACGTGCTTGTTTTTATCTTGAAATGTAGTAACTAAATGTGTAGCAGCTACACAATGGCTACTAAATTTCCGTCTATCACATTTCCATTCAAAAGTATGAAGCAGGACAGTGGCCAGAGCAGTTAGAGAATTACTTCTTTTCTATTGTCTGGGAAGCATGGATTGCTGTTCCAGAAGCCCCCAGCATGTTTCTTCTTATGTTTGATTGGTTTAATATCATTCGCATGCCATTAATTCGTTGGAAAGACAATGGAATTAGAAAATAGAAGAATGACCTTTTCCCATCAATGAATTACAAATATAAATATTTATTGCCCCATTCCCGGGATTGGAAGAGGTACCTCCTTGCCTTAAATACGATGTATTGCTGGCAATCTGATACCTAAACAAGCTAGTGTCGCTATTGGCTAGGGAGAAGGGTGAGAAAGGCAGTTATGCAGGGAATCAATATTGTCAGCTATGACTCCACACCTAGGGAGGTTTTGAGTGTGTAGACTTGTGCAGTGTTAGATCTGAAGAAAAGTCTGGAGCATGGACACTTCCCAAGAAAAACAGGCAGAGATAGAAACTATAAGATGTAAAAAAGAGGGCTTTAAAGGTCTCAGAAAAGCCATGGAAAGGTCAAAAATATTTTTGTCAGGCACATGTTAAAAGGGTTATTGGAATAAGTTTCTGGAAATAAATTTGGCAATGATGTTAAATGCATTAAATGTATATATATATATGTATTATTTTTTTTCGACTGCCTCAAACATTCTACTCTCAAGAATATTTACTATGGAAATAACCAGCTAGGCATGCAGGGATTTACACACAAGCATTATCAAAGCATTGTTTATAATTATATAGGCCTGCAAACAAGTAAAAATTTATGTTTTTTGAAGGACATTTAATGCTTTGAAGGATGATAAATGGTTCTTTGAAAAAAAAACAGGTTTACAAAAGTACATCCTCAGGGAGAAAAACAGCAACATATTCAGAATTGTTATTTTTACATGTTAGAGTTGCTGTCACTTTTTAATGCTATTTTTATAGTGCTTCTTCCAAAATTTATACAGTACATATGAAATAAATTCTGTGAAAGACCACTTCAGTTTTGCCCAGGGTTGAATTTCAATTCAATGTTGATTTTAGATACAGAATCTTGTAGTCAGCCACTGAAGTTTGTTTAACCTTTAATGCAGAATTTAAGTTGCATGTAATGAGAACTCATTTACAACTCACAGCCTGTAGGTGAGGAAACTGAGGCCAGATAGGCTGAGTAACTTGTTCATGTGTTCGTAAGTGGCACCTTCGTGTCTCACTTGGAAGACTATTACTAAGCTACTAAAATCTCCCTGTTCATTCTGCCTAACTACTGTTGGTTCTCCATTCAGCAGCTAGACTGAACATTTGAAAACCTAAGTCCTAGAATGAAACACACTCAAACTTCTAGGGTCTTCTTATCACGCTCAGTAACACCCACAACCCTTACCACAGACAAGCTATCTGCCTACCTCATCTTGTACAATGCTCAGTCTGGTCACAATGACTTTCTCATGCTCCTTAGACCTGCCAAGCTTATTCCTCTTGAGGACATAGGTGCTTTTCTGGGAAAAAGTACCTTTGGCTCCCTTTTCTGGGAATACTCTTTTATTAGGTCTTAAAATGGCTCACTTTCCTACCTTCATTCAAGTTTCTTCTCAAATGCTTTCTCCCTGAAGAGTACTTCCCTGCCTACTTTATCACATTGGTCCCCTCTCTCCATCACTCCTCCCTTTTTATTATAGATTCGTATCATTTTTTTATAACATGGATTGCTTTACTCTGTGCTTAGTTGTTTGCCTGTCTTCATTCCTAGAATGTAAGTCCCATAAGGGTAAATATTTTGTCTTGCTCTCTACAGTATCCCGAGTACCTCAAAAGTGACTGGCATATAGTATAAGCTCAATAAAATGTGTTGAATAAATATATCAGTGACAGAGTCCATGTTTTTTGGACCCCAAATAATATGTGCTTTTCATTATACCTTAATCCGAATAATTGTATGGTCATAGATTATTTTAGATATGTATCAGTTCATAGGTTATTAGAATATGCTTTTCATAATTCTTCATTAAAACTAGAACATAAAACCGTTATTTATAAAATAGTTGTGCATATAGCAGAAGGTAAAAATACCTTAAATTATTGATTATTTTATTTTCTGAGTTTATTTCAAGAGAAGAGAACATTTATACTCACCAGAAACTCAATTTAGCTTATCTATAAAATTTTATTGCAATTTATTTTTGCCTACTGCTTAAGCTCTGCTATGAATTAAAATAGGTAATTAAGCAGTAAACTCTTTATAATGTATTTTAGCCATTAGTAAACTGTAAGTATTCAAAACATCATTAGTATCAAAGTGTATAAGGATGGAAAAGTTTAGCATGCCACTTACAGTAAATTATACAACACTTTAAAGCAAAGCAAGTGTTTCAGTAATGTGTTAATGATTCTTGGGTATAATGTCAAGTGACTGAAATGATGGTAGGTGGGCAATGATAAATGAGTTTGAAGCTGATGAGTTCTTGATGATGTTATTTCATCATTTGCCCTTTTATTGCTCTTAGTATTCAAAATTCAATTTGAGTTACCTCATTAGATAATTAATAAATATCTCATTTCTCAGTGATATATATTCTATTTTCATAATTCCATTTCAAGTCTTAGCTTTAATAAAAATTATAGCCCTGACCAACATCTCCATTTAGATAGGAGGAATAGGCTGTGGTGACTATAGTTAATGATGATGTATTATATATTTCAAATAGCTTAAAAATAGATTTTAAGTGTTCTCACAATAGAGTAATGTGAAGTATTTGAGGTGATGGGTATGAACCCTGCCCATAGAAGATGGCTAACTTAATAAATGTGCGTGTTCTGGCTGCTCTACCAACAGGCCGGCCCCATCTCTCTCCCTTGCCGTGGGTCTCCCTATTCCCTGAGACAGAACGATATTGAAATTATGTCAGTTAATAACCCTACAATGGCCTCTAGGTGTTCAAGTGAAAGAAAGATGTCTCTCACTTTAATTCAAAAACTTAATGATTAAGCTTAGTGAAGAAGTCATGTGTGATGCTCAGACAGGCTGGAAGCTAGACCTCTTGCACCAAATGGTTAACCAAGTTGTGACTGCAAAGGAAGAGTTACTGAAGGAAATTAAAAGGACTACTCCAGTGAACAGTTGAACGCTAAGAAGAGAAAACAGCCTTATTGCTGATATGACAAAAGTTTTCATGGTCTGTATGTAAGATCAAACCAGCCATAACATTCCCTTAACCCAAGGCCTAATCCAGAGCAAAGTTCTAACTCTTAAACTCTATGAAGGCTGAGAGAGGTAAGAAAATGCAGAAGAAATGTTGGAAGCTAGCAGAGGTTAGTTCATGAGGTATAAGAAAAGAAGCCTTCTGTATAACATAAAAGTGCAAGGTAAAGCAGTAAAGGCTGATGTAGAAGCTGCAGCAAGTTATCCAGAAAATCTAGGTAAGATAATTGATGAAGGTGTGTACACTAAATAATATATTTTCGATACAGATAAAACAACCTCATATGGGAAGAAGATAACATGTAGAATTTTCATAGTTAGAAAGGAGAAGTCAGTGCCCAGCTTCAAAGTTTCAAAGAACAAACTTACTCTTTTGTTAGGGGCTAATGCAGCTAGTGAATTTAAGTTGAAGCCAACGCTCATTTACCCCTCTAAAAATCCAATAGCCCTTAATAATCATGCCAACTCTACTCTGCCTGTGCTCTATAAATGAAGCAACAAAGCCTGGATGTTAGCACGTCTGTTAACAACATGGTCTACTAAGTATTTTGAACCCATAATTGGGGCCTACTGCTCAGAAAAGAAAAGATTTTTTTTCAAATTATTACTGACCATTGACAATGCACCTGGTCGCCCATGAGCTCTAATGGAGATATACAAGAAGTTTAATGTTGTTTTCATGCCTGCTAACACACATCTATTCTGCAGCCTATGGAGCAAGGAATAATTTTGGCTTTCAAGTCTTATTATTTAAGAAATACAATTTGTACAGCTATGGCTGCCATATAGTGATTCCTCTGATGGGCAAAGTAAATTGAAAATCTTCTGGAAAGGACTCATCATTCCAGATGTCATTAAGAACATTTAGGATTCATGAGAGGAGGTCAAATAGGAGTTTAGAAGAAGCTAATTCCAACTTTCAAAAATGGCTTTGAGGGGTTCAGGACTTCAGTGGAAGAAGTAACTGCAGATGTGGTGGAAATGGCAAAGGAACTAGAATTAGAAGTGGAGTCTGAAGATGCTACTGAATTGCTGCAATCTCATGATAAAATGTGAACTGATGAGGAGTTTCTTCTTGTGGATGAGCAAAGAAAGCGGTTTCTTGAGAAGAAATCTATTCCTGGTGAAGATGCTGTGAACACTATTGAAATGACAACAAAATATTTAGAATATTACATAAACTGAGTTGATAAAGCATCAGCAGCATTTGAGAGACTTGGCGTCGGTTTTGAAACAAGCTCCACTACAGGTAAAATGCTGTCAAACAGCATCACATGGGACAGAGAGAAATTTTGCATTAAAGGAAGAGTCAATCAATGTGCCAAATTGTATTACTGTCTTATTTTTAAAAATTGCCACTGCCCCTCCGAACTTTAGCACCTACTACCTGATCAGTTATCAACTGATGACTACTACCTCAGCAGCCATCAACACTGAGGTCAGACCATCCACCCGCAAAAAGATTACACTCACTGAAGGCTCAGATGATTAACATTTTTTTTAGCAATAAAGTATTTTTAAGTTAAGTTACATACATTGTTTTGTAGATATGCTACTCTATACTTAATATTCTACAGTACAGTGTAAACATAACTTTTATATGCACTGGGAAAACAAAAAGTTTGTGTGACTTGCTGTATTGTGATAGCCGGAACTGAACTTGCAATATCTCAGAGGTATGCCTGTATTAATAAAGGCTGTCTGAGAAGACAATTATAGACCTGTTTATCTTTGTTTAATTCAGTATTTCCTATATTTTTGACTATACAAAACCTTATGCAAGTAGGTAGTTACATAGATGTGTATACGTGCATTATTGCATAATATGTTAGCACTTCTTGGAACAACTGTTTTCCTTAGAAAAAAATTTTGGGAAATGCTGATTGAGAAAGATTAGAAATGTTTGAGACTTCAGCTTCTCATGACATCCAAAATAATTAACTTTCTGGAAATAAAAGTCTTACATTTTCATTTCACTGTGCTGAAGTCAACATGGTATATGCCTTAATGCTGACCAAAACACTCATTTTAAATTGGGGAAAGATTAAGAACAAAAACTCAAGATCTAAGAAGAGTTTTGAAATTGGAGGCATCAATAGGACACTCTATGGTCAGCATGTTTCAAATGAGAGAAAAAAATCATCTTCTGCAGCAAAAAATTTCAGGTTGTGGTTTTTGTTTTAGTTTCTTACTCGCAGTGGGTTTTGAATTCAGTAGGTTGTCAGCCAGGCTCATATTTGAAGATTATGTAATGATGCCCCAAGGGGAAGTGCTTACCACTTTATGGTGTCACTCATTTATTCAGCAAGTATTTATTGAATGCTTACACTGTAGTGGCTGCTTGTTATACATTAGTTAGTAAACAAAGCCTAGCCCTCACAAAGCTCACAATCTTGTGGGAAAAACAAGGAATAAGTAACTAAACAGGGTGCACAACATCTAATTAAATGTTGCCAGAGATAAAGCATGTAAGAGATAATGAATTCGTTAATTAGCTAGATTTAGCCATTCCACAAAGTATATATATTTCAAAAGAACATGTTGTACATGATACATATATACACTTTCTATTTGTCTAAGAGAAAAAAAGAAAGAACGAGTTACCAGGTGTTGGGTGGAGAATAAGGGTGTGAGGAGAGGATGTTTCTCTTTAGATTGGGTGACTCTGGAAGGACTCTTGGAGAAGATGGCATTTAGATTGGGCCCAGAAAGATTAAAAGGAACAATAAGGGATAAGCAGAGAAAAGAGAAAGAAAATTCCAGGCAAACAGTTCAGCACATGCAGAAATCCTAAAGTGGGAAAGATCTGGAGCATCTGAGCAGCTTCTGACTCAGCTCTGTGACTCAGTAGCAGTGAGTATACTGTAGAGTGCTGATGGGGAGTACGTGGGCCAAGTAGGCGGAGCCCAGTCTTGCAGAGCCTCACCTTTGACCATAAAAAGAGGTTTAAGTTTTATTTGAAATTCATTTGAATGCTAGTGAAAGCTTTTATTTTTTATCAATATACTTTATTTTCTAGAATAGTTTTAGGTTCACAGCAAAATAATAAAGAATTTTAATTGGGAAATGATGTGATCAGATTTATATTTTTGTATGATCACTGTGGCTACTATTAATTTGGGTATGGTGTGAGTTTAGAAGCAGGGAAGTTAGGCAGGGAGATAATGCAGTTATGCAGAAGAGAATTGATAGTGGCTTTCACAAAGGTAGTGGCAGCAGAGTTGGAGAAGAATGTATGGACTCTATGAATATTTTTCATATGGCAACAATAGATTTGCTGATAAATTTTATGTGCTGTGTGAAGGAATGCACTGGTTCTTATGTTTCTGGTTTAAGAAGCTGGGTGCCTGGAAGGCAACTTAATGTCATAGGGAAAGCTAAAGGAGGGACAGATACGGAGGGAGAAGATAGCAGTCTGGAATTGGGTTTTGGAGATTTCTATGGAATAACCTAGTGGAGAAGTGACTATGAAGTTGATGTGAGTCTGGAACTCGGGGGAGAGATAGAGACTGGAGCTTTCCATGTGGGGGAACTTCTACATTGATTACAAAATTCTAGAAGATGTAATACACAGAATCTAATCAAATGTAGGAATGATTTACTACTAAATTTTTGTTCCCTAGAGGCAAGTCCTTCATACATCTCATTTTACTTATATGTCAGATTTCAGAAACTGTATTTTCCTCATTCATATTTTCAAAACCTAAAATTAAGTAAGTCTGATTCTTGACATTTCATGTATATAATCCCGGAAGCAGAGGAAGAGCCAGTTACATGCTACTCGGAGGTGGGCAGTACGCCACCCAGCGGTAAAACCACCCTAAGTAACTCACGGCTGATTATCCCCTAATGGACAGATTCATTGTGGGTGTAACTATGTGAGCCTATTTTTTATTGGTTTTCTAATTCATTTATAAGCAGATGGTGATGACTCAGTAAAATTCAAATACACACCTCATATTTCACTTCTCTTGCATTTTTAGAATGATGACCCTTGGGTTAATCTACATGATAGGGCAGAGATTCATTTTAATAGAAGAACTCGCAAGGAGGGAAAAATGAAAATGTAGCCTGATGAAGACAGCCCTGGTCTAAGACATGCCCTTATCTAAATCTCCTATCTGCTCTTTATGACTTGGAGGATATCACTTTATCTCATTTATATATATTTTTTCCCTTAACCTTATGGAGCTTAAACAAATATTCAGGGAAAATTTAAACTGAAGTAAGCTTTGAAGTAAGAATGTCCCGAAGTTTCCATTTATTTGGCTTTGTTGTCAATGCTGTAAATACATTTAGCCACTGTTTTTCTAGTTGACATATGGTTATAGGATCTCAGAGATTAAGTGCTTTCCTGTATATGTGTGGTATTGTTAGATATAAAATATAGACTATTCATTACATGCATATGTTCTCTTTCTGCTAAAGGAAAAAAAAAGAACAACCTTTACAAACAGGTTTTCTGCTCTTCACTTTATCAACCGACAAGTAAGCAGTTGTTTTGATTCTGGGATTCTTTCTATTGACAATTCTGTGCCTCTTTCCATTTAATTTTATTTGCCATTATATCCCACTAAGTAATTAGCTCTGCATTTTAGAAAATTTAGAAGCTAAGGGAGTGATTTGAAATAGTAGAATATTTTTCTTTTTTTATAATAGTTCAAACTGTGTTAAGATTTATCAGAGACTTTTAAAATGTGAGAACCAGTTGTGTGTTTGTGTCTGGATGAAAATTATGTCTGAGAGAAAAACAAAATTATCTCTAAGAGACTGAGAAATCAAGATGAGGTAAAAAAATAAAACAAAGCAAAAACAACACCAAAACTATTGTCTTCCCAACATATTTATATAAGAATAACTTATAAATATTTACATAGCTTTCAAAGGAGAAATTTATTTGCAGTTATATATTAGGTTTAATTTGTGGACAATCAAGTTCCTCAAGCGTTTCTTCTTATACTAAATTCTCTCACCAGGCAATAACAAATATGACCTGGATTTCAATTATCAAGTATATGTGACTATTCCAGATTTAAATCTCCAGACCAGACCCCCTGCGAGCTGCAGACTCTCTATTCCAAATGCTTACTCAGTATTGCCACTTGGAGGTCTCAATGGTATGGTACTCTCAAAGGTACTTCCCTCACCAAATCTGTTCCTTCCCTAATATTTATCAAAAATATAGGCCTGCTCTGTAATCCAGGCACTATATGAGTTACTACAGTACAGCAGAGAACAAGACAGTGTCTGCCTTTATGGGGGTCCAGTGAGCGGAAGCCAGAGGTAGAAATGGAAGTATCTTCATGGATACTTCTTCTTCCATGTCTAATTTATCATCATGTCATGCCATTTTTATATCAGTTCATCTACTTTGTGACTATCTAGCTTAAGCCACAATTTTTATCCACACAATTTTTATCACTTATGTTCTCTAAAGTGTACTTCTCACACCTACTCTGCACTTTTCTAAACCAATTCCTACAAGGGATAGGCAAAGAAGTCTTTCAAAACAGTTTTCTTGCCACATAATATTCTCTCTTAAAATCCTTCAGTGACTTTCCATTGTTCCTATTTTGAAACTATAGTTTTTAACATATCCCTCAGGGTGCCAAATAATCTGGCCTCTGCTGGCCTTTCTAGCCTGACCTGCTGCTCCTCTTTGTCCTTTATCTCTGCACTTCAGCCATATTTGCATTTTTAAATGTATTCAGTGTCTCATAGTGCAGTCTTATTTACCTTTCTTTCCTCATCTCAAATCTCATTTTCTCTATGAACCCATCCTTAACTTCTCAGACAAGATCAAGTTATCATTATATGCATTGAACTTCATAAAACATGCTTCATATATTTGTATAATATATGAGTTAATATCTGTCTTTTCTAATGGTGTACAAGTTTCATAATGGAAGAGATTTCCATCCGTTATTTTCAATTTTATACCTGTTACATCTAGAACAATGTCTAGCACACAGCAGATGCACAATAGATAAAATATTGATGCTTCAGGAGTATGTCATATTACGCTTATCAGGACCTGTAGCAAATGCAGTCAGTCATATCCCCTCAGCCTATCCTAGGACAATCACACATGGCTTCTGTGTCTCTTTGCCTAGTGGTATTATCTAGCTGCAAGAGCATGGCTGCCAAGGAACACGTGGAGGTGCTGTAGAGTTAATTTCCCCTGGAGTGATGTTCAGCCAGTGAGGGATGGGAATCTCAGGGTGTGTTGCACAAAGACTCTCAGAGGGTCGTCAGTAGCATTGACACCCAATTGCCTACAGCAACAACTTGCTCATTTATTCACCCCTTACTAACACATCCCCTCCTCTGCTCTCTCACTTTTCTACTTCTTCACCGTACTTCCTGGCATCACCTCCCTGCAAAACCTCTTGCACCCACATCATTGTCTCAGAGTTTGTTTATGGAGAAACCCAAACTAAGAAGGAGCTAGAGCATCGCAGAATGTCAGGGGTACTATTCTAGTGGCACTAATCACGTTGTATTCTATTTTTCAAGGTACCACTTACATTAGAGCACGAAAATAAAAATTGTGAAAGAAATATTTCAGGACGAGATTTTGATAATAACTAAAAGTTTTTTAGTTAAAAACTTTCAACTAGGCTGGATGCAGTGGCTCATGCCTGTAATCCCAGCACTTTGGGAGGTCGAGGTGGGTGGATCACCTGAGGTCAGGAGTTCAAGACCAGCCTTACCAACATGGTGAACCCTTGTCTCTACTAAAATTGCAAAAATTAGCTGGGCGAGGTGGTGGGTGCCTGTTATCCCAGCTACTCGGGAGGCTGAGGCAGGAGAATCGCTGGAACCCTTGAGGTGGAGGTTGCAGTGAGCCGAGATCACGCCATCGCACTCCAGCCTGGGTGACAGAGCGAGACTCCGTCTGAAAAAAAAAAGGCAAGAAAAAACTTTCAACTAGTGTTTATTGAATACTTTCTGTATTTTAGGAGTAGAAGGGAGGAAGGGATGGATGAAAATTATATACCTACTATGTACCCATAAAAATGTAAAAAAAAAAGTGTGACTTTGACCTTTTTGAATTTATGCTTCTATTGAACCTAAAACAGTTTAGTATATGATATGAGACTTTCTATTTCGAAGTGCTACTTTTGGCCTAAAAGATGATAACTGCAACTTGAGAGACTCAGAGCCGAAGCTGGTAGAGTTTGTCTCCTTGATGAACTGAACTGTCCATTTTATCCTAAGCATTAAGCAGGAATAGATTATCTGGTTTTTTAAAATGTTATTTATTGTGTCTTCCCTCAGGCAAAAATAACATTAAGAATGACACAAAATAGCCTACTTAAGAGATCACTGCCGGAGTTCATCAAGGTTTCTGATTCTTCCTACCCTCCTGAGTGTTTTGAATTTTCTTCTCAGTTGTTTTTCAGTCCTCCACTTAATTCAATTCAACTAGTACTTATTGAACAAGAAGTATGTACCAGTATCTGCGCTAGACACTGTAGAAAATTCGGATACCTTTGAAATATGTACAATTTAGTGAGGGGTATAGATAATTATTATTACACAAGTGTATATTTGAAATAACAATGTTTAAAGAAATGGAAAGAACATGGTTTTGAGGACAAACAGGGAGATCATTCTAGAGAAAGAACATTGCAGGTGGGTATTGAAAGATGTGATGCAGCATTATGAGGCAGTAAGTGAGGTCACATGGTCTCTAGGTGTAGACGGAAATAGTAAAAGTAAAGCACAAGTAGGAAGGCACAACCAGGAGCAGAGGGGGGTGGCCAGCCAGAACACAAGTGTGCGGCTTGCATAATGGAAGGAAAAAGTGGAAAGTCGGGTAGGAGCCTGGAGTAAATGCTAAATTCATAAGGACTGCCTTTATTCCACAGGCAAAGGAGCAGGAGCACATCAAAGGTGTGTGTCAAGGGAATACTAATAGCAAGAATATTTTGATTGTAAATAATAGAAACTTGGTTCCAACTAGCTTGAGCAAAAGGGGAATTGATCTCAACTAGTCCGAACAAAATAGAAACATAGGAGGAGCAGGCATGGCTGGGCTCAGATGCTCAGATGATACCGTGAGGAATCTTTTTCTACCTCTGGGGTCATTTTTTTTCTCTGGCATTTTCATTATTCAGCAGTAAGATGACCATTAGGAGCTCCAGGGTTGTATTCCTAATCGCTTTCAGTGGAAAGAGACATTCTATATTTCTTTGCTCCAGGGGAAAGAAAACCAAAATAAAAGTTTTTTGTTTTTTTTTTTTAATAAAAAGGCAAAACCCCAAAAACTCCATGATCTTAACTCTCATTGGCCTTGATTAATTCATATGCCCATTCTGAACCAATTGCGGTGGCCAGGAAGAAGGCCTAGCTACACAATTTGTGGGGCTTAGTGACTAACGAAAGTGTGAAGTTTCTTGTTCAAAAAGTAAGAAAAGAGTGCTGTTAAAGGTGATTAAATATGAAGTTTCTTTCTTCCATGCTCACATTCAACTTGTCATGGTGTTTTTTATTTGCTGTTTAATGTCATTCTAAGTAAAGAAAATTTAAATTTTAAATGATTAGCATAGACCTTACCATTTGTCTTTATATATGCAATGCCAGTTTTAAATGACATTTAATTCATATACAAATTCGTCAAAATTACAAAATTTATGTTGTATAAACTTTCTCATGCATATGGATTTTGTTCTTACCAGAAATGTAGAGATGCTGCATCATACTAACTTCACTTCTTGATATGTCCTCATTCTGTCAATATTCTCTAGGTCCCACTCATTGATGAGTAAGGAAGGACCAAAAGAAAAAGGAATTCTGAGTTGCCCCGTTTTTTCCTTTCCTTCTAGAATGTCGTCATTATCAGCTAAGTGGTTGTATAATACAGGAATGTTACACTGGAAAAAATGAATATGATAGGGTTCTCTGGTCACCCGTGTTTCTTAGAATGCAATTGCCTTCTTTTCCTATTGAAGGAAATTCTGGCTCAAAAGAAAAATGTGGCTTTCAGGGCCCTCAATTATTCAGTTTTAGATGCAAATGATACCTTCCTGCTTTGAATATCACTGAACTCTAATGTACTGAAATTCTGTATTCATGGGGCCATGTGAATGCTACATGCAAATGTTATGAGTGAATGGGGTAGCATGGAGTGATGGACATTGTGCATATTTACTCTGCTCACATGGAAACCTTATTGTCCCATTGGATTTTCCTTAAAAAACACAAGTTCAGAAACAAAATTATTACCTATTTTGAGACAGAGGCTGTAACACATTAAGCCAATTGTGAGACCCTTCCGACTGCAGGGTCCTATATATTTACATGGCTCACACATTCCCCAATGAAGCTGGCCCTGCAAGGGGACAAGGAGTACTGTGTCTTAGTTTGGATCACTTGCTCACCCCTGGAGCTGTAATTCTCAATCAAAATGGTCTGACTCAGAAAGGAGGAGGGGATGATTCTCCAAGAGAAAGGGAGAATGGATTTTGGGCAAATGCAACAGATTTTCATTATAGGAACAGATAATCAGGGGGAATTGTGTATTCTCTTTTCCTCATCCACAAAATCCAAAGAAGTGTCCAGCCAAAGAATAATTGGAAATTTTTTCCTGCAAAATACCTCTTTATTTCTTGCTTTGCTTCATGGGAAACTCACCTCCGTTAAAAAAGAATAATCTAATCTGTCTGTATCTATTTTCAGAATTGATGCTATCTAGTACTTGTGAATAATATTAAATAGGTAATCTCCTGATTGTTTGTGAATGGAGATGACCATATCTGTAGTGTAAGACTCCAAAGAAAATTTTCTCCAGAATGTTGGTGATGGTGCTTGGCGGTGTGGAAGGTTGATTCCATGTGCTTGAATTGTTTTATCACATGACTATGTGTACATGTCCTTGTTATGTAGCCAAGACCAAGATGCTAGTAAATGCAATCTTCTTATTTGTATTTTTGATAATACAAAAATAATACATGAAACATAGTGCATGCTTATAAATATTTCACTAACTGTTGAATGAGTGCCATATTGCATGATTGCTATTCTTTAGTCTTTACTCAGAGGGGTTCTATTTTCTACATTTAAGTAGCAGTGACCACAATAGCTGGATGTGATATTCATTTAGACTTAAAAAATTGCATCATATTGTCATTCTGAATAATTTTCCTGGGTGTCCACTGTCCAGGGCTCGTCTTACAAAAGTACATCTGAAGATTTTCCAGGTTTTTGAAAGGAGTTCATTTTGGGAAGGTTGACATATCCCATGGCTCATTCAATGTAAAAGATAGTTTAATAAGAAAAGATTGGCCACATGGCCTGCATGTACTTTTTCACCCCAATGTTTTTGCCTTGATCCTCTTTCTGCCTACCATACTCTTTCCCCAGATATGCAAAAGACTTGCTACTCGTCTGTTTTAGGTCTTTTCTCAAATGTTATCATCTTGCTGAAGCTTCCACTGAACACACTATTTAAAATTGAGCCTCTCTTCCTATCATGGTATTTCTATTCCCCTTTCCTGTTTATTTTTCTCTAAGGCACTTGTATCATTTGCCAGATAATATATTACTTATTAATTTTTATGTGTCTGTCTCTAGATACTAGAATATAAGTCCAATAGATCAAGGACTTTTTCTGTTTTATTTATCACTGTATCTTGAGTATCGAATAGTTTCTGGCACATACTATGCTTAGTAAATATTTGTTCCAACTCCATTGAGTTGGAAAAGACCATGGCCCACCGTGGAGATTGTGGCAGCCCACGATGGGCCATGGACCACATTTGGAGAAATCTGACTGACAAAGCACCAATTTATTGGTATATTAAAAATATTTTTCCAAGGCCCCTTGGATTTGCATCTTTTGACCCTTTCCTTTAGATTTGAGAAATTCTGTGTGTCACTAAAGGTAATCTGAGCAGTTCACATGTTGGTATTTTTCCAGCTGAAAGTACGTTCTTATAAAGGAGATTAGAACTGGATGGCCCAGAACCTGCTGAAAACAAAAATAGATGAAAAGATTGAGTTGTGACAGAATAGAGTATTCCTAATCACCAATTGAAACCAAAACCAAACTTTTCCTTTATAATTCTATTTTGGTTTCAACTTAATAAGTTGAATTTACTTTCTGAATTCAATTTTTTTTCCTTCTAGCATCTCTTCACAGGTCCAGAGTGGTGAAAACTGAAATCAGTTTAATTCTTTAGAGCTAGGCTTATAATAATAAAATTGCCAAAAAAAAGATACCAGTGGGATAGCAAAAGATAGTTCATGAAATGAAACAGCAGGTTGGTTGGAGGAGTGATTTCTGTGAGTAACTAACACGTAAGGAGCATTTGCTATATAGTAAATACCTTAATAGGTGTTATCCATGTTTGTACATGAATCTTGTTAGTTAATTCAAACAATTCTATGCGATTACTATTATTGTTTTCCTTTTACTAATATGAAGCTGAAGCTCATGAAAATTAAATTGTTTACAATCAAACAGCTAGTAATTACTGAATCTGAAATTCAACTCCATGTCTGCTCTTACCCAGAATTTATGCTCTAATCAATATATGCTGGACTGCGTTAGAGAACTTAAATTTTCTAGCAGAATAAAGAAATGGATTTCATTGATTGGTGATTTCTTCAGATAGGTGGTTGAAACCTCTTATATTTACATTCATTCAGTGCTTTGCACTTTTCAAAATATTTTCATATTACCTCCCTCTGTCTTTTTCTCTGTCTTTTTCTTCATCTCTCTCTCTCTGTGTCTTTGTGTCCCTCTCTCTCTATCTGTCCCCGCCTTATAAATGTATTTATTTTATTTTATTTTTTGCCAGAAGCTACTGTTTGTATGGTTTTTGATGATTGAAAAGACCAGTATATTATTGCCCTCTGAGATATCCTTGGAATGAATGGAATAAATGGATACTTTTCAGGTCTGTCTCTTTTCTCTTGACTGTAAATTGGTTGAAATGAGACAACATTATTTTATTAATAAAAATTTGATAGTAATTGGGACAGGAGCTAGGCTATATTAAAATGAAAAATACCTTTTGATATGCAAATGTTTTCTTCCTTAGGAAAATTAATCACATACATATGGTTTCAGGGGAATATTTAAATCACTTCCGGCATTAGTTTTCAAGGACCTTAAAAGCCTTCACATACTTAGTTCTAAAAGCACAGCATTAAACAGCTGAGCAGACCCTCTATGAGCATTTGTTTCAGCGATTTTATTTTGTGTTGGAAAACAATGCATAGAAAGTTGACTTGTGCTAAATCACAGTTAGTAAGTGGCTGAGTGAGATTTGAACACAGATATGCTGTTTTTTTTTTTGCTTAAAAATCATTTCTCCAAATCACATGAACATAAAATGCACAAACAATACTTGCAAACCCAAACATAGTTCTACAAAATAACATGATAGCTGAATTAAACTACTATATCTAATTCTAAATACTAATGTAATATTTCTCTTATGAGAGCCATAATCCAGAATTTTCCCTAATTTGGATAGTCCGCTATTCTTGTTTTGTTAGAGAAAGTGGAGACTGAGTTTACTGCCTCTACTAATACTGTTGGCGTTGCTACTCCTGCTGCTGTTTTCAAGCAATCCTTTATTGAGTGCCTATGAGAGCAAGGTGCTGTGATGGATACATTATGTGTTTATCAGTGAGGTCAGTCAGGAAACAGATACCACCCTAACTATTTTGAGAAGAAAGGAATTTAATACAGGGGATTAGGTGCTTAGAAAACCACTGGATGGTCTCCAAGAGTGAAGGTCAGGAAAGGCTGTCACTTGTTTTCTATTTGCTGTAGATTTTTAGAGGATCAGGAAATTGCTGCTTTTTCTCATGTTGAGAAAATTTATAAAATGTGTAGCATCAAGGAAGGTGACTCAAGGAGAGAAGGTCAAACGACTGCTTGTCACTGCCAGAGGAAGAGAAATATGCTTCGGCCACCTTCTGTCTTACAAACTCACCAAAATTGGTAGAACCTAATCTGTATCCAGAATCCTGTCCATAAAGGAGCCTGGGAAATCCAGCTCTTAAGCTTCTAGTCTTTGCTGTAAAAGGGAAAGTACAGAAAAGGGTGAAAAGGCTTCCAAATCTCAACAGACAACTTACAGCAGACTATTTACTGTCTCATTAAATTCTGTGAGTAAGCATTATAGATGAGGAGACCTGGGACTTAGAAATATTAAGGAACTGTGTTAGTAGCCCTGGCTTGCATAATAGGCAAGCCAAAAATGTTTGGTAAAGCCGAGAGTGATAAAAGATAATGAAATAATTTGTTATTTGGTATTTCTAAAAGAAGCATTAAGGCAGTCCTTGTGGGAAACACCAGGGACTTTACTGAACTTCCTTGCTCTGATTTTATGACTCTATCTCTTTCTATGTTATCTACCTATCTATTTTCAACTATAAAAATAGGGTGTAACTTCCGGTCACACAGCTGAACAGTGGAAGAAGAAGGCTTTGAAGTCAAAAAGTCTCACTCTGGCACCTAGAATTAACCAGCAAGCCAAATGTGTTGTCATCGAGGGCGCTGTACTTAACATGATTATTTTTTAATTAGCATTCACTGTCATATTTTCTTTTGTTTATCCTGTGTCTGCAAAATATACTTTACTTACTGTCACCTGATGCTGAGAGGAAAAGAAAAAGGTTTATTATATTTTAGACCTATTGATTCAAGCTATAGAGCAAATAGTCACGTATTTTTCTCCTTGAAGAAATAAAGATCCCAAAGTAAATAGTGTCGACTTTTAGGGTGAAGTGAAACCAAGAAAACACACATGAGAATACGAGAATGAAGGTTTCATACTATATAAGGAATGGCAGCCACTCATCTATGAAGACAAGAAACTGAGGGGGCTGCATGTTATTATGAAAAAGGTGGCAAGCGTTGCACCAACAGGCAAAACCCTTGGGATCTAATCCCAACTACTTGTGTGCCTCCTAGAAAATTACTTAAACTCTGTGGATACGTTGCACAAATGTGAAAATTGGGGTTAGGTGGTTGCAAAGATTTTTTTCTGCTCTGAAATTCAAATTTTGTGGTTTGTGAAACATTATAACAATATAAAGTTTATGCTTGCTTACCATCAACTGCTGACATTTTTCTTTTGTCTTTGAGATTTTGAAAGTTTAATAAATTTGAAATGAGGCAATTTTGAAGCAACTTATTTAAGCACAGATTTTTCATATTTCTAAGTACATTTCAGACAGGCAAATTTTTCACTTTTAAACATTTCTGTATCGGTTGCATATATTTTTAGTCCCAGCAGACAACTCCCAAGCTATTTAAAGAAAAAGATTTTTACAGATAATTACTAAATTTGCAAGTTTATAGGGTGCGTTATCAGTTTTAGACCAGAGAAAACTAATTAGAATATAAGTTGGAAAAATAGCTGCGTCTGCTCAATATCTGATTATTTTGAGGTTCAAAGCTGTACTTTTATTGAAATTAAACTGCTTTTGTGTTTTTCTTCATTTTAGTTTTAAAATTGATGGGCTAGAAAACCTAGCCATTTTAACCAACTCCCATTGAAGTGATTAATTTGAGGTATAGCTTATTTTCATCCAAATTGAATTAATGTATTAGAAGAAATGGATCACTCTTTTTTGTCTGATTACTTTTAATTGGTTCCAGCTTAATAAGCAAACATTAGTTTAATGAAGTTTCTGAGTTTATTATGGTCTGAAGCATGTTGGTGTGAGGTGGTGTGCTTTGGTTCCAGGATTAACTTGTCACCTTAGGGCATAGCTGCTTTATACTAGTACAACATTTTGTCTTTAAGGATGGAATATAAGTTTATTCATTATCTAGACTATGGGATGCATAGGGTAGAGGGCATTTTAACCTCTCTATCTGCTCTGTTAGAAAATGTATTGTGATAGACAAACATTGGAGAGAGAGAGAAAGAGAGAAAGGTAAGGAAGTAAGGAATGGCTGCAAGAAGTAACATGTAGCAGTTATTTTCCATCACTGGTGTCATACATGGGTAAAAGCATGGTCCTGCAGTTAAAGAAAACTTGGCTCTAGTGTCAAATGAGTCACCAGTTATACCTATTTTGTAGGACAAGACACCTTATCTCTCTGGGTCTCAGTTTCCTCACAATGAGGGGTTGACCCTGGTGATTTTACCTGCTCTGAGATTCCATGATCCTATTATGTTCAACTACTGTGAAAATTGACCATAGTTAATTCAGTTGTTGGTAGTTCATTTCAGGCTCATCTTTTTTAATGTTTTGATAAGAAAAACAAGAAAGAGACTTCTAGAAATTGACAGAGAGAGAGCCATTCAAGGAGACAATCTTATCCTTCAGTAATACAAATTCTATCCACTTCAGGAAGTTCAGATTAGTTTATCCCGCAACTCTTTGCTTAAGCCTTTTTTTTCCCCAGAAGTTCTTCTACCTCTCAGAATTTGCTAAAAAGTTGCTCTATTCTTTGAATTTTTTGTATATTGAGGATAAATGTTCATCTTTCTCATGTATATATGTTTCTAGGGTACTTACTTTCTTAATATTTGGAGATACATATTCAACGAATGCTATTTTTCTTTTTATAAAATCTCATAAATGTAAAAATATTTAATTTTCTTTTCCACATTCTTTGAATTCTTTTTAATTTTTGTGATGGATCTTTGATTTTAATAAACTTTTAAATATAAAATAGTTTTAGATTTATACAAAAGTTGTGCAGATAGATACCCCACACCTGATTTTACCTATTATTAATATCTTACATTAGCATGATATACTTATTACAATTAATGAGCCAACACTGACACATTATTATCAACTAAAGTTCACATTTTCCTCATATTTTCTTAGTTTTTGCCTAATGTCTTTTTTCTGTTCTAGGATTCTATCTATGATACTACATTTCACATAGCCCTGTTTCCTTAGGCTCCTCCTAGTTGGGACAGCTTCTCAGACTTTGCTTGATTTTGTTGACTTTGATGGTTTTGAAGGAATGCTGTTCATGCATTTTGTAGAACATTTTTCAGTAGTGATTTATATTGTAATTTGCTTATGATTATACTGGTGTTATGGGAATTTGGGAGGGAGACCACAGAAGCAAAGTGTCATTATTATCATGTCATAGCAGGGGCACATACTAATCAACATATGCAACCACTGTTGATATTAACCTTGATTATCTGGCTGAAGTAGTGTTTGTCAGGTTTCTCTATTATAGAGTTCTATTTCTCCTCCTTGAGAATGGGGTATCTTTGTAAATTATTTGGAATTCTTCAGCATGAGAAACTTATTAGTTCTCTCTCATCTATTTATTTAATTAGCTATTTATATTAATATGGGTTAATGGATATTTATTTTATATTTTAGGTTATAATCGAAAATAATTTTATCATTACTCTTCCTGCTTTGGCCATTAGGAGCTCTTGCAGTTAGCTCATGTGCCATTATTTTGTTATAAACCTATCCATGTGGATTTCTTTCTTTTTATTCTTGAATATAACATGCTCCAGACTCATCTTGTACATTTACTGCCGCAGTCCTAGAATCAGATATTTCTCTAAAGATATTTGGTTCCTTTATTGGAGAAAGGTATCAGAAACCAAGATCTGGGCTTTAGGTGTTGCTACTAGTGTATTGTCTCTTGTAGACCGTTATAGTTGACAGAACAAGAAAATACATGTGTGTATGCTAAGTTGTGCATAAACACACACACAAGCACATCCCTAAACATTTCCATCTGCATCTGTATTAAGCTAGACAGGAGTTCATACTGATGTTCCCAACTGTAAACATTACCACATGGATTTTTCTTGTCTTGTCCCTTTGCTTGTCTGTTATCTACCACTCCAATAGTGAGAAATCTTGCTCTCATCATCCATCATCCATTTACTTTATTGTAAAATTACAATATACACATGTAGTTTTAAAATACCTGTTAACTATATCCCCAGGGAAAACAACTTTATCAAGGAGAGTATAGTGCTTATGTTAGGTTCCTTTGTATTTAGTCTTACAGTCTTCACTCCTTTCCAAAGTTACTTAGATGAGCACACTCTTCAGCAAAGTTATTCCATGCATTTTTTCATGCATTTTTAATAGTTATGTTCTTTTGTCACAATCTGCATTCCATATTTGAATTTTTTTATGAATGCCAACTTAATGTCTTTGGATATTCTGTTTTATTTCTTTCAGTTACTTCTCATCCCTTTCTTTCTTCCCACCTTCCCATGAATGTATCTGCTAGCATGCCATTTCTTGCATTGCATTATGATTATTTGTTAACATATCTATCTTATTCTCCACTGATATAGTTTGGATTTTTGTCCCCACCCAAATCTCATGTTGAATTGGAATCCCTAATGCTGGAGATGGGGCCTGGTGGGAGGTGTTTGGATACTGCAGGCAGATCCCTTATGGCTTGATGCTGTCTTCATGATAGTGAGTTCTTGCAAGAGCCTGTCATTTAAAAGTGTGTGGTTCCTCTTCCTCACTCTTTCTCTCTTGCTCCTGCTTTCACCATGTGAACTTCCTGCTTCTGCCTTGCCTTTCACCATGAGTAAAAGATTCCTGAGGCCTCCTCAGAAGCAGATGCTGGCATTATGTTTCCTGTACAGCCTGCAGAACTGTGAGCCAGTTAAACTTCTTTCTTATAGATTACCTAGTCTCAGGTATTTCTTTATAGCAATGCAAGAATGGCCTAATGCCACCCACTACACAATATACTCTTCCTGAGCTGAAATTATCTTCTCCCTAGTGCCTCATATGACATTTGTGATACAGTAAGTGCCAATTAAATGTTTGGATCAATGAGTCTTTGAGTCTCAGGTGAACAGAGTAACATTGTCATGTACCAGGCTTATATAGTTGGGTTCAGATAGAAAGTTAAGCTGCTTTTTAGCTGTTTACCTGTAAAATTTGACCTTATACACAGTGTAATATCGAAGAGTGTAGTCTCTGTAGTCAAAATGTCTAGTAGTGGATCCTGGCTCCACCACTTACAAGTTATGTGACCTTGGAAAGAGAACTTAACTTCTTTATCCCCCAGTAAAATCTGAGTAATAATAAAATCAAGCTCACAGCATTATCCTGAGTTGAATGAGAAAATACTTATAAAAGCATTTGACAGAAGGTCTAGCACATATGGCTTTAAAAAGGCAAACATTATTATTATTGAATTACTTTCATACAATGTTATTCTTAAGAGGCATATCTAAACTATTCTTTCTCTTTTTCCATTTCCTTTGATAGAATAATTTAATCTCAGTACTCTTCCTTTATTTCGATAGATTTGATTATTTTCCTCCTAATATTTGTGTGTGTGCCTGTCCTTTCCCTGAGCAGTGAGTAGAATGATTATTTCTCAGAGTAGACTCCCTAGTTTGGCTTCTGGCTTGAGAGGTAATTATTTTGGCATTATCTTCCACTGCCCTGCATTTGCCATCTGTTGGCAACATCATTGAAATCATCTGAATTTTCTGTAGTCTGGCAATATTTTATCTTTTTATTGGCTCTACCTCCAACTTAAGTTTTATCTCCAAAATGGGGAATTTGGCTAATTTCTGAAGTAGGCCTGAATATTTCAGGGTTTTGTAGGACATCTGTAGTTTGCAATTTGGAAAGGTACCTGTCTTCCTTCCCAAAACCCTGTTAAATATAAGAGAAAAGAATAACTTGAAAATAAAAAATGAGTGAATTTAGTGTTAATTTTGGTTTATGCTCTCATTTTATTAACTCAGAATTATCCAAAAATGACCCGACTTTGTAATTTCTATACTACAAATGGAAATTATCTTTTAACACTGAGACTTTTTTAAAGAAAAATCCATGCCTCACAATACTCCAACATGACTGTCTAGTTCTGGATTCTGTCAATTTCCCCATAGGTCTTCCAACTGCTCGATGTTCTTTTAAAATGCCATTTTCAAGGACTATTCAACAGGCTGAGTTTGCATCCCCAGAATCACTACCTTTCATGTCATATGAAGGATATTCTCACTCTGTCACATCCTTCTTTTCCCGTGCACATTTGTTATTTATCTTGCATCTGGATCTATGCCAGAGCTGCCTGTAAATCTTAACAGAGTGCCTCTTAGCCTCTGAATTCCCTTTATCTGTCATGGAAGCATATTCTTGAAAGAACTCCAGGAGGGCAGTTATAATGAGTGATCCTCTCATTTTCCCCATTCTTTCTTTCAGACTTGCCAAAGAAGCTGCTTATTTCACAGAAGGATGGTGCTGGCTGAAAGATACTTCCTTGAAACTGAGAGATTGCTTCCTTAGACAGGTCTCCTTGAAGAGGTATTTGATTTGCATTTTAATTGTTGGAGCTAAAAACCTAGCTCAGAACTTCAGTTATCTGCATTGTTTCTGTTTGCATTCTTGCAGTGTGTCACTTAGGAGCATATAGAAGTAAATTAAATACGTATGTTTGGTTACACATTAGAGTTTCACATTTATTTGATAAAAGCTGCAACTATCCTTTAGACAATAAGTACATACATAAATAATAAAAAGATCGATAATGTCTAGAGTTGGTAAAAGTATGGGGAAGTAGTTACAATCATTCTTACATCTTGCAGAAAAATATTGATTGCAGCAACATTTTGGGGAGATTAATCTGGTAGCATCTAGCCAAGCTTTAAGGCTCTTTAATTCCTTTATCAATTCATTTAATAAAAATCAAGTGAGCACTTAGTATGTGCCAGGCACAATTTTAGTTACCAGAGATATGGCAGTAGAAAAAGTAAGTCCTTACCCCTGTGGGTGGTACTCTTATTTGGAGTAGGACTGGAAACAGAAAATAAACAAATAAACAAGTCAATCCAAAGTATGTCAGATGTAATTAATGCTTTGAACAAAATAAGGTGAGGTAGAAAGAGAAGAGCTACTTCTTTTGGGGAGGTATGTTACTGGTTTTATTTAGCATGTTCAGGAAGGGCGCCGCTGAGAAGGTGACATTTGAGTGGAGACCTGAAGAATGTGAGAGAGTGGGGCATGCAGATACCTAAGCAAAGGCAGCTCCAAGTAGAGGGAACAAGCAAATGCAAGAAATTCTAAGGTGAGGGCTTGCGTCGTGTTGGATTCAGGGAATAGTGCTGAGGCCAGTGTGTCTGGAGTGAAGCGACTGTGGTGGGGAGTGGTAGGAGATGGGGTCAAAATGATACCGAGGGTGAAGATGAGCAATTCACAGAAAGACACAGGTCATCGAAGGACTTTGTCTTTTGCTCTAAGAGAACTGACAGACCACTGATGGATTGGGGCAGAAGACTGACACAGTCTAAGTTTTAATTTTTATGTGCATGATAAAAGAACAAGGACAGAACAGGCACACTAGTTAGACTATTGCAGCAATCTGGAGGCTATTGCTTTTAATTTCTGTGTAAATAAACACATCAGAACATAAGGCTCTATGTGCAGGGGTGTTTGTTGCAACACTGTCTTATGTCACCTCATTACAGAAAACACTGAATGCATACTATATCGATAGGGGACTGGTTGGATAAATACTGCTACATCCATACAATGGAATAGCATATATGTATTATAAGAGTGAGTTAGGACTGGGTGTGCTGACTCACACCTGTAATCCCAGCACTTTGGGAAGCCTAGGCAACAGGATTGCTTGAGGCCAGGAGTTCAAGAGTAACCTGGGGAACATAATAAGACTCCATCTACAAAAAAGTTTTAAATATTTAAAACTTAGGTGGGCATCATGATGTGCACCTGTAATTCTAGCTACTCAAGAGGCTGAAGTGGAAGGATTGCTTGAGCCCAGGAGTTTGAGGCTGCAAGGAGCTATGATCACATCACTGTACTCCAGCCTGGGCAACAGAGTGAAACCTGTCTCTAAAAAAAAAAAAAAAAAAAAAGAAAAGAAAAAGAAAAAGAGTGAGTTAGAATTTTGATCTACTTGGTCTGATGTCAAAGCTTGTGCTTTTCTGTGGTTTAACTCCTACATTACATAACTTCAAGACAAATAGTTCTTTTTTTTTTAACTGTACTTTAAGTTTTAGGGTACATGTGCACAACGTGCAGGTTTGTTACATATGTATACATGTGCCATGTTGGTGTGCTGCACCCATTAACTCTTCATTTAACATTAGGTATATCTCCTAATGCTATCCCTCTTCCCTCCCCCCACCCCACAACAGGCGCTGGTGTGTGATGTTCCCCTTCCTGTGTCCATGTGTTCTCATTGTTCAATTCCCACCTAGGTTCTTTTCTTAATGGGAGAAAGGCCATGGGTCTTTGAAGGCTAGAAACCTGTTAACATTTATTTTCATACTCAGACAATTCATGATCTAGCATAGTTGTTAGCATATAAGACTCACTCAATACTTAATTATTGAATAAATTGGGTGGGAATTATAACTGAATATCCTGTAATTTTTATATTTACCATAGAAATTACATATACTGACACTGAGGAAAATTTTCATAATTTACTTTTTTTTTCCAAATGGAAATCTCCCTTGTGAGTAAGATTATAGAATAGCACGAACATGCAGAATGTCTTTGTGTGTAAATTAGTGAGCATCATGTGAGGAAGAGCTATAACTTACTATTTGGAATCTCTGTATATACTTTGCAGGGGAAATCACATCTGAATGTTCCTTTATTGTATCATGCGCAGAACTCTGAATTCTGAATGAAATTTAGGTTCAGGCAATTAAGGCCATAAAAAGTTTGTTCTTTATGTGGATTTATCTACTTCAACTTTTATTTTAAATTCAGGGGATATATGTGCAGGTTTGTTACAAGGGTACATTGCATGATGCTAAGGTTTGGGGTTCTTTACATTTAAAGAATGTAAAGGGGTAGGAGGAGAAGAGCTACTTTTTTGGGGAGGTATGTTACTGGTTTTATGTAGCATGTTCAGGAAGGGCCCCTTCCCCTACATTTAAAGAATGTAAAGAACTTTGGGTAGGACCAGCTTGACCTCTCATTTTGATATATTTTTTAAAAAGACAAATATCTGGCCAGGCATGGTGGCTCATGCCTGTAATCCCAGCACTTGGGGAGGCCGAGTCCGGTGGATCACCAGGGTCAGCAGTTCGAGACCAGGCTGGCCAAAATGTTGAAACCCCATCTCTACTAAAAATACAAAAATTAGCTGGGCATGGTGGCAGGCGCCTGAAATCCCAGCTACTTAGTAGGCTGAGGCAGGAGAATCACTTGAACCAGGAAGGTGGATGTTGCAGTGAGCCGAGATCACGCCATTGCACTCCAGTGTGGGTGACAAGAGCGAAACTCTGTCTCAAAAAAAAAAAAAAAGACAAACATATTTATTTTCCTAATAGTTAATTATTTACACTCTTCATTTTTCTGGTATCTAAAGCTTTTATCTCACTGCAGTGAACATTTAAGGTAATTTTTCAGTGGGATTTCTCTGCCCAATACCTCCTTCACAAGCTTCTTTGAAGTAATATTATCCTAATGTTGCTCTTAAGTTGTTTCAAACCCTCAAATATATAAACAAAACATTGAAAATATTCTTTTATTCTAAAGAATATGCATATATGTGTAGATATTGCAAGTGATATTAAGCATAAGTAGAAAAATGTACATAGAAGAATGTTATTATCCATGATCTCATCAGCTGGTTATATCCATAAAACATTTTGTTGAATAATCTTCCATGCTATCATTAATTCATTCATTGGCTTATTTATTTAGTCCTTCAGTTTCTTTAATAAATGTTACTGCTTTCCTACCTTGTGCCAGGTACTGGGTGTTGGGAATATATTAGTGAAATAAGGCTATGAGGTCTTTGACCTCAAGGAGCAAATAATACAGGAAGAGAATCAGACAATAAAGAGGTATTTATGTATATATACGTAAAAAATCACATACTGAGAAATTCTATAAAAAGAAATAAAACAGGGTGTGGGGAAAGGAACATGAGGAGGGGGTGTTCATGATGCTATTTTATTTTTATTACTTTGTATTTCAATAGTTTATTGGGGAAGAGGTGATGTTTGGTTACATTAGTAAGTTCTTTACTAGTGATTTGTGAGCAATGTATAATGCACAGTATTTGTAGTCTTTTATCCCTCATTCCCTTCCCGCCCTTTCCCCCTGAGTCCCCAAAGTCTATTATGTCATTCTTAGGCCTTTGCAGCCTCATAGCTTACCTCCCACTTATGAGTGAGAACATATGATGTTTGGTTTTCTGTTTCACAGTTACTTCGCTTAGAATAATAGTCTCCAATCTCATCCAGGTCACTGTGAATGCCATTAACTCATTCCTTTTTATGGCTGAGTAGTATTCCATCATATATATATATATATATATATATATATATATATATATATACACACATATATATACCACAGTTTCTTTATCCACTCGTTGATTGATGGGCATTTGGGTTGGTTCCATGATTTTGCAATTGTGAATTGTGGTGCTATGAGCATGCATGTGCAAGTATCCTTTTTGTGTAATAACTTGTTTTCCTCTGGGTAGATACCCAGTAGTGGGATTGCTGGATCAAATGGTGGTTCTACTTTTAGTTCTTTAAGGAATCTCCACACTGTTTTCCATAGTGGTTGTACTAGTTTACATTCCCACCAGCAATGTAGCAGTGTTCCTTGTTCAGTGCATACACGCCAACATTTACTGTTTTTTGATTTTGTGATTATGGCCATTCTTGCAGGAGTAAGATGGTATCACATTGTGGTTTTGATTTGCATTTCCCTGATTATTAGTGATGTTGAGCATTTTTTCATATGTTTGTTGGCCATTTGTACATCTTCTTTTGAGAATTATCTATTTATGTCCTTAGCCCACTTTTTGATGGGATTTTTGTTTTTTTCTTGTTGATTTGTTTGAGTTCATTGTAGATTCTGGATATTAGTCCTTTTTCAGATGTATAGATTTTGAAGATTTTTTCCCACTCTGTGGGTTATCTTTTTACTGTGTTGACTATTCCTTCTGCCATGCAAAACTCTTTAGTTTAACTAAGTCCCAGCAATTTATCTTTGTTTTCATTGCATTTGTTTTTGGGTTCTTGATCATGAAATCCTTGCCTAAGCCAATGTCTAGAAGGGTTTCTCCAATGTTATCTTTTAGGATTTTTATAGTTTTACATCTTAGATTTAAGTCCTTTATCCATCTTGAGTTGATTTTTGTATAAGGTGAGAGATGAGGATCCAGTTTCATTCTCCTGCATGTGGCTAGCCAATGCACATAGCTATCCCAGCACCATTTTGGAAAAGGGTGTCCTTTCCCCACTTTATGCTTTTGTTTGCTTTATTGAAGATAAGTTGGCTTTAAGAATTTGGGTTTATTGCTGGGTTCTTTATTCTGTTCCATTGGTCTATGTGCCTATCTTTTATACCAGTACCATGCTGTTTTGATGACTATGGCCTTATGGTATAGTTTGAAATCAGGTAATGTGATGCCTCCAGATTTGTTCTTTTTGCTTAGTCTTGCTTTGGCTATATGGGCTCTTTTGTGGTTCCATATGAATTTTATAATTGTTTTTTTCTAATTCTGTGAAAAGTGATGGTGGTATTTTGACAGGAATTGCATGGAATTTATAGATTGCTTTTGGCAGTATGGTCATTTTCACAATATTGATTCTACCCATCCATGAGCATGGGATGTGTTTCCATTTGTTTGTGTCATCTACGATGTCTTTCAGCAGTGTTTTGTAGTTTTCCTTGTAGAAGTCTTTCACCTCTTCAGTTAGGTATATTTCTAAGTATTTTATTTTATTTTTTGCAGCTATTGTAAAAGGGGTTGAGTTCTTGATTTGATTCTCAGCTTGGTTACTGTTGGTGTATAGAAAAGCTACTGATTTGTGTACGTTAATTTTGTATCCGGAAACTTTGCTGAATTCTTTTATCAGTTCTAAGAGCTTTCTGTAAGAGTCTTAAGGATTTGCTAGGTAAACGATTATAGCATCAGCAAACAGCGACAGTTTGACTTCCTCTTTACCGATTTGGATGCCCTTTATTTATTTCACTTGTCTGATTGCTCTGACTAGGACTTTCAGTACTGTGTTGAAGAGTAGTGGTGAGAATGGGCATCCATATCTTGTTCCAGTTCTCAGAGGGAACTTTCAACTTTTCCCCATTCCGTAACATGTTGGCTGTGAATTTGTCATAGACGGCTTTTATCATATTGAGGTATGTCCTTTGTATGCTGATTTTGCTGAGAGTTTTAATCATAAAGTAGTGCTGGATTTTGTCCAGCAATGCTTTTTCTGCATCTATTGAGATAATCATGTGATTTTTGTTTTTAATTCTGTTTATGTGGTGTATCACATATATTGACTTGCATATGTTAAACCATCCCTGCACCCCTAGTATGAAACCCACTTGATTATGGTGGGTTATCTTTTTGATATATTGTTGGATTCAGTTAGCTAGTATTTTGTTAAAGATTTTAGTGTTTATGTTCATCAGGGATATTGGTCTGTAGTTTCTTTTTTGATTATGTCTTTCCTAGTTTTGGTGTTAGGATGATACTGCCTTCATAGAATGATTTAAGGAGGGTTCCCTCTTTCTCTATCTTGTAGAGTAGTGTCAATAGGATTGGTACCAATTCCTTGAATGTCTGGTAGAATTCTGCTGTGAATCCGTCTGGTACTGGTCTTTCTTTGTTGGTAATTTTTAATTACCATTTCAATCTCGCAGCTTGTTATTGGTTTGCTTAGGGTATCTAATTCTTCGTGATTTAAGCTAGGAGGGTTGTATCTTTCCAGGAATTTATCTCTTCTAGGTTATCTAGTTTATGCACATAAAGGTTTTTATAGTATCCTTGAATGATCTCTTGTATTTCTGTGGGGTCAGTTGTAAAATCTCTCGTTTTGTTTCTTACTGAGCTTATATGGATTTTTCTCTCTTCTTTTCTTGATTAATCTTGCTAATGGTCTGTTAATTTTATTTATCATTTCAAAGAACCAGCTTTTTCTTTCATTTATCTTTTGTATATTTTTGTTTAAATTTCATTTAGTTCTGCTCTGATCTTCGTTTTTTCCTTTTTTCTGCTAGGTTCAGGTTTAATTTGTTCTTGTTTCTCTAGTTCCTTGAGGTGTGACCTTAGATTGTCTGTTTGTGCTCTGTCAGACTTTTTGATGGAGGTGTTTAGGGCTACGAACTTTCCTCTTAGCACTGCCTTTGGTGTGACTCAGAGGTTTTGATACATTTTGTCACTATTGTCATTCAGTTTGAAGAATTTTTTAATATCCATCTTAATTTCATTTTTGATTCAATGATCATTCAGGAGCAGGTTGTTTAATTACCATCTATTTGCATGGTTTTGAAGGTTTCTTTTGGAATTGATTTCCAGTTTTATTCCACTGTGGTATGAGAGAGTGCTTGATATAATTTCAATTTTCTTAAATTTGTTGAGGCTCATTTTGTGGCCTACCATATAGTCTATCTTGGAGAAAGTTCCATGCGCTATTCAATAGAATGTATATTCTGCAGTTGTTCGATGGAATGTTCTGTATATATCTGTTAAGTCCATTTGTTCCAGGCTATCGATTAAATCAATTGTTTCTTTGTTGACTTTCTGTCTTAATGACCTGTCTAGTGCTGTCAGTGGAGCAGTAAGATTCCCCCACTATTATTGTGTTGCTGTTTATCTCATTTCTTAGGTCTATTAGTAATTGTTTTATAAATTTGAGAGCTCCAGTCTTAGGTGCATATATGTTTAGGATTGTGACATTTTCCTGCTGGACAATACCTTTTATTATTATATAATGTCCCTCTTTGTCTTTTTTAACATCCATTTCTTTAAAGTTTGTTTTGTCTGACATAAGAATAGCTACTCCTGCTCGCTTTTGGTGATCATTTGCCTGAAATGTCTTTTTGCACCCCTTTACCTTAAGTTTATGCGAGTCCTTACGTGTTAGATGAGTCTCTTGAAGGGAGCAGATAGTTTGTTGGTGAGTGTTTATCCATTCTGCAAGTCTGTATCTTTTAAGTAGAGCATTTAGGCCATTTACATTCAATGTTAGTATTAAGATGTGAGGTAACATTCCATTGATCATGCTATTTGTTGCCTATATACCTTGGTTTTTTGTTTTCTATTTTTGTTTTTTAAATTGTATTTTTGTTTTATAGGTCCTTTGAGATTTATGCTTTAAAGAGGTTCTGTTTTGATGTGTTTCCAGGATTTGTTTCAAGAGTTAGAGCTCCTTTTAGCAATTCTTGTAGTCGTGGCTTGGTAGTGGCAAATTCTCTCAGCATGTCAAGCAGGCAGAGAATAAGCATGTCTGGTTCATAAGAGGGATTCAGATTGAAGAGGAAAGAAAAAATTAGAGAATAAAAAAATACGACATTAAAAACATGTATCTTGATGAAATTACTTAGAATATGTTAACAGAAAATAAAAAAGATGTGAAGATTTAACTTGAGGCCTAATATTTTGAAGCCAAAAAGAGGAGGAGGTTCCAGCAAAAATAAGCAAGAGGGAATGATCAGTGAGTAAAACAAAATCTGTGAGTGTTTATAACTATCAAAAGCCAAGTGTAGAAAGTGTCAGGAGAAGTCAAGTCAGGGGTGTAGGTGATCAATTATGCCAAGTGTCATGGAAAGTTTAAAGAAGATCAGGACTAAAAATTGATCGTTGGCTTTAGCAATGTGGAGGTCATTGGTGGCCTTGGGGAAAGAATGATTTCAGAGAATTTATGGGGAAGAAAGCCTGAGAAGAATGAGCCCACAAAAGAAATAGGAAGTAGAAATATATACTTTGTATTTTTAAATAAAGGGAGATAGAAAAATTGGGCTGTAAAAAGTGTAGTAAAGATAGGGCACTCAACTTCTTTGAAGTTGGAGGTGGATAGGTAAAGGAAAAAAATTATTTTCTTAATTGGAATTTATTTCAGTAGGCTTGCTGAGTCCAGTGCATAAGTAGATGAGTTAGAATCAGGTAGGAATACAGAAGGTTTGTATATGGTAACAAAGGAGGACAGTATTTTGGCATGGAGGCAGGCAGTTGAGTAGTTTGTTGTTATAAGAATACAAAAGAAAGAAAAGTTGCCTTTTCTTTTCATTTTTAAGATACAAGATCTTACTATGTTTCTCAGACTGGCCTCAAACTCCTGGTCTCAAATGATCCTCCTGCCTTAGCCTCCTAAGTAGCTGGAATTATAGGTGCATGACACTGTGCTCAGCAGAAAGGTGTTTTTTATTGCTTCCAAGAAGAAAAGTCATTAGCTCAGAGTGAAAAGAAAGTGGAACCATTAGAGGATTGAAGAGAGAGAGAGTGCTAATGAATTAGTGAAGTGCAGGAGCATTGTCAGGCCCACTGGAAATAGTGGTCATACCTTTAAAGTGAGAGGATTGAGCTTAGTTGTGTTTTTCTGTTTTTCTCCAGCCACATTGTATAGCATGAGTGCAAGTAAGGACTAGCAGAGAGTGGGTCCTAGCCAGGGGTAGAGTTTTTTTTTTTTTTTTTTTTTTTTTGAATGAGTTATACATAGAGAGAGACGGAGCAAGAGTGTTTGGGGTGTTATTATAATAATGGCCTATAGAATCTAAGTTGGCTGAGGATGAAATGAGGACCTAAAGAAGGTGACAATCACAACCAGTGGAAAGGTAGTTGAGCCAATGTATTTAAGTCTTTATCAGGTTGAAAATTGTTGGAATCGACATATTGAAGGAATGATATGGAAAGAAAGAAGATATTCTTCATAGAACAAGATGTGTAAAATTGAGATTTTTGGGGGTGATTCTGTGATTTGTAGTGACAAAATCTAGGTGTGGCCCTCTAGCGGCTGCCTATGGGTTGCTAGCTATACCCACATATATGTACACACACATATACTATTGTCATACCCATCTGTTTCTTACAAACTCTGCTTTACTGAGCTATAATTCATGCGGTGAAATGAAGCCATTTTGAATATATAGTGTTCTAAGTTTTGACTGATGTATACATATATTTTAGCTAAATGTATACAAACTTATACATATAATCACAACCATAATAAAGATGTAGAACATTTTCATAACCTTGAAAATTCTCTTATGCTCTTTGTGTCAATTCCCACTCCACTCCCACACCCAGGAAGCCACTGAACTTCTTTCTGGTAGATTAGTTTATATCTTTAACATATTTATATAAAAGTTATCATTTTGTATGTGCTCATTTTTTTGCTCAGCATATGATTTTAGAATTTACCCATGTTGTTTTGTGTACTAGTAATTGTTCAATTTTTAGTGATGAGTAATATTTTATTTTATTTAGTTATTTTCATTTTACTTTAAGTTCTGGGATACATGTGCAGAACGTGCAGGTTTGTTACATAGGTATATGTGTGCCATAGTGGTTTGCTGCATCTATCTACCTGTCATCTAGGTTTTAAGCCCTGCATATATTAGCTATTTGTCCTGATGTTCTCCCTCCCCTTGGCCCCCATCACCCGACAGGTCCCAGTGTGTATTGCTCCCCTCCCTGTGTCCATGTGTTCTCATTGCTCAACTCCCACTTATGAGTGAGAACATTCGGTGTTTAGTTTTCTGTTCCTGTGTTAGTTTTCTGAGGATGATGGTTTCCAGCTTTATCCATGTCCCTGCAAAGAACATAATCTCATTCCTTTTTATGGCTGCATAGTATTCTATGGTGTATATGTACCATGCTTTCTTTATCCAGTCTATCATTTATGGGCATTTGGGTTGGTTCCATATATTTGCTGTTGTAAATAGTGCTGAAATAAACATATGCGTGTGTGCGCCTTTATAGTAGAATGATTATATTCCTTTGGGTATATGCCCATTAATGGGATTGCTGGGTCAAATGGCATTTCTGGTTCTGGATCCTTGAGAAATCATCACACTGTCTTCCACAATGATTAAACTAATTTACATTCCCACCAACAGTGTAAAGCGTTCCTAATACCTCACAGCCTCACCAGCATCTATTGTTTCTTGAATTTTAATAATTGCCATTCTGACTGGTGTGAGATGGTATCTCATTGTGGTTTTGACCAGCATTTCTCTAATGATCAGTGATGTCGAGCTTTTCTTCATATGTTTGTTGGCTACATAAATGTCTTCTTTTAGAAGTGTCTGTTCATATTCTTTGCCCACTTTTTGATGGGGTTGTTTGTTTTTTTCTTGTAGACAAAAGTGCTTCAGATGTGTAGATTGCAAAAATTTTCTCCCATTCTGTAGGTTGCCTGTTCACTCTGATGATAGTTTCTTTTGCTATGCAGAAGCTCTTTAATTAGATCCCATTTGTCAATTTTAGCTTTTGTTGCATTTGCTTTTGGTTTTTTCATCATGAAATCTTTGCCCATGCCTATGTCCTGAATGATAGTGCCTAGGTTTTCTTCTAGGGTTTTTATGGTTTTGGGCTTTGCACTTAAGTCTTTAATCCATCTTGAGTTAATTTTTGTATAAGGTGAAAGGAAGGGGTCCAGTTTCAATTTTCTGCTTATGGCTAGCCAGTTTTCCCAGCATGATTTATTAAATAAGGAATGCTTTCCCCATTGCTTTCTTTTGTCAGGTTTATTGAAGATCAGATGGTTGTAGATGTGTGGTGTTATTTCTGAGGTCTCTATTCTGTTCCATTGGTCTATATATCTGTTTTGGTACCAGTACCATGCTGTTTTGGTTACTGTAGCCTTGTAGTATAGTTTGAAGTCAGGTAGCATGATTCCTCCAGCTATGTTCTTTCTGCTTAGGATTGTCTGGCCATCCAGGCTCTTTTTTGGTTCCATATGAAATTTTAAGTATTGTTTTCTAATTCTGTGAAGAATGTCAATTGTAGCTTGATGGGAATAGCATTGAATCTATAAATTACTTGGGGCAGTATTGCTATTTGCATAATAATGATTCTTCCTATCCATGAGGATGGAATGTTTTTCCATTTGTTTGTGTTCTGTCTTATCTCCTTGAGCAGTGATTTGTAGTTCTCCTTGAAGATATCCTTCATGTCTCTCGTTAGCTGTATTCCTAGGTATTTTATTCTCCATGCAGCAATTGTGAATGGGAATTCATTCATGATTTGGCTTTCTGCTTGTCTATTGTTGGTGTACAGATATGTTTGTGATTTTTGCACATTGATTTTGTATCCTGAGACATTTCTGAAGTTGCTCATCAGTTTAAGGAGTTTTTGGGCTGATACGATGGGGTTTTCTAAATATAGAATTATCTAATCCGTAAACAGAGACAATTTGACTTCCTCTCTTCCTATTTGAACAACCTGTATTTCTTGCATAATTGCCCTGACCAGAACTTCCAATACTATGTTGAATAGGAGTGGTGAGAAAGGGCATCTTTGTCTTTGTGCCAATTTTCAAAGGGAATGCTTCCAGCTTTTGCTCATTCTGTATGATATTGGCTGTGGGTTTTTCATGAATAGCTCTTATTATTTTGAGATCTGTTCCATCAATATCTATTTTATTGAGAGTTTTTAACATGAAGTGGTGTTGAATTTTATTGAAGGCCTTTTCTGCATCTATTCGGATAATCATGTGTTTTTTTTCATTGGTTCTGTTTATGTGATGAATTACATTTATTGATTTGCATATCTTGAACCAGCCTTGCATCCCAGGGATGAAGCCAACTTGATTGTGGTGGATAAGCTTTTTGATGTGCTGCTGTATTCAGTTTGCCAGCATTTTATTGAGGATTTTTGCATCGATGTTCATCAGGGGTATTGGCCTGTCATTTCGTAAGTAAGATCAGAGCAGAACTGAAGGAGATAGAGACATGAAAAACCCTTCAAAAAATCAATGATTCCAGAAAATGTTTTTTTGAAACACTTAACAAAATAGACTGCTAGCTAGACTAATAAAGAAGGAAAGAGAGAAGATCAAATAGACATAATGAAAAATGATAAAAAGAATGTCACCACAGAAATACAAACTACCATCAGAGAATACTATAAACACTTCTTTGCAAATAAACTAGAAAATCTAGAAGAAATGGATGAATTCCTGGACACAGACCCTCCTAAGACTAAACCAGGAAGAAGTCGAATCCCTGAATAGACCAATAACAAGTTCTGAAATTGAGGCAGTAATTAAAGTGTACCAAAAATAAAAATAAAAAAAGCCCGGGACCAGACGGTTTCATAGCCGAATTCTACCAGATGTACAAAAAGGAGTTGGTACCATTCCTTCTGAAACTATTCCAAACAGTTGAAAAGGAGGGACGCCTCCCTAACTCATTTTATGAAGCCAGCATCATCCTGATACCAAAACCTGGCAGAGACACAACAAAAAGTGAGTAATATTTTATATTATAAACAGATCATAATTTTTTTAGGTTTTCACCTGACAATATTGTTTCCAAATTTTGACTACCAAAAATAAAGTATCTATGAATATTTAGGTACAAGACTTTTGTGGACATAAGTTTAATTTTTCTTATTTAGGTAACTAGGAGTGGGATTTCTTTGTTGTATAGTAAATATATGTTGATATATAAGGAAACAGCCAAATTGTTTTCCATTTTGTGCCATTCTGTGTAACTGCTAGCAATGTATGAGAGTTCCATTTATTCCACATCCTTGCTAGCACTTTTAAATTTTAGCCTTTTAGAGGTTACATAGTGGTTTTAATTTGCATTTCCATGATGACTAATAATGTTGAGCATTTTGAAATATACTTGTTGGCCATTCATATATCTTTTTTTTTTTTTTTTTTTTTTTTGAGATGGAGTCTCTCTCTGTTGCCCAGGCTGGAGTGAAACGGTGTGGTCTTGGCTTGCTGCAACCTCTGTCTCCCAGGTTCAAGCGATTCTCCTGCCTCAGCTTCCCGAATAGCTGGGATTACAGGCATGTGCCACCACACTCAGCTAACTTTTTGTATTTTTAGTAGAGGTGGGGTTTCACCGTATTAGCCAGAATGGTCTCAATCTCTTGACCTCGTGATCTGCCCGCCTCGGCCTCCCAAAGTGCTAGGATTACAGGCATGAGCCACCACACCCGGGCTCATATATCTTTTTATGTGAAATGTCTCTTCAAATAGTTTGCCTATTGAAAAAATATTTCTTCTTACTATTGACTTGCAACCATTCTTCATATATTCTGGATACATGTGCTTTCTCAGATGTGTATATTGTGATTATTTACCCTAAGACTGTGGCTTGACTTCTCGTTTTCTTAATTCTATCTTTTAAAGAGCAAACATCGTTTTTAGCTAATTTTGATAAAGTCAAATTTATTAAATTATCTTATGGCTCATGCTTTTTGTCTCCTATTGAAAATATTTTTGCATCTCCCAAAATCAAATGATTTTTCCTGATTTTTCTTCTAATATTTTTGTAGTTCTAACTTGTATGTTTCAAGTTAAATTTGGTGTGTGTTCTGAGATCATTGTTGAGGTCAAATTTTCTTCCTGTGTTCAAATATTCTACATTCTTACTACTGTTCTCTCTATACAGTCTATCAATTACTGAGAGAGGAGAGTTAAAATCCTCAACTCTCCAACTATAATTGTGGATTTGCCTACTTCTTTCAGGTTTGGTAGTTTTGTTTAATGTATTTTGAGTTTGTAAGTATATACATATATATATATATATATATATATGTATGTATATGTTTATATCTTCTTAGTGAACTGTCACCTTCATCATATGTAATGTCCTACTTTATCCCTGACAATATTTCTTGTTCTCAAGTCAGTATTAATATCTAGCTTTCTTATGATTAGTATTTTTATGATGCATATATATAATATATATACCTATATATGCATATCTCTTGCTATTCGTTCTCTATTCTTCCCATCTGATCTTTGTTCATATTTTTCACTCCTGTTCTATTTGGAATTAATTAATAGTTTTTTGTATTTTATTTTTATCTCCACTATTGGTATATAAGATATACCACATATTTTGTTTGTTTGTTATGAAATTTTATACATCGCAAACATATCAAAGGCCATCTTCAAATAATATTAAACCTTGTAGCATTAAAGATCCTTCATTTGTGCTTTGATGCCATATGTTCTTATATGTTAAAGTTACAATATTATATGCTTACAATTCTTGCTTTAAAGGAGGATTTTAAAAAATACTAAAAAATGAGAAAAATGTATTATTTTGGACACTCTGTTCCTTTGTATAGATTCGAATTTGTATCTAATGCCTTTTTTTGCTTGAAGAACTTCTTTTAACATTTATCATACTGAAGAATAGATTCCATTTATTTGAAAAGGTTTTATTTCATCTTAATTTTGAAGGAAATTTCCTTAAACATAATAGTCTATGTTTACTGTTTTTTTTTTGTATTGTTTCAGAACTTTAAATCTGTCAATGTCCTCTGATTTTCACAATTTCTGATGAGAAGTTAGTTGTTCTTATTACTGTTCCTGTAAGTAATGTCTTTTTTTTTTCTCTTGGAGCTTTTAAAATTTTGTCTTTTTCACTGGTTTATGCAGTTTGATTAGAGTGCCTTTAGTGTAGTCTTCCTTGTATTTATCTTTCTAATAGTGTGTTCCACTTCTTAGAATGTTTGTCTGTATAGATTTTATCCAATTTAGAAAGAAATACAGACCCTATTTCTTTAAATATTTTATCTGTCTTTCCACCTCTTCATCAAGGACTCCAATTATAAATATGTTAGATCATTTCATATTATTACACAATTTACTCAGTCTCTGTTAGTTTTTTGTTATATTTATTATTTAATACATTTTATTGTGAATATTTGAGGTGTAAATCATGATGTTATGGAATACATATAGATAGTACAGTGTTTACTGTAGTGAAACAAATTAACATATCTATCATCTCACATACTTTTTTGTGATGAGAGCAACTAAAATGTATTTAATTAATAAAAATCTCCAGTACAACAATGTTTTTAAAAAATGTTTATTTACATAGTTTATTTGGGAACAGGTGTTGTTAGGTTACATGAATAAGTTCTTTAGTGGTGATTTGTGAGATTTTGGTGCACCCTTCACCGGAGCAGTATACACTGCACCAAATTTGTAGTATTTTATCCCTCACCCCCTTCCCACCCTTTCCCTCTGAGTCCCCAAAGTCTGCTATGTCCTTCTTATGCCTTTGCATCCTCATAGCTTAGCTACCACTTATGAATGTGAATATATGATGTTTGGTTTTTCATTCCTGAGTTACATTACTTAGAACAGTAGTCTCCAATCTCATTCAGGTTGCTGCAAATGCCATTAATTCATTCCTTTTTATGTCTGAGTAGTATTCCATTGTATATATATATACCACAGTTTCTTTATCTACTTGTCCAATACAATACAATTTTATTAACTATAGCTCTCATGCTGCACATTAGATTGCTAAACTTATTCATTAATTTGTATCCTTTGACCTATATCTTTGTATCCTTTGGCCTATATCTTTGTTTTTGAGCATTTTCTCTCTCTCTCTTTGCTTTATGTTGTATTTTTCTATTACTAAATTTCAGTGCTTTTAAATTTCAGTGATTTTATACACTAAAATCTACTTAGTCTACAGGATCTAAACTGCTATTTATCCCATGCGGTGATTTTTTTCCTCCTTCAAATGTCATATTTTCCATTTTCAAAAATCCCATTTGGCTCTTCTTTATATAATACATTTCTCTTCTCATATTAGTGATTTCCTAGAATGTTTGAACATATTAAGCATATTTCTAACAGACGCTTTAAAATCATGTTCTACTAGTTCTATCATATCTACTGTTTCTTGGTTTTTGTCGATTGATTGATTTTTCTTCTGTAATGGGCCATAGTTGTCTACTTTTAAGAATTTTTAGTAATTTTTAATTGAATACTGACCAGTATAAATTTTGTGTTTTTTTGAGTGTTGGATTGTGTTGGCTTTCTTTAAATAAGGTTGCACTTTGATCTCGAAGGTAGTTACTTGAGTGTCAGCTTGATAATTACAAAACTTGCTTGTAAACTTTGTGAGGGGAGATGTGGAGAAGCCTTTACTCAGGACCACAAAATATGTCAACCTTCTGGTCTCTTGATTGAATACGCTTGATGTTCAGCAAGGAATTCTTGTTATATAGCTCGTCAAACTTTGAATGATACCCAGTCTTGTGTGAACTCTGGTATTCATTTAATAGCAAATCAATTGCTTTGACTTTTGGAATTTCATTTTATGCATGCATGGCTTAAATAGATTTAAGAAGAACCTTATGCAAATTCCTGAAGCTTATTTTCTTTATAGTTCCCTCCTTTCCAGTTCTTTCTCCTCAAACCCCAGGTAGCCACTTCAAAATCCTGTCTCTATCTTCTCAAATAAGCAAGATTACTGTCCTAGGATTAGAATCTTTCTTTTGCAACATGTTTTGGAAAGTTTCTGCAGGCAAAAATCTGAGGTAATCATGGGGTTCACCTCTTTTGTTTCCCTTCTCTCAAGGGTCAGGTTTTTTATCCAATTTTCTAGATTCTTTTATGATGAATGAGTGAGTCATTTCTCATTACTCCATCATAGTGTAAATAAGTTTCAATTACATAACCATTTTAAAATTCTTTTTTTTAGTTAACAATATGCCATAGTAATATATTCTTTCCAATGAGTATAAACACACATTCTTTTCAATGCCTTCATAATATTTCATTGTATAGATCTTTATAACTTATAACCAATATCTTATTGATGGACATTTAGAATAGTTCCATTTGCTGGCATAATTATAATTCTGCAAAAATAATTCTAATGAATATATTTTGTGTTAATATTATTTGATGATTTCTCTACAATAAACACAAAAATTAAATCTGAGTCAAAGGCGATTCACCTCATGTTTGATAGATACTGCTACATACAATTCAGGAAATATACTAGTTAATCCTTATGTTATATATATTGAATATAGCTAATCATATACTTCTTTCTTAACAGTTAAATTTTTAAAAATTTTGCATTTGTATATAGCAAAAGCACTATTAAGAAGAAAGTTTATACCTATAAGTGCCTACATCAAAAGAGATGAAAAACTTCAAATAAATAATTTAGTGATGCATCTTAAAGAACTAAAAAAGCAAGAGCAAATCAACCCCCAAATTAGTAAAAGAAAAAAAAAATAAAGATCAGAGCAGAAGTAAATAAATTTAAAATTAAGAAAAAAATTCAAAAGATCGGTGAAACCAAAGTTTTTTTTTTTAAAGTTAAACAAAAGTGACAAACCTTTAACCAGACTAACTCAGGAAAAAAGGGAGAAGATCCAAATAAATAAAATCAGAAATGAAAAAGGAGACATTACAACTGATACTGCAGAAATTCAAAGGATCATTAGTGGCTACTGTGAGCAACTATATGCCGATATAATCTAGAATCAATGGACAAATTCCTAGATACATACAACCTACCAAGATTGAACCAGGAAGAAATTCAAAACCTGCACAGACCAGTAACAAATAACTACATTTAAGCCATAATAAAATTCTCCCAGTAAAGGAAAGCCTAGGACCTGATGGCTTCACTGCTGAATTCTACCAAACATTTAAAGAAGAACTATTATCAATCCTACTCAAACTTTTCCAAAAAATAGAGGAGGAAGGAATACTTTTAAACTCATTTTATGACACCTGAATTATTCTGATACCCAAACGAGAAAAAGTCACATCAAAAAAAAAAATACTATGGGCCAATATTTCTGATGAATATTGATGCGAAAATCCTCAGCAAAATCAAATTAAACAATACATTAAAAAGAACACTCATAATGACAAAGTGGAATTTATCCTTGGGATGCAAGGATGATTCAATGTACACAAATCAATCAATACCATACATTATATCAACAGAATGAAGGATAAAAATCATATGATTATTTCAAGTAATGCTGAAAAAACATTTGGTAAAATTCAACATCCCTTCATGATAAAACCCTAAAAAAACTACAGATATGAGTAACATAGTTGAACATAATAAAAGCCATATACAACAGACCCACAGCTAGTATCACACTGAATGGGAAAAAAACTGAAAGCCTTTCCCCTAAGATCTGGAACCCACCAAAATGCTAATTTCACCACTGTTATTCAATATAGTACAGGAAATCCTAGCTAGAGCAATCAGGCAAAAGAAAGAAATAAAGAGCATCTAAATTGGAATGGAAGTCAAATTATCCTTGTTTGCAGATAACATGATCTTATATTTGGAAAAACATGAAGGCTGCAGAAAAAAAAAACTATTTGAACTGATAAATTCAGTAAAGTTGCAGGTTACAAAATCAACATACAAAAAATCAGTAGCATTTCTATATGCTAACAGTGAGCAATCTGAAAAAGAAAAAAGAAATTCCATTTATAATAGCCACAAATAAAATTGAATACCTAGGAATTAACTAAACAAAACAAGTGAAAGTTCTCTATAATTAAAACTATAAAACACTGATGAAAGAAATTGAAAAGGACACAAAAAAAATTGAAAAATATTATATGATCATGGATTGAAGAATCAATATTGTTAAAATGTCCATACTATAAAAAGCAATCTACAGATTCAGTGTAATCCTTATCAAAATATCAATGACATTCTTCACAGAAATAGAAAAAAAATCCTAAAATTTATGTGGAACCACAAAAGACCCAGAATAACCACAGTCATCCTAAGCAAGAAGAACAGAACTGGAGGAATCACATTCTTGACTTCAAATTATACTACAGAGCTATAATAAACAAAACAACATGGTACTGGCATAAAAACAGACACATAGACCAATGGAATAGAATAGAGAACCCAGAAACAAACCCACACCCCTACAATGAATTCATTTTTGACAAAGGTGCCAAGAATATGTGCTGGGGAAAGACAGTCTCTTCAATAAATGGTGCTGGGAAAACAAGATATCCATATGCAAAGAATGAAACTAGACCCCTATCTCTTACCACATATAAAAGTCAAGTCAAAATGGGTTAAAGGCTTCAATCTAAGACTTCAAACTATAAAACTACTATGTGACTACATTGAGGAAAATCTCCAGGACACTGGTCTGGGCAAAAATTTCTTGAGTAATACCCCATAGGCTCAAACAACCAAAGCAAAAATGAACAAATGGAATCACATTAAGTTAAAAAGATTCTGCACAGCAAAAGAAACAACCAAAAAGGTGGAGACAACCTACAGAATGGGAGAAAATATATGCAAATTAACCATCAGATAAGGGATTAATAACCAGAATATATAAGGAGCTCAAACAACTCTATATGAAAAATCAATTCATCCAATCAAAAAATCAGCAAAAGATTTAAATAAACATATTTCAAAAGAAGACATATACATGGCAAACAGACATATGAAAATGTGCTCAAAATCATTGATCATCAGGGAAATGCAAAGCAAAACTACAGTGAGATATCATTTTACACCAGTTAAAATGGCTTATATCCAATAGACAGGCAATAATAAATGCTGGTGAGGATGTGTTGAAAGGAAACCCTTGTATATACTGTTGGTGGGAATGTAAATTAGTACAATCACTATGGAGAAGAGTTTGGAGGTTCCTCAAAAAACTAAAAATAGAGCTACCGTGTAATCTAGCAATCCCACTGCTGGACACATACCCAAAAGAAAGGAAATCAATATGTCAAAGAGCTATCTGAATTCTCATGTTTATTGCAGCATTATTCACCACAGCTAAGATTTGGAAACAGCCTAAGTATCCATCAACAGATTGCACAACAGGGTAACTATAGTCAATAATAACTTAATTTTACATTTTAAAATAATTAAAAGAGTGTAACTGGATTGTTTGTAATGCAAAAGATAAATGCTTGAGAGGATGGTAACCCCAATCTCCATCATGTGATTATTTCTCGTTGAATGCTTGTATCAAAACATCTCAGGTACCCCACAAATATATACACCTACTATGTACCCACAAAAATTAAAAATAAGAAAATTTTTAATAAGAAAAGGAAAAATAAATAATTTGCATTTTATGAGTATTTATTACTTTCTATTTGCTTTTAAAGAAATGTAATGCAGCTTCTTTTGTAAACTTTAATAGCAGCATTTTATTATTCAAATTTCTAAAAATTTTTTGTTTTTAAATCAACTTCTATGTAGTTTTGAATTTTAACAGCATGTTTAAATGATTTTCTGTGTGTTCTCAGTTATTTTAAAAATAGTTTTTTCTGTTAAACTCTATTGATAAGTGTGTTCACACACTTTTAAAAACTGGATGTTTAATAAAAAAGATTGGATATCAAGTTAGCGTGTTTCTTAAAATCATCAATGTTTATATTTATCCTGTACTTGAACATCCAAATCACTCCACTTTTTTAGGTTTGTTAATATTAAGAAGAGTATTAGCTATTATAAATTTGAAAATCTTTGTAAGAGTAAATTACTATGGCGATTTTGTTCTTGTATTAGGAATAGGCATTTCATGATAATTATATAGCTTATTACTTATTTAATGTTCTTTTTGAGAAAATATTAATTATGAATTGTTATTATGGATCAATCTTGGGTAATATTATTTTCTGTTGTTACCTTAAATACATATTATCAAATATGCATCTCAAATTGCAAAGCAAAAGGTACAATTTAACTATAAAGTATCCATTTAATAATGGCAAAAATGCTAAAAAGGTAGGTTAAACCAGAATTGTTTACTTTCAGTAAGATTCCAGTTATGAAAACTTGCAAACATAACACTAGATTAAATTCGTATTTTTGTTTCTGGCTTGGTCTTGTTACATATGAGGTCCTCCTTTTGGAAAATAAGTCCTATGACATGATTTGCTTTGATCAAGAGATGCTCATTAATATTAGAATTTAGATATGAACAGTTAAATGTTAGATTATAGATGAGTTGGATATCTTTTGTTTGTTACTTATGATATTGTCTTAAAACTTTGAAAAGCTCTATTGATAATGTCAATTTCTAACTGAAGTCATGTTTTTCATAGGACTTCAGCTAAAAGGATATTTACACACACGCACACACATTATATGCACTGAAGGTGCATTCAATCTTGGAATTGTGCAAACTCTGATAATCATTAAAACATATTTAGTATTTGCCCATTTGCATTAAAATGGATTCTGGGATCCTTCTGTATCTCTGATCTAATATTTTCAATGACGTTAGAAGATCTTTGCGTGGATGGCATATGGGAAAATAGCATAACATATTTATGTTACATAAGGGAGGTGCATATTATGATTTTAACCTGTATTTCCAGGTAAAATATAGTCCTTATCATAAAGCTAGCTATCATATTTGTCCACTTCTGGTTATTTAAGGTGTTCTCTATTTATCTAAACTTTGTGGAAAAATGGTTCAATAGTTTGCATGTAAATTATTCCCTTGTCTGGTTATAAATAAATATACAGAGGAAAATGCTAATTAAAACAAGTCCGGTTATTCAAACAATGCATTATTCAACAAAATTCTCTAATATTTAACTTAATTTTTTCTTAGATTTTAACAATCCCTATGACCTTTTTTATTAGAATTAATAAGTGAGTAATCAAAAGCACAAATAAGCATAAGAGTATTAAGATCTAATATCGTTGTTCATAAAAACACTTTAATAGTGGATCCTTTAAGACATATCAAATACTTATTATTTTACAAAACCTGATGGTAACATTCTCTGTGTTGCCTGAGGGCATCAATTCCTCAATGAAATGTTTTCGTTATGACAATATTCTATGTTTCTTGTTGTGGTGTACCTTACAGCTAAAATAAATTGTGTTCTGAAAGCAATTCCTTTAAAAGATAATATGGTAAAATACTTTATACCTAGTGGCCAAGGGCAGCTCTTGTCTCTTTAAAGAGATTTTAATAAAAATATCAATTTCAGTTTGATTCACTACAATGTCTAAATACTTACATATTCTTTGGGAATGCATATATGAAACTATTCAAGCTTTGCTCTTTGTTAGCATGCAAACCATTAATATCTGTCTTTCAAAACTATTTTTCAGGCTCATTTGTTGACAGTCAAGCTTTAATTAAATAAAAGTGTTGGGATTAATGAAAAGAGATTGAAAAATGAGAAAAAAAAGTACCAACCTGGCAGATCTTGCTGATTTGGTGTAAAGCAGTTGTATTTAAGATGGAATTTTAACGACAGTATAGTATGACTCAATAAGGGAATATTCTTTACTGACTAATTTCCTTCAAATTTGCTAAACAATGTTTTTCTAATTTACTTAAATATTATCCAATGAAGTGCAAGCATAATTCTGCTGTTTAATTTTAGAATAACTCAGAGGTTTTCATTAGCAGCCAGATTAATGATTTTTTTTTTTCTGGAGGAACTAGCATGATGTATAACATTTAAATATTTTGAAGGAGATTCTCACTGTATTAAAACCATTTACATCATCCCATCAATTGCAAAAAGAAATGTTATTTTAATAAAAATAATTTTGTGTTGCTGAATACACTATCTTAAAGATATTTTTTTTCACCTTAACCAGACCACGCAATTACAGCTTAATAAAATTTGAATCATTTCAGAAATGGAAGCAAGATTGTTTATTTTTAATGTTAAGATTTTTTTTTTCTTGCACAGAAGTGGAGAAATCTATTTCTAATTACCTTTAGCTTAGAAGGTGTAGGGGAAAAATTATTTTCCTTTTAACCCATTAGGTTCTCTACTAGGTCTCTGAAACGAAAGATTAACAAGAGGAGAGCATAAACATTTATTTAATATAAAAGTCATGATATGAAAGCTTTAATAAAGAGATTAAGACCCAAATATATGATTAAATCTGAGTGTTTTTACACTAAGTTTGATAAGGAGTGAAAAGTCATGGAAAAAGCTAAGCTTTTTTCTCGCAGTTCATTGGGGGAAACTTATCCTTCAGCAAAGCCTGTGCCTTCAGATTCTTCTTGAAGTTCCTCCATCTTTGGAGAAAGGAGACTCCTTTCCTCCAGGAACAGGGCAGGCACCTCTCATGTCAAAGTCTTATGACCTGCCTCAGGGAAGACAGAGAATTCTTCTATCACCTACCATTTCTCAAACGACTCCAGCTAAAAATACTAAATATGCTATGTTGTCATATTATGGGGTATCATGTCATGAACCCCACCATTCATCCACCTGAAACTTCCCCAAGAAGCTTCACAATTCAGAAGCTGAGTTGGTAGATTGCCCCACATCCCATTGAACTAGTCTCTCAGCCCTGGGAACAGTTCTATCCAGTTAAACAATTGTATCTCATTTTGGGAGGCAGTGGTATAGATAGGAGTAGTCAACCACCCAAATTAAGTCTCTGTATGAAGTGAGCAATCAGTCATTTAATTGGAGGTACATTTATGGCCATAAGAGAAAAACAAAGGTTAATGGTTGTATCAAGTTAAGGGCAGAGGGAAGTCAAGATTTCTAGATGCTGAGATTGAATAATTTTAAGATGGTGGAGTGAAGATAGTGGTAGCAATTTTATAGATTTTCCTGATTTATAGTTTGAATATCTTTGGTTATGTCACCGGGTGTTCCAGTGAATTTTCTGAGTCGCCCACATGGCAAAAGGAATGAAGATTGTCTATACATGATATGTTGTGAAGATTTCTCTTAAGTTTGTATCAAATCCTCCAGCATCAGCCTGCAGGTCCTCAAGAAAAAGGCAGTTTTCATTCTCAATAATTCCAAGTCAGAAGGGAGAAAATTTAAGAACATTTATTTGGGGAGTTGTAACCAGATATTGGAGAAAACTATTAAGAATTAAAGATTCAGTCCCATTTATAGGTAGATAACAAAACTTTACAGTGAACAGGACTAGATTTTATTATCCATATATGTTTCCTATAATTTTTCGTGGAAACATTGTTCTCTCTCCACAGTCACCCAGCTTATGTCAAATATAATTAGAGTAAGACTAATTTGCTTATAGTCTCATTAAACTTGGCCTGATTACTTACCTAAAAGTGACAAGATTAGTAATTGACCACATAGGCTCTTTTTTCACTTTGCTTTGGTAAAACTTTTCATAAGGAATTTCAGCTTAGGTATTTAAAGGCCTCTGAGGCTAGGAAGTTAAGCAGAGGAGCTTGTCATCAGATGTCATCCACAATACCTATAGATTTCAATGAATTCCTCTCTTCTCAACATTTCCAGTATCTGGAAGTTTCCTGGGCCTGCCAGCAAGCAACCTTTTTTACTCATCTGTAAGGTCAGAAATCCTGTAAGCCCACTGTCAGGTTGCTTTTCTTGTCTGTTTGTCTTGTTTTTCCCAAGAGGCTGTTGAAAGCAACGACTCAATGAAGTCAAGCTTAGTTCCTTAAAACTGGACATTCCAGTGAAAGCCTTATTAATGTAACCAATGTTTCCAATTATGTCCAGTTACAAGGATAACAGATTCTTATTGAACTTATGCAAATAACCATATTGCCATAAAAATATGAATATTTAATAAGAGTTTCTAAATTTTGGAGGGATCAGATAGGAAGAAAAAAATAAATGTTTCATTTTTGTTCACAATGGCATACTTTACCAAATAGCTGTAAGCTATAGATAGCTTAAGAGAAAAGAAAAAAGTCATTCATTAGATCTGAAAACAAGACATGGAAGAACTATCAATTTTCCAAAACAAAAACCATAATAATTATATTTCAGTTCATTCAGTTCCATGTAATTAATTATTGTTTGCTTGATCTTGGGTTAGTAGTTTTGTTACAGAGGCAGAAGCCCAAGAGAGCCGGAGTAACACCATTTTAAAATCAACTCCATCTTAAACAAGCAAGGCACATTCCTTGTCAGTCACAACCCATGGTTCTCAGATGTTTATAGTTGAGGAAACAGCCTAAACCTATAAGGACACACTCCTACAACAGTAGAGAGTCCAGATGTCCCAATACCCATAAAAATATATGCTTTCAAGAAAATAACACTTATGTTTTGATGTACTCACACACTAAAATGTCAAGTGTAGTTTTCTTTAACTCAACAGAATAATAAATTTTGTCATTCTGTCTGCTCACCTGTACGTAGGCACAGCTTAGTCTAGTCTTTGCATAGGAAAGACCTCTATACACAAAAAACTTAAAACAAATATGGTGTGCTCCTCCACTTGCTTTCTGAGGACACCGTACTCTGCAATGATGTAACTTTGAATAAACTTGCTTCTTTCACTGAACTTTGAGACTCTCCTTGAATTCCTTCTTGTGCAAGATCCAAGAACCCTCTCTGGGTGTCTGGATCTAGACCACTTTTTCTGGTAACAGTTTCATGAACACATCAGATTCTTCATTCGAGTTTTGGAAATTCTTACCCAGTCTAGTGGCATGATCTTAAAATTATCATAAATCTGTACTTTGCGAAAGCTTTCAGGAAAGCATGAAAGTAAAGCAGTATCGCGGCACTATTCACAATAGCAAAGACTTGTAACCAACCCAAATGTCCGACAATGATAGACTGGATTAAGAAAATGTGGCACATATACACCATGGAATACTATGCAGCCATAAAAAATGATGAGTTCATGTCCTTTGTAGGGACATGGATGAAGCTGGAAACCATTATTCTCAGCAAACTATCGCAAGGACAAAAAACCAAACACCGCTTGTTCTCACTCATAGGTGGGAATTGAACAATGAGAACACATGGACACAGGAAGGGGAACATCACACACTGGGGACTGTTGTGGGGTGGGGGGCGGGGGGAGGGATAGCATTAGGAGATATACCTAATGCTAAATGACGAGTTAATGGGTGCAGCACACCAACATGGCACAGGTATACATATGTAACAGACCTGCACGTTGTGCACACGTACCCTAAAACTTAAAGTATAATAATAATAATAATAATAATAATAATAAAAAGAAAGTAAAACAGTATCTTTAAATGACAAAATACTTAAAATGACTGACAAATATAAAGAAGGTTAAGTATCACTGTAAGCCCACTGTCAGGTTGTTTGCTTGATCTTGGGTTGGTAGTTTTGTTACAGAGGCAGAAGCCCAAGAGAGCCAGAGTAACACCATTTTAAAATCAACTCCATCTTAAACAAGCAGGGCACATTCCTTGTCAGTCACAACCCATGGTCCTGAGATGTTTATAGTTGAGGAAACAACCTAAACCTATAAGGACACAGTCCTACAACGGAATATAAATACTTTCATTTCCTCAGAACAAAAACATATTCTTCATACCTCACATACTTGGCCTACAAAGTTGTTTTCCTTTATACTTATAGTTTCTAGTAATTTTATTTACATATATTAATTATAAATTTCAGCCATTAGTGACCTCTCTTTTATGGAGAAGACTATAAAGTAGGCAATTGTGAATTGTCTGTCACATACCAACATTCTATAGCAGACCAGAAAATTTTGTGAATATTTCATCTCACAATTTTTAAAAGCATATACTTCCTCATAGAATATATGAATTCTATGAGGAAGAATTTTTTACATTTTCTAAAGCATAAAATTTTCTGCTGTAGAATTTTTTATGTTTGTTAGCAGACAAATATATTTAGCCTTTCTATACCATATAAAAATAAGATGACAGAAGTATAAATTTAAACTTATGTTTTTTAATGAATGTTTGAGTTTTTATCTTATGATTTTTAGTTAATAATTTTCATACCTTTAATATTTAATACCTTCAATCTATTAATATATTTAATATTTAAAATTAATATGAATTTAAAATATGTATTACTTAGCATAGCATTAAGGTTGCAAGTTACCAAAAAAAATTTGGAAACAGTTTTCAGGCACACATACTATGATAGCAAACAAAGCTAACCATCACGTCATTTTCTAACATACGTATATTAAGCAAGCACCAAACATCACAGAGGCAAAAAAACTAAAAAGTTAAGCCTACAGTTTTTTTTTCTTTTTTTCCTGCCATGCTTGATATACATCAAGCAATTCTCTCTTTTTTTTTTTTTGGTGACAAGCAGATAAATAGAACTGTTTTTATTTCTAAATTTATTTTTAAAAATTGATATTTTAACTAGATTAATATTCATTAATGGCGTTGGTACAACATTTTCATTATTCTTAAAATAGAAATAACTTGGATTTGAAATGACGGGGCAGAGGACTATGGATAACTAGCTGTAATACTACTCTTTCTTTTTTTTTTTTTGAGACAGAGTCTTGCTCTATTGCCCAGGCTGGAGTGCAATGGCTCGATCTCAGCTCACTGCAACCTCTGCCTCCTGAGTTCAAGTGATTTTCCTGCTTCAGCCTCCCAAGTAGCTGGGATACAAGCATTCACTACCATGCCTGGCTAATTTTTGTATTTTTAGTAGAGATGGGGTTTCACCGCGTTGGCCAGGCTGATCTCAAACTCCTGACCTTAGATGATCCACCCGCCTTGGCCTCCCAGAGTTCTGGGATTACAGGCATGAGCCACCGCACCCAGCGGGTAATGCTACTCTTAATACACCATCTACTTTTTTCTTCTTTTGGCCATGCATACAGCACTCCAGACTGTTTTTCCCAATTTCTCCCTTTCTCCTTTTCCACTCTTTTCTCCTCTCTCCATTGTCCTCCACTGCTCAAACATGGTGAAGTTTGAACAAAAGAGGAATAAGGAAATATTCCTTTCTTTGAGTCTTTGATTTCATCTTTCATAATAAACCTCAGACAAGATTTCTTGAAATAATTCTGTATTCCTAGAGAAGCTTTTAGCATGTTGGTCTTGAAGTACCTTCATGTTTATGTATGTGCGTACATTCACTTTTCCAAATACTTATGAGTACCTCACTAATTCCTGGAGATACATGAGAATACATGCTCCTTCCCTTAGGGGCCCATTATCTGCCATCCTTTCTATAAATTAAAAAACAGTACTTAAAATAAGAAACAAGCAAATAGTAACAGCAAAGTAGAACTAGGATAATTTCTTATTTTCTTTCCTGAAAGATATCAAACCTCACCATGTTACTACTACCTTGGAGTTTTGAGAACACTGAGTGGATGAATGGATGGATGGACAGAAGGATGAAATAGATGGATTAATAAACATTATCTGCTGACTGAGATTCAAAGTCTTTAACATAGAGTCTTAGGTTTTCAAAGAGAGAGTCTGAGCCTGCAGAGCAAAGAAATGGAAAATTTGAGAGCTTTTTATAATAAGAAAGTACGTATCTTGTTATAGACATATAATGAATGTATGTATTCTAACAGCACCATGTAAATTACCTGTGTTCAAGAAATACTTGAACTTTTGAATAGCTCATAAAGGGAATGAAGAAAAAAGAAAATCTGAGAGCTTTTTGATGGCTAAGTATACATATAACATTTTGTATATGTGTGTGTACATGTATATATTTATACACATACATGTATATACGTATATATACATATATACACTATATATACACATACGTCTATATATGTATACATATATACACACTATATATACACATACATGTGTATATGTATGTATACACAGACGCACTATATACACATACATGTGTATATGTATGTATACACAGACGCACTATATACACATACATGTGTATATGTATGTATACACAGACGCACTATATACACATACATGTGTATATGTATGTATACACAGACGCACTATATACACATACATGTGTATATGTATGTATACACAGACGCACTATATACACATACATGTGTATATGTATGTATACACAGACGCACTATATACACATACATGTGTATATGTATGTATACACAGACGCACTATATACACATACATGTGTATATGTATGTATACACAGACGCACTATATACACATACATGTGTATATGTATGTATACACAGACGCACTATATACACATACATGTGTATATGTATGTATACACAGACGCACTATATACACATACATGTGTATATGTATGTATACACAGACGCACTATATACACATACATGTATATATGTATGTATACACAGACGCACTATATACACATACATGTATATATGTATGTATACACAGACGCACTATATACACATACATGTATATATGTATGTATACATATACACATACACATACATGTATATATGTATGTATACATATACACATACACATACATGTATATATGTATGTATACATACATATACACATACACATACATGTATATATGTATGTATACATATACATATAAGTGTATATATGTATGTATACATATACACACTATATATACACACATACTCTTTTATATGCACAGATAAATATATCATATGTATATGCACATATATAGTCACATAATTTCTAATACTTTATAGTTTACTGAATGACTTCAGTAACTGCTGAATTTTTCAAGAGCTTTAGATGACTTTGTTCAAAAGGCAGGGCTAATGTCAGAAGTGGACTAGACTTTGGTCCCTGGACATACAACACAATGTTTTTACTTCTACATGTCTCACCTTTATCTCTTTATACATATTTTCTCCTTTCTTCATGATCAAACACATTTGAAATGAGTTAATACTTATTATTCTTTTTTAATCTGGTCTCAGAAAGCCAGCAGCTGATTTTTTCAAAGGCATGCAGATAATGTAGAATTAGAATTTCTTGTGACAGAAGAGGTGGAAAATCATAGTGGCTGGAACATCTTCACATTTTCACAAGTCTAAATAAGGCTGGTCTTTGCTATTCTCTCAAAGGAATCACTGTAGAATGTGAGGAGAAAGAAGCATCTGTCATACTGAAGCATGGGAATTGTTGGCATCACATAGGTTTTTTCCAACCAGCAGCAAAGCAAATATGAAGCTGGCATCCTGCGGATTTCCATGCCCTTCCTGGTTTGAATCTTTGATGTGTCTGATAGGTCTGCCAGTTTTATAACTTGCTTTAATTTTAACTTTGATTATTTTTAGTTTTTAGATAATTATATTTTAATATGGCTGACCAAGACAAACAGGATACATGAAAGACTTTACTTATTTTTATTGAGGCATATTTCAAAATTAAAAATTGTATTTACTTAAGGTGTGCAAGTTGATGATTTGACATACATATACATTGTGAAATAATCACTACAATCAAGGTAATTAATACATCCATCACCTCAGAGAGTCCTTCCTTTCTTTCTTCCTTCGTTCCTCCTCCCTCCCTCCCTCTCTCCATCTTTTTCCTTCCTTCTTTCATTCCTTCCTTCCTTCCTCCCTTTCTTTCTTAAATGTATGTATGTATACATGTATATATGTGTGTGTGTGTGTATATACATCTGTATATATAATGGAATATTATTCAACCTTAAAAAAGAAGGAAATTCTGTCATTTGCAATAAGTTAGATGAAACTGGAGGACATTTTGTTAAATGAAATAAGTCAGCTAGAGAAAGATACTGCATGATCTCATTTATGTGTGGAATCTAAAAATAGTTCAACTCATAGAAGCAGAAAGCAATTTATTTTTAGTGTTGCAATGTATTTTTATTTGTTACTAGGTTAAATTTGTAGTTTCATAATCTTAAACATCTAGTAGAGACAAGCTTGATTGACTAGTAAATCTATGTAGAAAAACTTACAACTCTGAAGACATGTCTGCTTTTATTTATCAAAAATCTTAAAACTAGCTTTATATATCAAAGAATATCCTACCTCATGTGAATCAAAAAAAAGAAGAAAAAGAAAAAATTTGGATGTTTCTATATTTCTGAGAGTTTCAGGAATAATTAGTTTACATAAGTGCTCATTCCTCTCTAAACAATTTTGAATAGAACTCCTTTAATGGATTTTATAAATTAATTTGGTAATATTACCTGGAGGTGGAAAAATATCACATATATGTAACGTACATATTAATATATAGACATACACATACATACAAATAAATATGTAAATATTTATAAATATAAATAAAATCTTTTTTCTAAAATTGATTTTATTCTAAAATTGTAGCCACAAGTCAGTAAAATAGTAATACAAACTCACTGCTTTATATCCACTTGCTGTTTTTATCTGAATTGTATTTCAGATAAATGGGACAAGTTGAGTTTACCTATTCAATATGAGGGCAAACACTTCTCACAGTATTTGTGGAGAAGGCTTTTTAGATTTCCTTTGCCCTGATATGTAATCTTATGGTGGCTGCAAGCTACATTTTAGGGAAGTGACTGGGGAAATATCCAGCAGCTGTCTGGATGTCTTCAAAGCCCAGCTGAGTGGATAAAATATTCAGTTTATTGTCAATTAGCCTTTTTTCTTTCCAACTTCAGTTATTTGCTTTTGGAGGAACCGGAGTCCCTAGCAACAAAGGGACCTAAAGTTCAGTGATTAAGAGGCTGACATGAAAAAGGGTAGGACCTTGGAGGGGAACCTTGGAATTCAGGAGAACTGAATGAGGATGGGAGGTGGCAAAAGGAGTATGCAAGAGCAGAAGCAATGGGGAGAAAGGGACCTTGGGGAGCCAGTGTGGGGAGATCAGAAGTTTCCCTAAGAAGCCAGTGAAATTCCAAATTATCCTCCGCAGATCATGCCAAGAGAAGAAGGTGGGCAGCACTGGCAGAGCATAGAATCAGTAGGGTTTTGAGAAAGGAGTGTTAGTCGACAAGTTCCCATGGAAGGAGCAATATAAAATAGAAAGAGCGGACAGGCCTCAGAAAATCACAACTCCTCTCAGGCTGTGAATATCAACTTCTGATTAGGCCAACTTCTGACCTTAGAGCACTTAAAAAAAAATCACCTTCCGACCTTAGAGCACTTTAAAAAATCATTTGTTTGGGACAAACAATAAATATTCCTAGCAGGACTTAACTCTTTTTTTTTTTTTTTTTGCCCAAGAGTACGTCTATTCCAAGTGACTCAAAACCAAAACCAGTAAGCCTTTTATGACTTATCCATGGACAAAAGAGGTATCCCAAAAGAAATTTCAAAAGATACAGACCTCCCAAGATCCAAAATTATTTCCAAATATAGCCAAAGGGAAAACAGATGAAGACACCACCCTCTCCACCTCACCGGAGACAGCAAAAAGTTGGTAGGACATTAGCAGCAAATGATGTGCAAACTACATTTCTGTCCAGCCTACTCTTGGCATCCCCAGTGTAATGGTTGACTGCCTGCAGATGTAGGCCCAACAATCTGTCTACCCAGACAGGTAGAAAGTCAAGCCAAGTTTACAGAACACTAAACAAGATAAACACTAAACAAGATAAAATACTTGTCCCTGAGAAAGGATCAATAACCAATGAATACCCCAAAAACAAGTTCACAAGAGTCACAACTCAAAAAATTTATTCTTACCAATACTTTTCTCCTGAAAATCTGAATTTGGAAAGGAAGTAACAAGAAAACAGCTTTATTAATACCTTCCTCTCTTGATCAGGCGCTATGGACAGATACCCCGGAAACTGATATGGTAAGAATTCTTATCTTCTGTCAGATTTGACAGTTGTCCTAGACTTCAACTGCAGTCCCTGGGGTGAGTAGAGTATTCCAGGCTTTTTCTGCCTCTTTGTGGTCAACAAAAACTGTAGGAGAGGGAGAAAAATCTTTTCATTCTGCCCTTCTAGGTTCTCATCTGTGGTTTTATAACAAAAGACAGATTACCAGGAAAAGATCATATGAATTCATTTAGTATATGTTTTATGTGACATGGGAGCTTCATAAGGAAATGAAGACCCCTAATAAATGGTTAAGCCGAAGCGTTTTTATACTAAGTTTGATTAAGAATAGAGAGTTATGGGAAAAATGTAATAGGACAAAAGGGTATGAGCTAAGTGGAGTAAACTGGAGGAAACTTAGTAAGGCTTATTCATTAAGATTCCTTTTGGCATTTCTCCATCTTCAGATGTAAGGAGACTCCTTTCCTTTGGGTATAGTGAGGGCACCTCTCACAGGAAGGTCTTATGACCTGCTTCAGGAAAGTAGGTCAGAAAGTCCTTCCAGCATCTGTCGTTTCTCAAATTCCTTCAGCTAAAAATATTCAGTTTGCCACAGTGTCCTAGTTTGGGGTAGCATGTCCTGAACCCCATCAAAGGTAATAGTATTCTGGAAACCATCTCTGAGTTAATGAATCACACCAAAAGCATGTTGCAGGTGAATTTTATGTGGTTGACCCACCCCTAGAGCACTATTAGAGTTTTTCCCTTTAATTTTTTTTTTTAAATCAAAGAACAGCTTTAGATCTAAGTTTCTTTAATATTTTTCTGATGCTCTTTTTGTTCTTAGGTTTCTCCTCCCTTTTTGTTCTTGTTCTTCTTGTTCTTGTCCTCCTCCTCCTTCTCCTCCTCCTCCTTCTTTTTTGGTAATTTTCTCTCATCAGTGCAGTCCATGTATGTGAAGCATCCAAAGAGCTGCAGAGTCTTCTCAGCCAACACGTATTTCTTTTTGTAAAAAAAAAAAATCTTATGAAAATGTAAAACATATACAACAGTAGATACAGAAATATGATACCCCAAATACCTATCAACAGTTTAAACAATTGTCAACCCATTTCTAAATTTGTTCACATTATTAACTATTTAGTAATCTTCCCTTTTGTAGATTATTTTGAAGAAAACCCTGCATTTCATATAGCTTCATCTGTAAAATTTTCAACATAAACGATAGGAATTCTGCTTTTAAAAAAACCAATATTGTTATCACACCCTCCTTCAACTCGCCCCCACCCATAAAAATCACAGTTATTGTTTAGCATCATTAAATATCCAGTGCTCCCATCTCTCTGACTGTCCTGTATTTTTTCTTTCTTTGTTTGTGTTTTAGTTTAATTATACTAGGATTGAAATAACAAAGCCAGCCTCCCAGGTAGTTGTGACTACAGGCGTGCACCACTATGCCCAGATAATTTTTTTTTTATTTTTAGTAGAGATGGGATTTCACCATGCTGGTCAGGCTGGTCTTGAACTCCTGACCTTGTGATCCACCCGCCTCGGCCCCCCAAAGTGCTGGCATTACAGGTGTGAGCCACCGAGCCCAGCCCCATGCCTAGTGAATCTTTAGATGGGTATTTCTGAAGTATATATACTGTGCAAGGAAGAAAGGTATATGTGATTAAAGTATGGTGAAATATCCTGGAATTCAATGCTTTTAAAATATAGCTTAGGAGATAAATCACATTGATGTGAAAACAATATGTAGCTCAGAGGCTATACAGCTTGAAGAATACCGTTTTCAAAGGCAGATGCCTAGAATATAGTAATTTTCCCTCCCAAGAAGAATCAACCATAGATTCTGGGGATGTTAGGGTTTCGGGAGACTTCAAACATTATATGGTTGTTGCCCTTTATTTATTACTATTATGATTTTTTAAAAGTTGTTTTAAATTATTATGGATACGTAATGGTTGTATATGTTTTTGGTGTACATGTGGGTTTTTGATACAAGCATACAATGTGTAATGATCAAATCAGAGTAACTGGGATATCCACCACCTCAAGCATTTATCACTTCTTTGTATTAGGAACATTCTAATTTCACTCCTTTAGTTATTTTGAAATATACAATAAATTATTTTTAACTATGGTCACCTGTTGTGTTCCTGAACACTAGATCTCATTCCTTCTATCTCAGTGTATTTTTGTACCCATTAACCATCCCCTCTTTGTCCCAGGCCTCATTTTTCTTCCCATCCTCTGGTAGCCGTCATTCTACTTTCTATCTCCATGAGTTCAATTTTTTTTTTCAGCTTCCACCTGTGAGTGAGAATATGTGATACTTGTATTTCAATAAACATAATATTCCCTAGTTCCACTGTATTTTGGAAAATGACAAGATTTCATTTTTTTATTGCTGAATAATATTCCATTGTGTGTATGTACCACACTTTTCTTTATCCAATCATTTGACGATGGACACTTTGATTGCATATCTTGGTGATTGTGAATAGTGCTGCAATAAACATGGGAATGGAGCTATTTCTTAGATAATACTAATTTCCTTTCACTGGGATGTATACCCAGGAGTGAAATTCCTGGATCATATGGTAGTTCTGTTCATAGTTTTTTTAGAAACCTCCATACTGTTCTTCAGAGTGGCTGTACTACTTGTATTCCCACAGAGTATGGAAGTTCCCCTTTTGTTACATCTTTGCCAGCATTCATTATTACCTGTCTTTTGCATAAAAGCCATTTTAACTGGGGTCAGATGATGTCTCATTGTAGTTTTGATTTGCATTTCTCTGATGAGTAGCAATGTTGAACATTTTTTCATATACCTGTTGGCCATTTGTATGTCTTCTTTTGAGAAATGGCTACGTAGATCTTTTGCCCATTTTCTAGTCAAATTATTTGTTGAGATGTTTGAGCTTCTCATATATTTTGGTTATTAATCCCTTGTTAGATGGGTAGTATGCAAATATTTTCTCCCATTCTGTGGGTTGTCTCTTCAGTTTGTTTATGATTTCCTATGCTGCACAGAAGCTTGACTTGATGTTATCCCATTTGTCTATTTTTGCTTTGGTTGCCTGTGTCTGTGGGATGTATTACTCAAGTCTTTTCCCACTCTAATATCCTGGAGATTTTCCCCTATGTTTTCTTGTAGTAGTTTTATAGTTTGAAGTCATGGATTAAGTCTTTAATCCATTTTGATTTGATTTTTGTATATGGGGAGAGATAGGGGTCTAGTTTCCTTTTTCTGCATATGAATATCCAGTTTCCCTGGCACCATTTATTGAAGAGACTATTCTTTCCTCCATGTATATTCTTGGAGCCATTCTCAAAAATGTGTTGACTATTGTATTAGTTCATTTTTCACACTGCTATAAAGAACTTCTGAGACTGGGTAATTTATTATTTCATTTTATTTTTATTTTTTGCTCTAGGTAACAGGTTTTTTTAAAAAATTTATTCATTATACTTTAAGTTCTGGGATACATGTGCAGAACGTGCAGGTTTGTTACATAGGTCAACATGTGCCACGGTGGTTTGCTGCATTCATCAACCCGTCATTTATATTAGGTATTTCTCCTAATGCTATCCCTCCCCTAGCCCCCCACCCCCTGATAGGCCCCGGTGTGTGATGTTCCCCTTCCTGTGTCCATGTGTTCTCATTGTTCAACTCCCACTTATGAGTGAGAACATGCAATGTTTGGTTTTCTGTACTTGTGTTAGTTTGCTGAGAATGATGGTTTCCAGCTTTATTCATGTCCCTGCAAAGGGACATTAACTCATCCTTTTTGTAAGGCTGCATAGTATTCCATGGTATACATATGCCACATTTTCTTTATTCAGTCTATCTTTGATGGGCATTTGGATTGGTTCCAAGTCTTTGCTATTGTGAATAGTGCTGCAATAAACATACATGCTCATGTGTCTTTATAGTAGAATGATTTATAATCCTTTGGGTATATACCCAGTAATGGGATTGCTGGGGCAAATGGTATTTCTAGTTCTAGATCCTTAAGGAATTGCTACACTGTCTTCCACAATGGTTGAACTAATTTACACTCCCACCCACAATGTAAAAGCATTCCTATTTCTCTACATCCTCTCCAGCATCTGTTGTTTTTTGACTTTTTAATGATCACCATTCTAACTGACATGAGATGGTATCTCATTGTGGTTTTGATTTGCATTTCTCTAATGACCAGTGATGATGACCTTTTTTTCATATGTTTGTTGGCCACATAAATGTCTTCTTTTGAGAAGTGATTGTTCATATCCTTTGCCCACTTTTTGATGGGGTTGTCTTTTTCTTTTAAATTTGTTTAAATTCCTTGTAGATTTTGTATATTAGCCCTTTGTCAAATAAATAGATTGCAAAAATTTTCACCTGTTCTGTAGGTTGCCTGTTCACTCTGATGATAGTTTCTTTTGCTGCGCAAAAGCTCTTTAGTTTAATTAGATCCCATTTGTCAATTTTGACTTTTGTTGCCATTGCTGTTTGTGTTTTAGTCATGAAGTCTTTGCCCATGCCTATGTCCTGAAAGGTATTGCCTAGGTTTTCTTCTAGGGTTTTTATGGTTTTAGGTCATACATTTAGGTCTTTAATCCATCTTGAGTAAATTTTTTTATAAGGTGCAAGGAAGAGGTCCAGTTTCAGTTTACTGCATATGGCTAGCCAGTTTTCCCAACAGCATTTATTAAATAGGGAATTGTTTCTCCGTTGCTTGTTTTTGTCAGGTTTGTCAAAGATCAGATGATTGTAGATGTGTTGTTACTTCTGAGGCCTCTGTTCTGTTCCATTGGCCTATATATCTGTTTTGGTACCAGTACCAAGCTGTTCTGGACACAGTAGCCTTGTAGTATAATTTGAAGTCAGGTAGCGTGATGCCTCCAGGTTTGTTCTTTTTGCTTAGGATTGTCTTAACTGTACAGGCTCTTTTTTGCTTCCATATGAAATTTAAAGTAGTTTTTTTCTAAATCTGTGAAGAAAGTCAAGGGTAGCTTGATGGGGATAGCATTGAGTCTATAAATTACTTTGGGCAGTATGGCCATTTTCACGATATTGATTCTTCCTATCCATGAGGATGGAATGTTTTTCCATTTGTTTGTGTCCTCTCTTACTTGAGCAATGGTTTGTAGTTCTCCTTGAAGAGGTCCTTCACATCCCTTGTAAGTTGTATTCTTAGGTATTTTATTCTCTTTGTAACAATTGTGAATGGGAGTTCACTCATGATTTATTGGTGTATAGGAATGCTTGAGTTTTGCACCTTGATTTTGTATCCTGAGACTTTGCTGAAGTTGCTTATCAGCTTAAGGAGATTTTGGGCTGAGATGATAAGGTTTTCTAAATATACAATCATGTCATCTGCAAACAGAGACCATTTGACTTCGTGTATTTCTATTTGAATACCCCTTATATGTTTCTCTTGCCTGATTCCCTGGCTAGAACTTCCAATACTATGTTGAATAGGAGTGGTGAGAGAGGTCATCCTTGTCTTGTGCCAGTTTTCAAAGGGAAATCTTCCAGCTTTTGCCCATTCAGTATGATATTGGCTGTGGGTTTGTCATAAATAGCTCTTATTGTTTTGAGATATGTTCAATCAATACCTAGTCTACTGAGAGCTTTTAACATGAAGAGGTGTTGAATTTTATCGAAGGCCTTTTCTGTATCTATTGAGATAATCATGTGGTTTTAGTCATTGGTTCTGTTTATGTGATGAATTACGTTTATAGATTTGCATATGTGGAACCAGCCTTGTATCCGAGGGATGAAGCTGACTTGATCGCGGTGCATAAGCTTTTTGATGTGCTGCTGGATTTGGTTTGCCAGTATTTTGTTGAGGATTTTCACATTGATGTTCATCAGGGATATTGGCCTGAAATTTTTTGTTGTTGTTCTGTCTTTGCCAGGTTTTAGTATCAGGATGATGCTGGCCTCATAAAATGAGTTAGGGAAGAGTCCCTCTTTTTGTATTGTTTGGAATAGTTCAGAAGGAATGGTACCAGCCCCTTTTTGTAGCTCTGGTAGAATTCAGCTGTGAATCCTTCTGGTCCTGGACTTTTTTTGGTTGGTAGGCTATTAATTATTGCCTCCATTCCAGAGCCTGTTATTGGTGTATTCAGAGATTCAACTTCTTCCTGGTTTAGTCTTGGGAGGGGGTATGTATCCAGAAATTTATCCATTTCTTCTAGATTTTCTAGTTTATTTGCATAGACGTGTTTCTACTATTCTCTGATGGTGGTTTTATTTCTGTGGGGTTGGTGGTGACATCTCTTTTATCATTTTTCATTGTGTCTATTTGATTCTTCTATATTTTCTTCTTTATTAATTGGCTAGTGGTCTATTTTGTTCATCTTAAAAAAAAAAAACAGCTCCTGGATGCATTGATGTTTTTGAAGGGTTTTTTGTGTCTCTAAATCCTTCAGTTCTGCTCTGATCTTAGTTATTTCTTGTATTCTGCGAGCTTTTGGATTTGTTTGCTTTTGCATCTCTAGTTCCTTTAATTGTGATGTTAGGGTGTCGATTTTAGATCTTTCCCGCTTTCTCCTGTGGGCACTTAGTGCTATAAATTTCCCTCTTAACACTGCTTTAGCTGTGTGCCAGAGATTCTGGTACCTTGTGTCTTTGTTCTCATTGTTTTCAAAGAACTTCTTTATTTCTGACTTAATTTCGTTATTTACCCAGTAGTCATTTAGGAGCAGGTTGTTCAGTTTCCATGTAGTTGTGCGGTTTTGAGTGAGTTTCTTAATCCTGAGTTCTAATTCGATTGCACTGTGGTCTGAGAGACTGTTTGTTATGACTTCCATTCTTTTGCATTTGCTGAGGAGTGTTTTACTTCCAATTATGTGGTCAATTTTAGAATAAGTGCTATGTGGTGCTGAGAAGAATGTATATTCTGTTGATTTGGGGTGGAGAGTTCTGTAGATGTGTATTAGGTCCCCTTGGTCCAGAGCTGAATTCAAGTCCTGAATATCCTTGTTAATCTTCTGTCTCATTGATCTGTCTAATATTGACATTGGGGTGTTAAAGTCTCCCACTATTATTGTGTAGGAGTCTCAGTCTCTTTGTAGTTCTCTAAGAACTTGCTTTATGAATCTGGGTGCCCCTGTATTGGGTGCATATATATTTAGGATAGTTAGCTCTTCTTGTTGAATTGATCCCTTTACCATTATGTAATGGCTTTCTTTGTCTCTTTTGACTTTTGTTGGTTTAAAGTGTTTTATCAGAGACTAGGATTGCAACCCCTGCTTTTTTTTTTTTTTTTTTTGCAATGCTTGGTAAATCTTCCTCCATCCCTTTATTTTGAGCCTATGCGTGTCCTTGAGGTGTGGCTGGCAAGATGGCCGAATAGGAACAGCTTCAGTCTGCAGCACCCCATGAGATCAATGCAGAAGGTGGGTGATTCCTGCATTTCCAATTGAGGTACCCGGCTCATCTCATTGGTACTAGTTAGATAGTACATGAAGCCCACGGAGGGCAAGATGAAGCAGAGTCAGGCATTGCCTCACCCAGGAAGCATGAGGGGTCGGGGAACTCCCTCCCCTTGCAAGAGAAGCTGTGAGGATCTGTGCCATGTGGGAGGGTGCATTCTGACCCAGATACTATGCTTTTCCCACCATCTTCACAACCTGCAGACCAGGAGATTCCCTCCGGTGCCTACACCACCAGTGCCCTGGGATTCAAGCACAAAGCTGGGTGGCTGTTTGGGCAGACACCGAGCTGGCTGCAGGAGTTTTTTCATACCCCAGTGGCACCTGGAACAACAGCAAGACAGAAGTGTTCACTCCCCTGGAAGGAGCCTGAAGCCAGGGAGCCAAGTAGTTTTGCTCAGTGGATCCCATCCCCACAGAGCCCAGCAAGCTAAGATCCACTGGCTTAAAATTCTCGCTGCCAGCACAACAGTCTGAAGTTAACCTGGGATGTTCCAACTTGGTTTGGGGGAGGGAAATCCGGCATTACTGAGGCTTCAGTAGGTGGTTTTTCCCTCACAGTGTAAACAAAGCCACCAAGAAGTTCGAACTGAGTGGAGCCCACCACAGCTCGACAAACCCACTGCAGTCAGACTGCCTCTCTAGATTCCTCCGCTCTGGGCAGGGCATCTCTGAAAGAAAGGCAGCAGCCCCAGTCAGGGGTTTATAGATAAAACTCCCATCTCCCTGGGACAGAGCTCCTGGGGGAATGGGAAGCTGTGGGTGCAGCTTCAGCAGACTTAAACATTCTTGCCTGCCAACACTGAAGAGAGCAGCAGATCTCCTAGCACAGTGCTTGAGCTCTGCTAAGCAACAGACTGGCTCCACAAGTGGGTCCCTGACCCCCATGACTCCTAAGTGGGAGAAACCTCTCAGCAGGTGTTGACAGACACCTCATACAGGAGTGCTCCGGCTGGCATCTGGCGGATGCTCCTCTGAGATGAAGCTTCCAGAGGAAGGAACAGGCAGCAATCTTTGATCTTCTGCACCTCTGCTGGTGATACCCAGGCAAACAGGATCTGGAGTGGATCTCCAGAAAACTCCAGCAGACCGGCAGCAGAGGGGACTGACTGTTAGAAGGAAAACTAACAAACAGAATGGAATACTGTCAACATCAACAAAAAGAATATCCACACAAAAACCCCATCTGAAGGTCACTAACATCAAAGACCAAAAGTAGATAAATCCATGAAGATGAGGAAAAATCAGCATAAAAACGCTGACAATTCCAAAAACCAGAACATCTCTATTCCTCCAAAGGATCACAACTCCTCGCCAGCATTGGAACAAAACTGGATGGAGAATGAGTTTGATGAATTGACAGAAGTAGCCTTCAGAAGGTGGGTAATAACAAACTCCTCAGAGCTAAAGAGCATGTTCTAACCCAATGCAAGGAAGCTAAGAACCTTGAAAAAAGGTTAGACTAATTGCTACCTGGAATAACCCATTTAGAGAAGAAAATAAATGACCTGATGGAGCTGAAAAACACAGCACAAGGATTTCATGAAGCATACACAAGTATCAGTAGCAGCATCAAACAAACAGAAGAAAAAATATCAGAGAGTGAAGATCAACTTAATGAAATAAAGTGCGAGTACAAGATTAGAGAAAAAACTGTGAAAAGAAACAAAGAAAGCCTCCAAGAAATATGGGGCTATGTGAACAGAACAAACCTGTGTTTGATTGGTGTACCTGAAAGCAACAGGGAGAATGGAACTAAGTTGGAAAACACTCTTCAGGATATTATCCAGGAGAACTCCCCCAACCTAGCAAGACAGGCCAACACTGAAATTCAGGAAATACAGAGGACACCACAAAGATACTCCTCAAGAAGAGCAACCCCAAGACACATAATCATTAGATTCACCAAAGTTGAAATGAAGGAAAAAATGTTAAGGACAGATGGAGAGAAAGGTCGGGTTACCCACAAAGGGAAGCCCATCAGACTAACAGTGGATCTCTCTGCAGAAACCCTACAAACCAGAAGAGAGTGGTAGCCAACATTCTTAAAGAAAAGAATTTTCAACCCAGAATTTCATATGCAGCCAAACTAAGCTTCCTAAGTGAAGGAGAAATAAAATCCTTTACTGAGAAGCAAATGCTGAGAGATTTTGTCACCACCAGGCCTGCCTTACCAGAGCTCCTAAAGGGAGCACTAAATATGGAAAGGAAAAACCTGTACCAGCCACTTCAAAAACATACCAAATTGTAAAGACCATCAACACTATGAAGAAATTGCATCAATTAACGGCACCATAACCAGTTAGCATCATAGATCAAATTCACTCATAACAATAATAACCTGAAATGTAAACGGACTGAATGCCCCCATTAAAAGATACAGACTGCCAAATTGGATAAAGAGTCAAGACCCATCGGTGTGCTGTATTCAGGAGACTGGGTAATTTATAAAGAAAAGAGGTTTAATTGACTCACAGTTCTGCATGGCTGGGGAGGCATGAAGGGAAAGCAGGGGACAGGTAAGAGAGAGAGAATGAAAGCAGGGGAAATGTCAGATGCTGATAAAACCATCAGATCTCATGAGAACTCACTCCCTATCACACAAACTGCATAAGGGATACTGCCCCCATGATCCAATCACCTCCTACCAGGTCTCTCCCTCCACACATGGGGATTATGGGGATTACAAATCAAGATGAAATTTAGGTGGGGCATAGAGCCAAACCATATAATTCCACAGTGTGAAAAAGGACTATTACAACTGTAAATTCATGGATTTATTTCTGGGTTCTCTATTCTATTCCATTGGTCTATGTGTCTTGTTTTCAATGCCAGTTCCATGTTGTTTTGGTTACTATAGCTTTGTAGTATTATTTGAAGTTAAGTAATGTGACACTTCTAACCTTTTTCTTTTTGCTCAGGTTTGCTTTGGCTGTTGAATGTCTTTTGTGGTTCTATACATATTTTATGATTAAAAAAATTCTGTGCAGAATATCATTTTTTATAGAGATTGCATGAATCTGTAGATTGCTTTGAGTAATATGGAGATTTTAACAATATTGATTATTCCAACCTATAAACATGGAATATGTTTCATTTTCTTTGTTTCCTCTTTAATTACTTTCATCAATGTTTTGTAGTTTTCATTGTACAGATCTTTCACTTCTTTGGTTAAGTTAAATCCTAAGTATTTTATCTTATTCATAGCTATCATAAATGGGATTACCTTTTTGGTTTCTTTTTCAGATGATTTGCTGTCGACATATACAAAAACTACAGATTTTTGCATGTCGATTTTGTGTCCTGCAACTTTACTGTGTTTGTTTATCAGTTCTAATGGTTTTTTTGATGGGATCTTTAGGTTTTTCTAAATATAATGTCAGATTGTCTGCACACATGGATAATTTGATGTTTTTCTTTCCAATTTTGATGCCCTTTGTTTCTTTCTCTTGTCTGATTTCTCTAGCTAGGACTTCCAGTTCTATGTTGAATAACAGTGGTGAAAGTTGGCATCCTTGTCTTGCTTCAGATCTTACAAGAGGGTCTTTTTCCTCATTCAATGTGATACTCTTTATGGGTCTGTCATATATGGCTTTTATCATGTTCCACCATGTTTCATCTGTATCCAGTTTGTTGAAAGTTTTTATCAAGGTAGTATATGGAATTTTATCAAATGCTTTTTTGGCATTTATTGAAATGACCATATGGTTTGTGTCCTTCATTTTGTTGATATGATGTGTCACATTTATTGATTTGCCTATGTTGACCCATCCTTGTATCACTGGGATGAATCCCACTTGATCTTGGTGAATGATCTTTTTAGTGTATCATTGAATTTGGTTTGCTAGTATTTTGTTGAAGATTTTTGCATCTATGTTTATCAACTATATTGGTTTGAAATTTTCTTTTTTGTTGTTGTGTCTTTGGTTTTGGTATCAGGGTAATAATGACTTTGTAGGATGAGTTTCAAAGTATTCCCTTCTCCTCATGTTTTTGGAATAGTTTGAGTCAAAATGGTATTAGTTCTTGCAGTGAAACAATCAGGTCCTGGACTTTTTTTGTCTTCATGGGAGCCTTTTATTACTGCTTCTAGGTTGTTACCTGTTATTGGTCTATTAAGGTTTTAGATTTTTTCATGGTTCAATGTAGGTAGGTTGTGTGTATCTAGGAATTTATTCATTTCTCCTAAGTGTTTTCAATTTATTGTCATATAATTGCTTAATAGTCTCTAATGATCCTTTAAATTTCTGTAGTATCAGTTATAATATCTCCCTTTTCATCTCTGATTTTATTTATTTGGGTCTTCTATTTTTTTTTCCCCTGGTATGGATAAAGGCTTGTCAGTTTTGTTTACCCCAATAAACCAACTTTTTGTCCTGCTGATCTTTTGTTATTTTGTTATTGTTATTTTAGCATCAATTTCATTTATTTCTGCTCTGATCTTCATTTTTTTCTTCTTCTAATTTTGAGTTTGGTTTGCACTTGCTTTTCTAGTTCTTTAAGATGCGCTGTGTTGTTTATTTGAAGTTTTTCTGTTTTTTTTTTGATGTAGGCATTTATTGCTATAAACTTCTCTCTTAGTACTGTTTTGCTCTATCCCATAGGTTTTGGTATGCTGTGTTCCCATTTTCATTTATAACATTATTTTTTAAATTTTTCTTTAATTTTTATTTATAGTATGATTTTTAAAATTTCCTTCTTAATTTTCCCTCTTATAGGCATTTATTGCTATAAATTTCTTAGTACAGCTTTTGCTCTATCTTATAGGTTTTGTATGTTGTGTTTCAGTTTTCTTTTATGGCTTGATTTTTAAAATTTCCTTCTTATTTTTTCATTGCCCTAATGTTTATTTGAAAAATATTGTTTAATTTGTATGTATTTCATAGTTTCAAAGTTCCTCTTCTTATTAACTTTTAGTTTTGTTCCATTGTGGTAAGAAAAACGACTTGATATGACTGTAATTAAAAAGAATTTTGATAATTGTTTTGTTGTCTAACATATGGTTTATCCTTGAGAATGTTTTATGTGCTGAGGAGAAGGACTTGTATTCTGCAGCTGTTAAATGTATGTTCTGTGAGTATCTATTATGTCCATTTGGTCTGTGTTACAGGTTAAGTTTATTGTATCCTTGTTGATTTTCTGTTTCAATAACTTGTGCATTGCTAAAAATCGGGTGTTGGGGCATTACTGTATTGGAATCTATCTTTTTCTTTAGTTCTAATAATATTTGCTTTGTGTGTCTGGGTGCTCCAGCATTGAATGCATACATATTTACAATAATTATATTGTTTTGCTGATTTGACCCCTTTATCATTATTAGTGACCTTTTGTCTCTTTATACACTTTATGTCTTGAAATCTATTTTATCTGATATAAGTATAGCTACTTCTACTCTTTTTTGGTTTCCATTTGCATGGAATTTTTTTTTTTTACATTCCTTCTATTTCAGTCTATTTGTGCCTTTTTAGATGAAGTGGATTTCTTGTAGGCAGCAAAGAGCACAGAGTTAAGTCTTATTTTTTAATCCATTAAACCACACTGTATGTTTTTAATTAGACAATCAATGTTATTATTGATATTTAGAGACTTACTACTGCCATTTTAAAAATTTGTTTTCGGGTTGTTTTGTTGGTACTCTCTTCCTTTTTTTCCTTCTTTCTGTCTTCCTTTTTGCAAAAGTGATTTTCTCTGGTAGTGTGTTTTATTTTCTTGCTTTTTATTTTTTGTGTATCTGTTGTAGATGTTTATTTTGTGATGACCATAAATAGGGCTTGCAAATAATCCCTTATAACCAATTATTTTAAACCAATGACAATTTAACTCTGATCACAAAGAAAATAAAAAAATCAAAGAGGAAACTAAAAAACTTCACACTTTAAATTCCATCATCCCCTCCCTGCTTTTTGAGTTTTTTTCTCTTTTATCTTTTTATATTGTCTATCTCTTTTAAAAAATTGTTGTAGCTATTATTTTTGATAGGTTTATCTTTTATTTAAAGATATGAGTGATTTACATACTGCAGTTACAGTGTTAGAATATTCTGTATTTGTCTGTGTACTTACTTTTACCAGCGAGTTTTACAACTTCAGATGATTTCTTGTTGCTCATTAATGTTCTTTTCTTTCACATTGACTACCTTCCTTTAGCATTTTTTTAAGAGAGGTCTCGTGTTGAAAAAAATCTGTCAGTTTTTTTGGTCTGGAAAACTCTTCTTCATGTTTGAAGGATAATTTTTGCTAGATATACTATTCTAGGTTGAAAAGTTTTTTTCTTTCAACACTTTGAATATGTCATCCCACTTCCTCCTAGCTCTTAAGACTTTCTCTGAGAAGTTGACTGTCAACGTTATCAGAGCTCATTTATATGTTGTTTTTTTTTCTTTCGCTGCTTTTAGAATTTTTTCTTTGTCTTTGACTTTTGATGGTGACTGTTACATGACTTGAAATAGTCTTATTTGGGTTGAATCTGCCCAGTGTTCTTTGACCTTCTTGTAACTGGATATTCATATCTTTCTCCAGGTTTGAAACATTCTCTGTTATTATTTTCTTGAATATACTTTCTACCCCATTCTCTCTCTTTAAGGCCGATAACTCTTAGAATTGCCTTCTTGAGACTATTTTCTGAATCTTGTATATGTGTTTCATTCTTTTTCATTCTTATTTTCTCTTCTGATTGTGTATTTTTATATAGCCTGTATTCAAGCTCATTAATGTTTTTCTTCTGCTCAAGCAATTCTGCCATTGAGAGGCTCTAATGCATTTTTTTAGCTTGTTAATTGAATTTTTCAGTTCAAGAATTTCTACTTGATTTTTTTTAAATTTTTATTTCAATCTCTTTGTTACATTTGTATAATAGAATTCTGAATTTTTTCTCTGTGTTACCTTGAGATGATTGAGCTTCCTCAACACAGCTATATTGAATTCCCTGCTTGAGAGGTCACATATCATCATCACTCCAGGATTGGTCACAGATGCCTTTTTTAGTTCATTTGGTGAGGTCATGTTTTCCTGAATGTTCTTGATCCTTGAGAACATTTGTCAATGTCTGGGCATTGAAAAGTCAGGTTTTTATTTCAATCTTTGCAGTCTGAGTTTGTTTATATTTGTCCTTGTTTAGAGGGCTTTCCAATAATTCAAAGGGGACTAAGTGTTGTGACCTAAGCTTGTGGTCCCTGCAGCATTTTCACATGAGAGGGTTCTTTAAGTCCCTCTCATGTGAAAAGATACACAGACTTGTGTAGATACACAGACTTGGTAGACTTGGGGAAGATAAAAGGAGAATTCCCTGGGTTACCAGGCAAAGTCTCTCACTCTCTTTCCTCTGCTCTCTCCAATCAGAAGTAGTATTTCTCTGTGAGGGAGTTTTTTTTTTCTGTCCTTGGAGTTGTGGGTGGGATGGCACAGGCACTCTTTTGGCCACCACAGCTGGCATCATGTTGAGTCACACCTGAAGCCCATGGCTTTCCAGACCAGCATAGTACTAGAGTTCACCCAGGGCCTGAGGCCACCACAGTCTGGCTGTCACAGATATTTACTTAAGGCCTAAATCCCCTTTAGTCAGCAGTTAGTGAATCCTGCTGGGACTGGGTAGCTGTCATCTGGGCAGTGGATTCCCTTCTGGCTGAAGTTGTACCTAGAAACGCCATCCAGGAGCAAATAAATGAAATTGGGGGCTTCAGGAATATGCCTGGTGCTTTGTTTTACTGTGGCTGAGTTGGCACCTAAGTTGCAAGACAAAGTCCTCTGTACTCTTACCTCTCCTTCCCCCAAGTAAAAGGAGTTGCTACAGGAGCTGCATTGCTGGGAGGTGGGGGAGGGGTGATTCAGGCACTATCATGGCCACTGCGACTGTTGTTGCACTTTGTCACACCCCAAGTCCACTGCAGCATCAGGGCTTCCACAAGGACTGCAGTCCTTATGGCCCAACTGCCACTCAGATTTATCCAGGGCCCCAGGTCACTTTAGTCAACTAGTGATGAAGTTGGCCAGGAAGTGACTTTCTCTTCCTGGGGCAGAGGAGTCCCCCTTTGATCCATGACTGTGTGGTCTAAATGCTCCCTCAGTTGGCACTGGCAGAATTTTGCCTGGTGTTGTATTCCACTGTGACTAGGTGGCTCTGAGTTTCAATGCTAAAACCCACGCTCACTTCACTTTCTCTTCCCTAAGCCCATGGATTCTTTCTCCATGCTGCCCTGCCTGGGGTTGCAGAATGTGTTACAATGCAAGACTGTCTGTCTTACCCACTTCAATGCCTCTTTCCTTGTTATTATGTTAAAACCAGGTACTGTGATTACCCACTTTTTTTTTGGTTCTTATGAAGGTGTTTGCTTGCATGGATATTTGTTTAATTTGATGTTCCTGTGGGAACCCTGAAGGATTCTATTTGGCCTTCTTGCTCCACCTTCCCTAATCCCCTTCATTTAGAGATTAAAATGCAGATCATGAGAAGATAAGAAGTTTGCTTATCTGAAAATATCCAAAGGTTCTTCTTCAAATGTCACTTTTTTCTCTGTTTTAAAAAAATAGTTCTGAGAATATCTTTTACTTTTAAATGTTCACTTTTAGTAGTCAAATCCCAGAAGGCAATGTTATTTTTAGGAGTATGTTTAAATAAAAAAGCTCATTTACCATCTAAGCTTAAGAAGGTAAGCAAATTAATATTGCATGATAAAGTCCCCATCAAGCATCTCATACTTAAGCAAAGAACCCAACTCATAGTTTGTGGCTGTATTAGTCTGTTCCCACACTGCTATAAAGATACTACCTGAGGCTGGGTAATTTATAAACAAAGGAGGTTTAATTGAGTCACAGTTTCACATGGCTGGGGAAGCCTCAGGAAACTTACAATCACGGTGGAAGGGGAAGCAGGCATCTTCTTCACGAGATGGCAGGAGAGACTGAGTGACAGAGAGAAGGCAGAAGACCCCCTTATAAAAAACCATCAGATCTCATGAGAACTCACTCACTATCATGAGAACAGCTTGGGGGAAACCGCCTTTGTGATCTAATCACTTCCCTCCAGGTCTCTCCCTCAACACCTGGGGATTACAATTCAAAATGAGATTTGGGTGGGGACACAATGTCTAATCATACCAGTGGCTTTATTAAAACTTTCATTCAAAATATGTTTTACATTATCTGTGACTCAGGAAATCCCCATCTGCATATCAGGCTAAATAAACAAGAAACACAGTCGGAGAATAATTGGACTTTTAAGTATTGAGAAGTTTAGAGCCCGAATATTCTATATGCAGACCACGATGCTCATATTTGTTTGTTTAAATAAGTATCTGGTCTAAAGGCTCACATTTTTATATAAGCTACAGATTTGTAGTTCTGGTACCCAGTAACAATGGGGCAGCCTCGCGATCTATAAAATCAAAAGGTAATGACTCAGAGTTAGGACCATTTCTGGATGACATTGAGATGGTCAATCTTGTCTACAACAGATCTATGTTGGGGGACCTTGGAAGTATTGGCCACCTTCATGGGCTCCATGGCCTCTGCCCTGCACACTGCAGCAGCATGGCCATGCTGCTGCTCCAAGGTCAATAGGGTATTTACAGCCAGTAGTGATTTTCCACCCTGATCTGTAGGCAATAGATCATGTTCTGCTTGGTGTGCAATGAGGGGCAGCAGCCACCAGTGCATCCCGATCCACTGTCTAGCAGGTATGTGAGTACGGATGAAGAGGGTGGTCAGAAACATGGTGCCTGCCCTCTGGAATCTGCATCTGGATTCCCTCTGGAATCTGCATCTCCCAGGCTGCCATTGTATCAAAAGTGCACCTGCGTCCTTTTTTTCTTTTTTTAAACTATGAAGTGGCAAAGACAGTTTGCTGAATAAAAATGAAGATTCTCTTAGACTTTGGGGACTGAACTCAAATCTGGAGCAAATTCTTAGTATAAAAACAGAAGTATGAGAAAAGGGACAACACGCTAGTTTCAGTCTTGCCTCTAGGTCTTTATGCTGTAAATGGAAGTGCCACTCATATTACCAGCAGGGGTGAGGAATGAATAAATTCAAGGTTGACCAGATTAATGCCATCGGATTAATGCACATCTGCTGCAAAGGGCAGAGAGCAATACTCATTGGTACTAATCTTTAACGAAAGTTGAAAAGGGAATACAGTTATATGGGGTTTTTTACAGAGGTTGCCTGACTGGCTACCCAGAGGTAGCATTATTGTATTTTATTGTAATTAAGGGCAGCAGGAAGAGCATATTTTAGTTAAAATATAGAGTATGTCAATCTTTCAGGGTTGAATGATATGAGATAACCTCATTGTATAGGGCACCATTGACATAAGTAACTCCATCTTAGGAAAAGACTCAATCTTACATTTCAAAAGGCACCTTGCCAACCGGGACTAGATGTTTTGCTTGATCAATAAAGACTGGACCCAACCAGATAAGGACAAAGTACACTCTTCCACTGTCAGTCCTCACCAGAGGATTCTAGGGAAATAAAAGAGCATGACTTCAGCAGCTCAAAATGGCTGTCTTAACAGACACTCTCTTTCTAGCATTCATGATAAGCAACCAGCATCTGCTGCCAAAGACTCTGTCCACATCAAAGACTCTTCTGTGAAAGACCAGCAACCACCTGGGCCAGACCAGGATATTCTTTTGGCCTACATCACTCTCTACGAACTGGTCTGTTAACCTGTTTTTGCTATCTCTTTTCTCTTGATGTTAAATGTCACTTAGTTTGTTGTGGAATGTTTAATCTATAACATGTATTGTTTAAGTATACTATCATGTATGGTTGGCAATATTGACTGACTTGTGGAGTGGCTTGAGCCAGTGTGCCTACAGCTCTAATTACCAGTGAGTGGGAATTACTAAAGAGAACTGCTTCCTTGGGAACTCCATATAGCTCGTGGCTTTTATGATTGAGATAGTATCAATAAAAGTCTGATATTTTGGGAAAGACACAGACAGGCATGAATCTGATTATCCTGACATTGCACCACTCATGATACACATTCAGAAGAATCTTACCAGGATGCCAGTTAACTAATTCAGAAAGAGTAATATTAAAGGAGACTGCCAGATATTCTCTTTCTTATAGAGCAACCTACAGGGAAACCAAATATTACATAGTTACTTGATAAGCACTTAATAAGAGCAATAAGGATTAGTAGATTAATCAGTTATTCAAGAATATCTGGAAATGATGAACTTGATTCATCCATTTCTATAATGAGAGCCACTGAGACTTGCCTGGTCATGTCCCTAGACTAGAGCAATTATTCCCCAGTCTTTATTTTATTCATGCTGGACTCAATCTCATTTTCATCTTTTCATTCTGACCACCTCATATGTGGTGAGATACCTAATCTTTCAAAATTAATATTATTTGCTTTGCATAGCTTTGAGACATTCTAACATGGTCATTTTTTACTAATGATGTATAGATTTAAAAAATATATGTTTAACTTACAGGTCCCTTTTGAATAAATGTATTTTTAAAAAAATATATATCTTTATGCTCATGTCCCCTTTCCTTCTAAGATTTTACCCCTTTTTCACTTTTAAATTCCTATATTCCTCAAATAGCTGTTGGGGTGATTAATTCACACACACACACACGCCATAAATATATATATATATATATATATATATATATATATATATATATATATATATATATTTATAGACGTCTGTTAGTGGGTATCTGTTTTTGGCTACCTAGAATCAACTCATGCTTTAGGGAACCACAACTCTGATTTCTCTGGTACCTCACTCTTCTTCCACTTGAGTCCATATGCTTTCAAGGTGTTGAAGCTATCCTAGACCAGGAATGGTTATGTGCCTATGTGCCTGTGTGCCTTGGGTCTGCCCTGTAAGACATAGAATTTCCTTGATACAGTGATCAAATCAGGAATAGCACATGACCCAGTCAGAGCAATAAGAAAAACAACTGAACTATACAGCATGGACGATAACAGCTGTTTCTTTTCCTCTTCCCCCTCCTGCTTTTTTCTCCTCCCTTCCCAATCTTTCTTTTTCACCTTCTCTTTCTTATTCCTCTTCCTCTTATTCCATCTCCTTCTCCTCCTCCTTTTTCTACTCCTTTCTTCTCTAAGGAAACTTTCTTCCTGGTCCAAGAATGACTTACTGTAGTAATATTATATATAGCAGGACATCAAATGGTTAAGTTGCATTGTATAATTGAAGCACAATATTTTTAGAAAACATACTTTTTGACTCATAATAACTGGTGGTTTTAAAATATAGTCACAAACCTTTGACACTCCTCTCTTCAAAAGATGGAGCCCGTATTAGTCCATTCTCATGCTGCTATGAAGAAATACCCAAGACTAGATAATTTATAAAGAAAAGAGGTTTAATTGACTCTCAATTCTGCATGGCTAGGGAGGCCTCAGGAAACTTACAATAATGGCAGAAGGCACCTCTTCACAGGGCAGCAGGAGACAGAGAATGAGTGTCAGCAGGGGAAATGTCAGGTGCTTACAACATCATCAGATCTCATGAGAACTCACTCACTATCATGAGAACAGCATGGGGTAAACTGCCCCCATGATTCAATTACCTCCCACCAGATCCTTCCCAAGACACATGGGATTATGGGATTAAAATTCAAGATGAGATTTAGGTGGGTCCACAAAACTAAGCCATATAATTCCTCCCCTGGCCCCTCTCAAATTTCATGTCCTCACATTTCAAACCATGATCATACCCTTCTAACAGTCCTCCAAAGTCTTAACTCATTCCAGCATTAACTCAAAAGTCCAAATCCAAAGTCTCTTCTGAGACAAGGCAAGTCCCTTCTGACTATGAGTCTATAAAATTAAAAGCAAGTTAGTTACTTCCTAGATACAATGGGGTACAAGCATTGGGTAAATACACCCATTCCAAATGGGAGATACTGGCCAAAACAAAGGGGCCAGAGGCCCCATGCAAGTCCAAAATCTAGTAGAACAGTCATTAAACCTTAAAGTTCCGAAGTGATCTCCTTTGACTCCATGTTTCACATCCAGGTCATGCTGATGCAAGAGGTGGGCTCCCATGGCCTTGGGCAGCTCTGCATTTGTGGCTTTGCAGGGTACAGCCCCCTTCCCAGCTGTTTCCACAGGCTGGCATTGAATGTCTGTGACTTTTCCAGGCACACAGTACGAACTGTAGGTAGATCTACCATTCTGGGGCCTAGAGGATGGCGACCCTCTTCACACAGCTCCACCAAGCAGTGACCCTGTAAGAACTCTGTGTGGGGGCTCCAACCCCACATTTCCCTTCTGCACTGCCCTAGCAGAGATTCTCCATGAGGGTTCTGCCCCTGCAGCAAACTTCTTCCTCTTCCTCTTCCTCCTCCTCTTCCTCTTCCTCCTCCTCCTCTTGTTCTTCTTCTTTTTTTTTTTTTTTTTTGAGATGGAGTCTCACTCTGTCACCCAGGCTGGAGTGCAGTGGCACTAACTTGGCTCACTGCAACTTCCACCTCCCAGGTTCAAATGATTGTCCCACTTCAGCCTCCCAAGTAGCTGGCATTATAGGCATGCACCACCATGCCCTGCTAACTTTTTTTTTGTATTTTTAGTAGAGACTGGGTTTCACCATGCTGACCAGGCTGGTTTTGAACTCTTGACCTCAAGTGATATGCCTGCCTCAGCCTCCCAAAGTGCTGGGATTACAGGCATGAGCCACTGCACCTGGCCAGCAGCTAACTTTTGCCTAGCCATCCAGGCATTTACATATGTCCTCTGAAATCTTGGCAGAGGCTCCCAAATATCAATTCTTGACTTCTGTGCACCTGCAGTCCCAACACCACATGTGAGACACCAAGGCTTGGGGCTTGTACCCTCTGAAGCAATGGTATGAGCTGTACTTTGGCCACTTTTAGCCATGGCTAGAATGCAGGGCACCAAGTTCTGAGACTGCACAAAACAGCATGGCCAGGGCCAGGCCCATGAAACCATTTTTTCCTCTTAAGCCTCCTACTCTGTGAGGGGAGGGGCTGTGTGGGAGGGGCTGCCTTAAAGACCTCTGATGTGCCCTGGAGACAATTTTACCCCTTGTTTTATTTACATTTGGCTCCTTGTTACTTATGCAAATTTCTGCAATCAGCTTGAATTTCTCTCCAGAAACTACATTTTTTCTTTTTTACTGCATCAACAGGCTGCAAATTTTCCAAACTTTTATGCTCTGCTTTCTCTTGAAGGCTTGGCTGCTTAGAAATTTCTTCCACCAGGTACCCTAAATCATCTCTCTCAAGTTCAAAGTTCCACAGTTCTCTAGGGTAAGGGCAAAATGATGTCAGTCTCTTTGCTAAAGCACAGCAAGAGTTATCTTTATTCCAGTTCTCAAGAAATTCCTCATCTCCCTCTGAGACCACCTCAGCCTGGACTTTGTTGTCCATATCACTGTCAGCTTTTTGGTCAAAGCCATTCAGCAAGTCTCTAGGAAATTCCAAACTTTCCCACATTTTCCTGTCTTCTTCTGAGCCCTCCAAACTGCTCCAATCTCTGCCTATTACCCAGTTCCAAAATCACTTACACATTTTTGGTTATCCTTATAGCAGCACCCTACTCCCTTGGTACCAATTTGCTGTATTAGTCCATTCTTATGCTGCTATGAAGAAATACCTGAGACTGGGTAATTTATAAAAAAAAAAAAAGGTTTAATTGACTCAGTTCTGCATGGCTGTGAGGCCTCAGGAAACTTATAATTATCACCTCTTCACAGGGCACCAGGAGAGAGAATGCGTGCCAGCAGGGGAAATTCCAGACGCTTATAAAACCATCATATCTCCAGAGAACTCACTCACTATCACAAGAAAAGCCTGGGGGAAACTGCCCCCATGATTCAGTTACCTCCCACTGGGTGCCTCCCATGAGACAAGTGCAGATGGTGGGATTACAATTCAAGATGAGATTTGGGTGGGGACACCAAACCAAACCATAGCAGAGCTTAACTTCCTTCCTCTT